>NC_000011.10:105960303-106263333 GCF_000001405.40 Homo sapiens
TCTGGCTGGAGTTACTGGAGATCCTGCGGGGAAGCCCCGCCCACTGAGGAAGAATGGGTCACGATTAGGCCTGAAGAGGCACTCTGGCTGCTGACTGCCACAGCCGGTGTGTTGAGCTGTGGGGACAAGTCTTGGGAGTGGGCTGTGGGGACAAGTCTTGGGAGCAAGCTGTCCAGCCTCCCTGGCTCCAGCAGGGGAAAAGCACAGCCTGGAGCTATAGAAATGGGTGCTGCCCTTCCCCCACCCAGGTAGTTTAGCATGTTAGGCAATTGTGAGTCCCAGTACTGGCTGCCGCCCCTCCCCCAAGGAGCTGAAACAGCTTCGACAGCAGGCAGCAGCAGCTGGTGCTGGTTGCCCCTCCCCCCGGGAGTTCCGTAGGTTCAAGCAGATTCCAGCTGAGAGGCTGTAAGAATCTGCATGTTCCAAGGTTGGGACGCTAGGCCCCAGTGGCGTGGGTTCGCGAGTGGGACCTTCCCATCTGTGGGTTGCACAGTTCCATGGGAAAAAGCACAGTTTCCCCGGATGGGTAGCGTACTCACTCACCGCCTCCCGTGGCTGTGGAGAGGAGGTTCCCCTTCCCGGTGTGGGCCACCACACCACAGTGCTCTTCCTTCTCTCAGTGGGTCATGCCAGCCTTCTAGACAATTTTGATGAGAGAGAGCCTGGATACCTTGGTTGCCTGTGAAGGATTCACAGGCTTATTATGTTTTTTTCCGATGGAAGCCTCTGAACGCCACAGCTTCCAGTCAGCCATCTTGGCCCCGCCCATCCGATCTCCAGTTTTTAATTCTATCATCAGTGAATGAGAATGCCTGCTCCTCTTATTAAATCCTCGACTATACAAAGCATATCTTTACTTTTATCTTTCCTATTATGAATGGTGAGAAATGAATTTGCATTGCTTTAATGCACATTAGTTTTACTCCAAATAAGGCAGAATTATTTTTATATGATTTTAGTTTAACTTCAAATAAGGCTGAATTATTTTATATGATTTAAATTTCTTGCTGCATAAGTTATCTATCCATGTTTTTTGCTGACTTTAAAGGAATGTTCTTATTTTTACACAATTTCTTTTTGTCACACAATTTTTAAGTGTTTTTAAACTATATTAAGATTTATTAAGGACTATGAAAAAACCTCTCAGCCTCATTCAGGTAAATATTCTGGACATTTTAACACTTGATATTTAAATTTTATATAATGTAGTATGAAGAGAGCACTCCAGTGAAGAGGTCACAGGCCTTTTTGGGACCAGAAGTGTTTTGGATTTCAGATTTTTTTGGATTTTTTGAATATTTGCGTTACACTTACCACCAGTTCAGCATCCGTAATCTGAAAACCTGCAATCTAAAACATTTCCAAAAAACATTGTCTTAAGTGCCAACATGATGCTCAAAGGAAATGCACATTGTAGCATTTAGGATTTCGGATTTTTGGATTAGGGATACTCAATTAGTATAACTAATGGATACTTTCTTATAAGGATAATAATCCACTAACACAATTACACAGTAGTTAAGACAGATAAACTGCATTAATTCCATATACTATTGCCATCATAGCCAACAATAAAGTGTTCATCCTATTAAGTGAGATGGAATTGAATGTGTTTAAACCAGACCAAAGATAATACTGCAAGTTATTTGTTCTACAAACTACATATGTCCTGAATATCTTGTGGGCAGACAATGACTAAATCTAAGAAGCTGTATCATCAGTCCTTTAGAACAATGTTCACAAATCCAGGAAATCAGAAAAATAAAACTAAACTTTACTAAAACTTTTTAAATTTGCCCTGTTTACTTAGGTTGACATTTTATCAGATATACACTTTAATACCTCACCAACAGAGAAATCATACTGTAAGAAATATGATCTAGAAGTAAATATGAGTGAGGCATAAAAGTAAGCATAAAAGCATATCCAGATCTATATAATTTAATGATAAGTTATTTGTGGAGGGGTAAAGAATAAGCAATAAATGTCTTAGGCTGGATTAAGCATGCTTTTCACAAGGAAATCTTACTTTGCACTAGATTAATGTGCCCAAAATTATTAATAATAAATGGAAAAAATTTACATATGTTAGTTCCCATAATAAAGCTTTGGTTTTATATGACATTTCAACAAAATTCTCATTAACAAAAGTAAGTCTTAAATGCTAGGTTAGTAAAGTATGGATTTTCATAACCTAACTCATTTGAGGGAAATTCCAGGAATAAAAACTTTTGGAAGTTTTTCAGAAGTCCTGGAAGTTGATCAAGTGAGCATTTTCATTCTAGGCCCGAATCAAATTCCCTGTCATCTCATTACTATGAGAAAAGCTATTTGGGGAAGGGATTTTCTCACCTAGATTTTCGCTAAGGCATACAAGGCAAAGGCAAACACATTACCTTGAACCTATTTCAGTCTATGCAACGTCATTGTCAACACATCTGGTTCTCCAATATGGTTTAAACATCTAGAAAAAATGTGGTCCCTTATTGCTTTTTCCTCCTCTTCTATTTTTTAATGGAAAGCAATTCATTTCAACTGACTTTGCAAAAGCTACATTTAACGCAATAAAGGGAATAATTAATGTAAGAAATAGCTAAAAATATTTTTCTTCTACACTTATCTGCTTGGCAGATCACTATTACAGTGACACTGATATACTTAATCAGGGCAAGAATACCCCTTAGAATCAATATGAGTTTGTGACATCAATTTTGAAGTCTATGTCTGAAATATTTGAAGGGGATTTCAAAAAAATAATAAAATGTGCTGCAGCGAGTATCTGCTTTCTACACCCCTCATTTATCTAACTTCTTATGGCTTCCTTAGCCTTGTTTATTATTACTTCTTCAGGATTTCACTTTCTTCTTAGCTTGACAAAAAGTACTTTTCAACCTAGTCCAGTAAAATGAGTGAAGTAATTATATACATATATATGTCATTGATGATTTTTATTACTAATAACATGTAGAAGTGATTCATTCTATAAAATAGAACAGATGTCCAAATGGTCATTATATACGTGGTTTATGTTAAAGTTTAAATAGCATTCTAAGGAGCCCTTTAGACCTAAACTTATTATGTGAGGGAATTACATCTTTAGTTAGACAATTGTAGAAAACCACAGACACTTTTAACATGCACGGAAATCTTGAAATACTATCTCCAGATATTGATTACAAAATGCCTTCCAACATGCATTATTAAAGAAAGGTAAATTTCATATATGATGGTATTAAGTGGACTCTATTGAGGGACCACATGTTTCTGGAAGGAAACCATGTAGATTAATTGTGAACTGGGTAGTAACTTATCTATTGGTCCAGTGTATAAAATTACACAAATATATGGATAGCAGTGTGAAACTAAACTGTTTTTACATGGCCTATTAGATGGTATTAGAAAGACAATGTTTTAGAATAATTTTGTAGAAAGCTTGATTCCAAACAATTTTCTCAACGTAAAGCTTTTTTTCCTTATCCATTCCTTTATTTTGCTTTTTAGTTTTCTATTGTGCTGTGAAACTGTCTTTGGATATGGTTAATAACCCTGTTAAATAACCCTCTCATGAAATAAGTTTAGTTTTATCAGAGGAATGGTCTAAATCAACACAGAAAATAATTGGAGTATTACTTCATTTTTAAAAATCTTCATATGAATGTTTAAGGCTAAAATAAAATGGATTATAAAAATAATTTTCTCCAAAATAGAGAATTTTAGTAGTTAACCTTAATTTATTGAAAGACAAATTTAGTTCCTCACAGACACAAAATAAATTAAAACAATTCCTTTTTTCCCAGCAGAATTTTTAAAAAAATAGATGTCTCTATCTTCATTCCTACATTTCAATCTGGTCCTTTGGTGATTAAACTAACAACTTGATATTGTCACATTAGGAAGTACATGCATTATTTTACACCACTAATGTGGCACTTACTTGGAAATGTAGGAGTAGCTAATTATTTAATTAGCATTCAGTAAATGGGCAGTCTAATTCTTAAGAAGAGTTAATACTAAAAACTCTTAAGTGTGTGGTTTACTTATGAGAACTGTTTACTCTCCAAGTGGATCAGATCATCACAAAATGGAAAAGCACGTTGTTGACCTGAAATAATATGAACAAATTTTAAGACAATAAACACTTTAGTAGGCTAATTAGTGGTAAAATATGCAACACTTTTTATTAGTTGGCTAAATGTCATTTTGCTTGCAAATCAATTATTCAACTGCTATTTGATAATATGGTTGCTTTATTTTACCTATAATTCATTTGCCATTAAGTAATCACCAAACTCAGTGTTTATAAAATAGCATATCACAAACGTTACCCAAATTCCCTCAGCATATGAGCCACTCCTTAAATTTAACAGAAATTTTATTAAATGATGGAAAAATCTCTTGAAATACCTATTGGGTCATTTAAAAACTGTAACTTGAAAGCAGGAAAGAAACCAAATGTATGGGAGGCAGAAGCCCATGACATGTTTTTTTTTGTTTTTTTTTTGTTTGTTTGTTTTTGTTTTGAGACGAAGTTTTGCTCTTGTCGCCCAGGCTGGGGTGCAATGGCACAATCTTGGCTCACTGCAACCTTTGCCTCCCAGGTTCAAGCGATTCTCCTGCTTCAGCCTCCTGAGTAGCTGGGATTACAGGTGCCCACAACCATGCCCAGCTAATTTTTGTATTTTTTGTAGAGACAGGGTTTCGCCATGTTGGCCAGGCTGGTCTTGAACTCCTGACCTCAGGTGACTGACCGACCTCCGCCTCCCAAAGTGCTGGGATTACAGGCGTGAGCCACCGCACCTGGCCCATGACACTATTTTTTAATCCTCCTAAAGAATAGCCAAAATAAGCTCCCCTATTTCCCTTTAGAGAAAAACATGGAGGAAATCTAATCTAGTGGGTTTGTTTGCAAAGTCAGTATCACATGCAGCATGACATCCTGGGGTTTAATTACTTAAACCGTCAAATTGGATATGTAATCCTAATTTCCAAATAGCATTCAATGCCTTTAAGAATTAACACAAAATTTAGATGTAAGAATTTTTCCCTAGAGCTGCTGCTGTCTCTTGACTACCATGTAGCTTCTAGTCCATGAAGCAAATGATCAGGAAATCCTAGATTCTGCGAACAACTAAATCGAGCACACTAAACCCACATAAAAAATAAAGGGAGTAATAATTACTCTTTGTTTTCAGGGAATCAGTAAAGAAAAATTAGTGGCTTGTTTGATGGTTTGTATATGCCATTTTGTTTTTCCTTGTGGGAATGAATTTTAATTTCATTCTCTTTTGGATCATTGGCATTCTTAGAGGCAAAGGAATTCAAGACACAATTCTTTCTCAATTACTAGTAAATTCCCGTTTATTACTGTTTTGCCAAAAAAAATCCATGTAATTGATGATGAGATCAGTTATTTGACAATAAACGAACTGTGAAAGTGAACAGCACCAAATACTGCATGTTTAATACATTTGAAATTAGTTACAATTGCCTTTGGTTTGGACTCCAGAGGAAGGGGCTGCAGGATGGTAAAATGAGAGGTTTATTTAGCGTCTGGGAGAAGCTTATAAAGAGCTTAAGTCCTCATTCCTTCTAACATCTTAACAGCTGTGCAGTTTCTTACAAAATATGTTTTATCGTTTCAAGAAATGCTGTTAACCTCGCAGTTTTAAAACTGAATGAACAAGGCCTCTTGGACAAATTGAAAAACAAATGGTGGTACGACAAAGGAGAATGTGGCAGCGGGGGAGGTGACTCCAAGGTTAGCCTCAATGTCACCAAAAGCGGGTAAACAGTATGTAAAGTAATAGGTGCATCTGCTGGGAGACTTATGGTTTGGACCTCCTAATACCAGTCGAATTGCTAGTCCAGTCCCTTCGCAAACTTACGTATGCAGTTACTGTCAATGCAAAAATATTTGCAACCATTATCAATTTAGTGACACACTAACAAACCTAATGAAAATAGTCACTGAAAATCTCTGCCTTTGAAGAAGTTGTGGATCAGACGTTATAAGTCTATGAATCTCAATTTTGGAAAGTAGGAAGGGATGTTAAGTTTCTGAAACAGCAAGTTAGAGAAGAGAGGGGAGGGAGCAGGGCGGTAAGCCTGTCTTGTTTTTTTTCACCATTACTTTACCAGAACTTCTACCAAATATTGCTTAGTATCAGCAATAACCTGACTCCACATAGACCTGTCTAGGGTGCCCACTAAAAAGTTTTCTCCATCTAAACTCTCAGGTTCTATTCAAGTTAAATAACAAATCAAAGGCTGTCATATGAACTACACATTTTTTGCCTTCCATAAATGGATCAAATTGCAAAATGATCAGGAAACAAAAATAAAATCAACTCAGCTTTGTCTTCACTTCATATCTTAACTCCAGCTTCCTAAAATAATAGTTTTTTTTATTTCTAAGCAATATCTAAAGAACAAAAAAGTAGGCAATTAACAGAATATGCTAGTGTCCCAGAGCCCTTCTTCACTATATATCAGTATTTTTAGACTTAAAGAAAACAGTTCATGGATGGGAAATTTCTCACCCGATCTAAAAAGCCTTTCAAATTAAGCTCACTTACATCTTCCCATCTAATAACTAGTTCTATTGCAGCAGGAGGAAGGACAAACTTTTGTCTCCATTCTAGGCACTGTCTTAAGGAGTAATAACTTATTTTATATTTTGGAGCTCCAACTGTCTGAAATTTTCTGATAGTTTTCATAAACATATAAATATATACATAGAGAAAAGTATTAAATTTTATACTAATAGCCTAGCATTCTTTCATGCAAATTAGAAATACCAGAAAATATCATAGAATAACACCAGAGAAAATAAAAACAAAGATATTCTATTCCATTAGAAAAAATTTAGTTTTCAAATTTTTATTATCACAAATACAGGAGAAGTAAAACACTGCTTTACAGATAAAATTTTCCACAAATATAAATAATGAAGTCCCATTTTAGCGTGCATTAAAGATGTTTTCTGGAGAAAAATAAGCAAGCATAACAGAAACATATATATGTTAGAAAAATCTATGTAACAAAAGTCATTCTAATTTATTGAAATGAACTGGACAACTCAGTCAGATTTAATTAGCTTGTATCCAACTCATTGTTTGGTACATAATGGACATTTTTATTTGTTGGACATAAATATTTGTTGTCCAAAAGAATAAATTTCTCTCTAACCCTGTAGTTTCCAAAGCCGAATTGCTTCTTCTTATAGTTATGCAGTGACATTACTTTCACCAAACATGAACTACAAAATGTTTTAGAATGAACGCTATTTCAAATTTTAACAAGTAGGTTTCCAAAATGTTATAAAAAATTAACATAAAATGTTCTCCCAAAATGAAATACATTATGTTTTATTTTTTCCTCCAGGAATGTGTTTGTATACCAAAAAAAAAAAAAAATCCACGTAGGTTGTTATTGGTCTAAGGTTTATCAAGAGAATAGATTGTTGCACTCTAAATGTTAATAATACCCTACTCTGCATTTGTCATACAAGATGATATTTTAAATGGCCTGACCTAACTTAAATCGAAATAAATTACTAGGAGACAGTTGTTGCTTTTTCATTTTCATTTTGTACCTTTTTCAGGTGACTGATTTTCTTTGTAAACTTACCTTACCCCTCCCATTTGGCCTGATCTTCATCAAAAGATGTAAAATAAGGAGAAAAAGTCCTGAAGTGAGAAATGCAACTGACTCTAAAGCCTTTGTGTGTAAAACTAAAGCAGAAAAGACCAATGCTGCCAATTCAGTGCAGAAGGGAAAATACAGAGAGAACTCAGCACACACATGCTGAAATCCTGGCTTAGCTGACCTTCAAATACAGAATCTTGGTAGGAGAAAACTAACTATCCCAACAGTGACTCATCTAATGAAGAAGGGAAATATGGAAACCTGTACCACACATGGAAAGGTTTCTGTGAGAGAGCTGACTCACTTGTCATTCACAGGACTGTAACCTCTCCAGCCTTCCATTCAGCAGCAAATTATTAAACTTGTGTTTGAATGGGGCCATGTGCCAGTACCTGTATAGAAACAGAATTACCACTGTTCTTTCCCTCAAGGAGCTCATGATTTAATATAAGGAACAATTAGACTATTTGGGGTCGCTGCAGCAGCTTCCCTGTCACACTCCAGGCCGTGCAGTAATTAGCATCCCCACTCACCTGACAGCCACTCTCAGTGCTGTGAAGTTCTGACCATAGCAGTCCTCAGCCAAGAGGCTTCACCTTGAAAGGTAAAAAATTAACAACAGATATGAAGAACAGGGTCCTGCATCTTACACGAAATAAATTAAAGCAGAAATGCATGACTTGTGGGGTACAAATTCCTTCATTTGAAAACTTGATCCTTTGATGGTGTTCATATGAGTTAATATTATTGTGATATGGTCCTGTTTTATGGTCATAAGAAATTCATACTCAATCTTGGGAATAAAATAGCAAAAATTTACTACTTGACAATGAATGAGCCAATTTAAAAATATTGATTGCAATGTCTAAAATGTATTCTCCACTTTGGTTAACCTAGTATGGTTTAGTCAAAGCACAAACCATACAAAGAATTTTAGGCCAATTTTTATGCCAGTTATTCAATCCTGGTTCTAGTTAGAAATTTTGGCAACAGCTGCAACCATCAATCACCCATTATTACAGTTACAAAATTATTTTTTCTGTTAATTCTATACTTTATTCTGCTTCTACATGTGTAAAATATGCACACTCATAAATGTGGATATTCATATAAAATTATTTTGTAAGTGTTATTATACCAAATAATGCTTTCTCTAGGTATTATATTTGGTCGTGCACTTCCTGATAATTTGGCCCTTTGAAGAATACAGCCCATTTCTGACTTTGATAGATGCTATACTTACAAATAAGCCACTTTCCTCTATCACAGCCATGACAACCAATGCAAGAATAAAGGAATTAGTACAGAAAATATGCATTCATCAGCAGGAAAAAATGGAAAGGAAAAAAAGTTGTAGTAAACAAAAAACACTAAAGGAATCTAGCCCTTGGAGAATGACTCTCCCAGTAATGAATTCCTTGTTCTGATAGTCCACCAGTTGAACATTAATTATGGTTAATACTAAATATCTTATATTCAAAGTGTTAATCTAATCCTCTAAAACCGGGTTACAGGTGTGAAATAGCAGAAAGGATAAAGAGGCCAGAGGGAAAAAGAAGGCCATAGGAGAAAAGACTGCTTTAAGAGGGGAGAGAGAAGCCTAATGCAGTCTTCATCTTATTCACAATTTTGCCTTCAATTGTCCCTTCTTGAAGAAACTTAAAGGAAACTCTCGAACTTTCCTCCAGTTTTCAGCACTGAGTCCTCCTCCTCCCAGCCCACCCCATTCAAGAACTGAAATATAGGATAATATAGTTTAGCACCCATGTGTTACAAAGGCTTTGGGGAGCTTGCCTGGGGACCTAAAAACCCTTAGAGTATCAGTTCAAGAAAAAAGCTTGCTCTGGATTCAAAAATCTTGCTCTGTCATTTTTCAAATTGAGCTACTTTATAGAGCACCTACTCTGAGTCAGCTACTCTGGAAAATACCATTTTACAGAGATAAATGAGATGTGACTTCTGCTCTCAAAGGATTTGCAGGTCACTAGCAAACCCACAGTTGTGGTTATTGTAACAATCACGTCACAAATGGGGCTTGGGGGTCAGGTGCAGAGAGTAGTGGTTGGTATGGATAGGAAAACCTAGATTAACTGGGTTTAAAATAACCAGGCACCCCAATTAACCATAATCCTCAACTCACCCCACCCTCAAATTCAGCTTTTAGTAGAAAGTATTAAATCATGCTCATGTCAGATTTTAATCCAAAAAACAACATAATATTCTAGGATCATGGCAAATATATATTACTTCTTCAGTGGAACAATGAACCTAAGCCATACTAATATAACATTGAAACAAAATTTAAATTATATCCTGAAACCATATAAACAAAAATAAAAATTTGTATTTTAGAATTTTTTTCAAAACTAACCATACAAAAAAAAATGGGTTTTAGTTTAACCAGAAGGCCCAATTAACTAGAAACATCATTTTGTGAGTCTTCTGCTATTAATATTTTTAATTGCAAAAGCTATGAAATCATACTATCAGGAATCCTGATTAGGCTACTGCCTCGCTGTGTAACTTGCTGAATTAAGCTCCCTGTGCTTTGGTTTCCTCATTTGTAAAATGTGAATGATGTTAGTGAACATGAAAAATGCTTTTAACCGTGCCTGGTACATAGTAAATGCTCAGTAAATTTTAGCTGTCATGATCACCATCATTCTTAATGCATTTCCTAGTTGTATAGATAGGTTTTTGGAATGAATTCCCAATAAATGCATGTCTTGTAACTCCAGATGCACTCAGCATTTCCTAGAAGAACTGAGGCGCATTAGGGGATACAACCAGGCAAAATGTCCAGAAGAATATGAAAAGTCTGTCTTGGGATGAAATGAAAAACCAATAAGCCAACAAAATGGTAACAACAAAAGATCCTGAAACTTTCTGCTTTCCATTCATCATCTTAGCCTTCATATTGTAATATGGGAGTGAAAACGGAAAGAATTATTAAATTCCTTGGAATATTGACGCCAGGTAATGACTGATGTCCTCCTCCCTGAAACTCCTAATATAATATTTAGTGTTGAAGGAATCAAAGATAGTAGAGGAGACAAATAGAGTCTCTAATAAATATAAATAGAGTCTTCTTATAAGAGGAGTTTGTCTATTCAGAAAAATCTTGGTTACCTCTAACCTGTCTGTCTTTTTTTGTTGCTAAGAATTTGTGGAATATATTATAGTCACTTCACCTTGTACTTAAAGTACATTAATATGCTTTAAGATTCAAGATAGATGAAAAGATAAATAGATGATAGATTCAAGATAGACAAGATAGATGAAAATTGCTTCTGGTGATATTATTTATGTTAAAGACTGCAATTTAGAAGGAAAGTATCATCATGGGCTTACGCTTTAAAATAATTATTTACATATTTTTCTCCTGATGACCTTCCTCTGCATAAGATGGTCTTTTGTAACACTGAAATCACCCACCTTTTTCAATTAGGTTTTGGATGAAAGCGGTCAAGAAGTCAATTTAATGATGGATACTGTAGACATACTTTTATAGCATAAAGTCAAATACCATAAGCTGAATCATAATGCATGCAAGCAATGAAATCAGTCCTACCTAGCTTCTATTTCAGTCTGTCTGTCAACCTGCAGCCACTTCCTTAATTTTGAAAGAGAACAAAAAGAAGCTTCTGGATTTTGAATGGCTGCCACATTTATGTGGGGAAAATGGTAAATGTTCCAGAAACCCAACCAAGGCCAATAGTTTTGGATTCACAGTAATTGCATACATTTTATTTAAAAATCCTCCCTAGCAGTATGTGCCTGTTACCTAAAGCGATGGAGCAGGCCCCAGTTTTATGTCTGATTCTAAACCTGGGCCTACAGTACAAGACATAGCACCTACTGTGGCCTCTGCTCTGTCACTTTGCCATGCGATTCTAATGTAGTTTTACTTGAATAACATAAAATAACATATATAATGTTATTTATGTTATTTTCCACGTGAAGAACTCCTGTAAACCTTGCCGTTTTGAAACTCAGTGAGGCAGGCGTCTTAGACAAGCTGAAAAACAAATGGTGGTACGATAAAGGTGAATGTGGACCCAAGGACTCTGGAAGCAAGGTCAGTCGCTGCAGTTCGGGGCCTCCTCTTGTGTTCACAAAGCAGTAAACGGGAGCAATTGTCAAAAGTATATGGAAACCATAAAAACTGAACATTATACACTCAACCACTGCCTAAATTAAAAGCTAATGTCATAAATTTCAACCATAGGGATGGTCTTCCCAGGAAACTGCAACCTGCTCCCCAATATTAAGACTTTTAAATTAAATTAAAACTGCAAAAATTCTTAAATAATAAAATTCCTTTTACATTATTCTCAAACTTACGTACCACTCATAAAAGTAGTGTTTTTTGGGGTAGTTTTTTTGTTTGTTTTGGAGGCAAAGACTTCATGAAATCATGTTATTTCAAGAACTGATATATTCTCAAAACAAGAAATCAGTAGTAAACCAGAAAAAGGAGATTCTAAATATTAATTAAATGCTTACTCAGAGGTTCAGTCTTTTGTCACCATAGTGCCAAGCATTCCACTTTAGTTTGAAGAACCTCCATTATATTTCTGTGCTGATAGAGAAACAGAGTGAACCTTTCAATTCTACTTGCCCAATTGAAATTGTTTTAATTAATCAATGTTTATGAATAATATTCTCAAGTTCTAAGATCTCTTAATCATAAATTCTTTTTTAAACAATGCAGGAAAAAAATAAAAAATGCAGGAACCTATATTCCTAATTCTGTTGAGTACAAATAAAAGTAATGGAAATAGTTATGTTTTTATTTTTTAAAAAAATTACAAGTTTATCAGTGAATCTAAATACCTACACAAGTTGATAGAATATAGTAACAGCACCTGAAAGCCAGAGCTGAAGTTTCTTGGAATCCCCTTTTATTTCTTTCTGTATCTTCTTTAAGAAAGAAAACAAATTACTGGATATTCTAAGATATTAAACATGTGACTGCTTTAAATAGGAGAGCCTCAATTAATTTAAGGAGACAAACTAATGTTAATGAATCCCTTTCAGGCCTTATCCCTATATTTTAATCATTTCTGTCTGCCCTTTAACCAGAGTGGAATGAGACAAGCTTGGCCAGATAATTAAACCATTACCTGAAATCCTGATGTAAAGTCAGACAAGTGCAAATACTTAATGAGTAATTATTTTGAAAATGAAGTTACCCTAAAATGTTTGGCCCAGTCAGTTGATGTTGTGACTAAGGTGACAGTGTATATAGTGCATCTTTTGAGTTAAATACTCTCCTATAAAACTCGTTAAGGGTCTGAATCACATTTTGCACAAAACATACTGCTGAGAAGATAATGACTACAGGGCATCCTTCAGGTAGTCTACCAAAATACTTCTTGCAATAACATTATGTAATAAGCATATTTATAATTTATTAAACAATTTTGAATTCTTGTTACAATTTTAGTATCTTCCAATCATAAGAGTAGGACTTAGGGATTATTCTGGATTTATTACGAGATTATATGTATACTGAAGCTCTGAAGAATAAATAATATCTCTAAAATATTAATGGACTAAGCATTTTTAAGTGGGAATTATATTGTATTTTTAATTAATAAAAATAATTATAGATTCATCCATACATAAATAACTTATTTCTCAATTGACCATAATAATTTATATATTTTTTAAAGTTATCTTAAAAAATTACTTGAGTTACACATAGATAATTATTTCTAAACAGTATATAATATGCAAAAGTAACATTTTCCATGAGATTTCCCTTGTAGATGTAACTGAAAGAACAAATAATGTGTACCTTGGCACATTATTTGCATGTATTTGGTAAATTAATGATGAACAAAATGTGAAACCATCAGCTCAACAACTCCTTAGTTGCTCAACTAGGAAATGCGGAGTTGGATTTATTCAAGAGAAATCTCAAACATTAAAAGTATATTCTAATAGAAGCAAAGCTAAAAGACGTCCCCTTTCTCCCATAATTGGATTTTTAAACCTGTCATTTTCAAACTTAATAATAATAAGCCCATTTCTGCCACTCTATGTAAATATATAAATGCTTATATAAGGCTAAGTATAATGGTTTTCATTGCATATTTAATAATGATAAAATGTTACTGATTTCATTGAATGTAATTAGATACAATTTGTTGATAACTATTATAATTTTACTTCTCCCAAGAGCTATAAGATTTATGTTTAAGTCCATTAGCCTACATCAGTGACTTATACTTGTAAATCATTTCAGGTTAAATTAAGCATTTACTTTCATTGGCTTTTTGGATTTCATGTGTTCTTTTACCTTTTGGATGTGACATTTCCACAGTTAACTGAAGTGTCTTTATCCCCCCTAGGACAAGACGAGTGCCTTGAGCCTGAGCAATGTAGCAGGCGTCTTCTACATTCTGGTTGGCGGCTTGGGCTTGGCAATGCTGGTGGCTTTGATAGAGTTCTGTTACAAGTCCAGGGCAGAAGCGAAGAGAATGAAGGTGGCAAAGAGTGCACAGACTTTTAACCCAACTTCCTCGCAGAATACCCAGAATTTAGCAACCTATAGAGAAGGTTACAACGTATATGGAACCGAAAGTATTAAAATTTAGGGGTAGGACTTAGGCCCGACTACAGTGAGTGGGGGATGCATCCTGTGAACGCAGTGTTGTGACCTGTCTGTCCAGTGGTGGTATTGCTTGCTTCTAATTAGAGCTTTATATTTTTGAAAACTTCAGTGCAAATTGGTTCGGTTTTCTTTGGCTGCAGATGTACTGTTTGAAACTTTATGTTGCCAATAGATATCTGCATTGCAAGGGTCAGAAAGATAAAAACAAACCAGAATTGCTCTGTGAAATGATTTAAACAGTATATTCTACCTGAAATTTGGGGAAAATTGGAAATTAGATCTGGGCTTCCTTGCACATAGACTGGGCAAATCTTTTCTGTAACAGTTCAATTTTAGGGTAGGTGCTAAAAAATAAGCACAAAATCTGTTCCAAGTGATCAAAACCCAGACTGTTGCCTATTTTTGACAAAGTCATATTGTTTTCTGAGGACCAATACATGTAAAAACTCCAAGGTACAGAGTATGTGCTCAATGAATTTTGGCTCCTCTTCTAATTTGTTTTACATTAGCCATCATTCTACATTTTTAAAACATGAAATCCCACTTTTTATTTACCTGATGGTAGTCCTTGAGCCAGACCTTTAAGGAAGAGTGATCATCAGAATTTTGACTACAATTCACATTTATTAGATGAAATTCAACTTTTATGCTCAAAGTATCACTAAGGTAAATAGACATTTTAGGCAATACAGCAGTTTTTCCATCAGAGACGTCAGCAATATTTGTGTCCTATAGGAAAGATTCAGAAAAAGATAAAAATTGCAGTGAGTCATTACAAACTATTTTTTTTTTCATTTCCATTGCTTTTAAGCAATCCAGGTTAGCCCCACTTACTCACATCCTCTCATCATGGCATAATAAAAAATTGTAAGCATTCAGTAAAATATAGGAGTTGGAGATTTAAAAAAAAATCTAAATGTCCACTTCTTTCCTCTAGTAATAGGAAGTAGCTTTAAAATAAGATCTGAAAGGATTTGTTATTGCTCTTCCTAAAATCAGGACTCTAAAACCCATTTTCTAAAATTATCTATAATAGCTAAGTGAATAGGCTGCTCAGTTTCATTACAATGATAAGTGAGTCTTTGAACTTCCAAGAGATATTTGGTACTTGATGTACCCTAGAGTCAAAAACCCGATATACTTTCAGTAAGATGTACATCTGAGTTTACACCAGCTAAACACGCTTGATTTTTTATATTTATTTATATGAAAGCTTTTGAAATACTTGTATCTTAAAGCAAAGAGCCAATGCCATCCCTTTTTATCAAGATCTAATTGCTTTCATCCATAATGTAGAAATTAGTGACTGAGTACAATAGCACATAGATAGTTCCAAAACGATTCTTTCCAAATTTTGTGAAAAAGAATTAAGAACTAAATCCTCAATTCACTCGATCCAAACATTTTTAGCATGTCTTATGATAGCAAAACTACAAAGTGGGATAATATCAAGGTGTCTTAGCCATTAGAGGAATGCTTTCATCTTAATGTTTACAGAGTTGATGAGAGACTTTTTTCAAATTGAGAAAAACAATACTTGATTAGTTTTCAGAGCCAATTATTTGGACTGAATTCTGAGATGAATTTTATAAGATGTCCTTACTAGATTTTGTTAACAGTTCATTAAAACTGACTTTTCTTTGGCATAACAAAGGCACTCCAGCCATCATCAGCAAGGTACAAGGGTGGGGAAGCAAAGCAAATAAAAAAAGAGTATTAGAAATTTTTAGAAATAAATGCTGTGTATGCTAGTTCATTTCAAAGTTCAGGGAAG
The DNA here is from genome assembly GCF_000001405.40 of Homo sapiens. Classification (NCBI taxonomy): domain Eukaryota; kingdom Metazoa; phylum Chordata; class Mammalia; order Primates; family Hominidae; genus Homo; species Homo sapiens. The sequence goes on from NC_000011.10 coordinate 105,976,347, forward strand.
TTATTAAAAGGAGATGTAAATTCCCACGTCATATATATACAATTTACATATAACATTGTTTTTGGAGTCACAACTTGAAATTGAATTTCCTTACATGAATTGCCTTTAGAGGTAGATTTGAACATTTAAGACAAAAAAATTTCAAATAAATAGGAAGCATTCATTGGACATTTTAAAAGACAGTGGCATTTGGGATAAATGAAATAATCTGTGCCTGTCAAAACTTATAAGTAAGCAGTTTTTATTGTACTCTCAAATTAAAGGAAAACTTTCATAAACTCTATGACCATAATTATGGAAATGATTGGTAATTCAAAAATAATATTGCCCCAGAATCCCAAAAACAAAACTGGCACCTTCAATCCATGGTAGATTCTACTAAAAAGTGATCATCCCTCAAGGGAACATAAGCCACAACAATCCAACAAAACCCAGACCATATGTAAAATCACTAGAAAGTTTTCCAGTTTGAGGAACCTCAAAAGGTTCACATCAAGATGAATAGAAATGGCATTTTATGGAAGATACAGATGATGTAAGTATAGGAAATAAAAATGCTAAAACAGATTTAAAGAAAAATAAGTCAAAGTTTTATTAAGTAATACACTTCATTGCATTAATCTATAAAATAGGAGGGTGTATTTGAGATTATATGGAATTGTTCAACCTTTGGAAGTTTTCCTTTCCCCACAAACATGATCAAGAAAAGGAAGAAAACAAAAACAGATTTTTCTGGCAAAAGCCTTCTGTAAACACTTTTTAAAAATTACCAGGCTTTTATTAATGGTATTTTAGTATTTCCTCTTGAAGAAAAATTAAAACAAAGCTAAACTAGTGGATTTTAACAAATAATTGTCTATTTTACTTAACATTAAATGTTGAAAGGGAATCTAAGGAAACATATTCAGACTTTGATTTTGGTTTTGTTTAAATTTAGTGATTAGTAGATACCTATGAATTCTCTGGAACTACCTTTCCTGAATCTCTTGTTAAACAAGAGGTGAGTGGTTTGGAGACTCTGAGTGGTTTGGGGACTCTTTCAAAGATTTAAGATGGGCTAATACATTGGTTTGGATTAGACTCGTGGATATTCATTTTTCTTGTTTTCATCAGCATATGACTTTATCTAACTAATATAAACTTCCTAAATCTGCTCCCAAATTGTTTTCTTTAGAAGATTGTGGAAAATGCCAATGCTGTAACTGGAGTATTCCATATAGTTAGGCACTCACTAAAGGGTTCTGACCCCCAAAATGTCCATCTAAAACACATAAAATGGAAAAGATTACACTAGAAAGTTATTTAGCATCTTGATACCAAGTCTTGTCTTATGTTTCTTAAATACATTTTGTTGCTAGATTTTCTTGATATAAATAGTCCTGCTTTGCTAATACTTCTTTTTATACACACACCCAAAACATATGTACTTTAATATTGAGTAGGAAAACATTCACCTCCAATAACACAGTCTCCCCAGAGTCTCACTTCAAAAAACAAGACTATTGCAGCCATGTACACATTTTAGTTCCCTTGGTGAAATTATTCTATATGGGTGAGGTTCTTGATTAAGGGATTCTTTCAAATGCTCAAATGGAATTGAATTGTTTCATTTCTAACTTTCTCACTGGTGCAGTGAAATTCAATTCTGTTCAATTTAAAATAGTGGGCAATGTATTCATTTGCATTTTTAAGGTACAATTTACATACAATAAAACCTACCCTTTTTAGTGTACAGTTCTGCAGGTTTGATAAATTATGAATAATTTTAGTATATTATTCTATCAGTTTCATTTACAAGAAAGATAAAAAGTATCTTCCTATATAAGGTCATTCATCCACTCAACAAATATTTACTGAGTGCCTATTATGTGCTAAATAAAAGACAGAAGGACTTTGATTTCAACGGACTAATAGAAGATAATCAAGTAGAAGTGTTGTTTTTCTCTAAAATCCTTGTTATATTTCCTTGATTTCTAAATATAAAAACTATACATGTTTCTGTGAAGACCATATCCTGAGTTCTGATTATGATGATAAGTATTAATTTTTAAGACTGTTTACTGAAACAGAACTGTGAGATTGACCTTGATTTTGTCATTTATATGTCATTACTAGCAATTTGACTTCAACTTTCTGAAGTTTTCAGAGTAACTGATCTGTAAACATTTTTACTCCACCAGTTTTTAAACTAGTTACTAATTTCATTACTTAATATATAATTATTCTAATATTTAAGCTCCAGGGCAGAATAAACACAGGGATGGAATTTCCTAAAGATTTGGATAAACTTGAATTCACAACAGGGAATTAGATACATGCTGAGTTGTGAGTTATGAACTAAGTCATAACAAACTCAGGGAATCACTCCTTTACCCTATTTTCCTCTTAAGTTATAATTCTAGCTACTAGAAAGAATTTAGACAGTGAATGAACAGTAATGAGACTAACATAATAACAGTGCCTGTTTCTCCTTTGTGTAATGTTATCTGCTATGTAATGTGATAAGGAGCAGGAATTTACTGATTTCAGATCCCTGACTCTATAACCTCAATATGGGAGGTTCCCCAGTCATGACCATTCAGTAGGCTTTGAAACATATCCCTTTTCAGTGCACCCCTTTTAAATACAGTTCTTAAAATATGAGCCTTAGTGTCCATAATAGCATAGAGTGAACTATATGTCACTAATTGTGCTGTTCTGGGTCATGTCTATAACTGGTGTGAATGAATGAAGTGTCTGTGGATAGGTCTGTGTTATAAAACAGGAAGATCTGTCATGAATAGTCTATACATATCGTTTGTTTAGGTACTTCATTAGTTCTGGTAGTTTAATCCTTGCACTGTAAAGACATTTCATGACAAGGAAATACTATTTAAAGAATGTTGTCAAACATAAAAGAGCTTTTAAGCTCATCCAGAAGTACTAAGATATACAGTGCAGCAAGTTAAAAGATGTTTCCTGCCCAGATTTACTAACAGTAGTTAAATATTATAATTTTAGAATTAGTTTTTCCACAAGTAGGACCACAAACTCTAGACAGATTCATTCTTCGGTGTAGTTAAGCTTTCCTTTCCCTGGATAAGCAGTTTTCATATGACCAAAAGAACATGGAAAAAATGCAGATGTCTAATTATTTATATTTCGGTGTTTGTTGTGGAACATATTGTTGAAGAAACAGAAATATGGTAACACTCCGCGTTCTTTCTGCTTCCTTTCCATGCAACCCAGCTGACCTTTTCTGAAGCCATAAGAAACAAAGCCAGATTATCCATCACTGGGAGTGTGGGAGAGAATGGCCGCGTCTTGACGCCTGACTGCCCAAAGGCTGTACACACTGGAACTGCAATCAGACAAAGTTCAGGATTGGCTGTCATTGCATCGGACCTACCATAAAAACCAAAAAAATAATTGAGTGCCTTAATTAAACTGTTGGTGACTGGTGGAAACGCAGCCCTGAGGGACACGCCACGCGCGGGTCTTTGCTAAACCAATCCTTTGGCTGAGAGCGGGAAGTCCGTCCTAACGCGCTGGCCGGACATCAGCAGCAGCAACGTGTGCATGAGCTCAGCTCGGAAACCCAAACTCAGATTTTATATCAGGAAAACTCACAATTGAGGTTTTTTTCGGGGAGTGGGTGGGGGAGGGATCTGGGATGGGTGTATTAACAGCAACAAATTTCATTCGAGTGGACTCAAAAACTAATCAGACTTATGAGTTAGCGCATTAAACTGTGAAGTTCTTGCTCAGAAAGGCCTTTGTCTTCACCGGAAAGGATAAAATAGTTGTAGAAGTCCGTGAACATGCTAACCTGTGTCTCCAGAACATCCATATAGTCCATGGAAGAAAATCCAGCTGAGAAAACAAATCACTAAACTGTGATAAGAAAATAATGAACAAACATGTAAAACCTGTGGGAAAAAAAAATAAAGGAAGTATGTACACTTACTTTGGAGAAAACAAATACTGAAACATGCTTGCTTTTTAACTGACGTAAATTCAGTAGAGGACAACACAATTCTTTTTTCTAACCATCTTAGGGAACAATACATTGCAATAATTGATATAAATGCCATCACTGTAATAAACTTTAGAGACTTTTTTTTATAAAAGTTGTTGGTCATCTTCTTGTTTGCTGTAACCTTCACTATGTCACATGAGTCGATTCACCGATTGCATTTGTCTCACAACCAGGAAGAAAAGCAAAAGGAAGAAAACGTTTAGGTTCAATCATCAGTCTGCGGTGTAGACTCGAAAGAGATGACAGGTCACTCATGTTAATGGTATTATTTATAATCTCATTCTGTGTACAACATTGTGGTTTTTGTACCCACCAAAAAGAATAAAACAGCAGATGTTCTTACAATATCTACAGAGCTTAAAAGTTTTTTCTTATCGTTATAAAAGTTATTTGAGAAATTATAAGACTATAAGAGAGATTGTATTAGTGGTGGGCCATAGTGGAAAATGTAGCTAGCCCTCATTATTTTTTGCATACTAAGCTACCCCTCCTTTTCAGATCTTTGACTCATTAACAGATTAAACTGTCAAAGATGGAGTCTTTGAGTTGGGGAATGAATCACTGTCCTAACAACAACATACCTTGTAATTGTGTGTTGAAATTTTACTTGACTGTATTTTGCTGCATAAAATTATGTGTCTCTTGGGCTTCTTCCCTTATTCCTATTGTTCCCTTTAAATCATATGAAGGCATTCATAATAGCTTGGGGTAGATAACAAATGAAGAATTAGTCTTTGTTTTCAACTGGAAATTGTAAAGAAAATTATACTCATGTTTATTTATAAAAATCACCTTATGTATGAATTAAACTAACATGGTTCAAAAGAAGGTTTGGTTCATTTGAAATAATAAATAAGTACTCTAATACAGATAAAAATCATGTACTTAGGGTATTGGCAGAAAGCACAAGTTAGGATGATTTCAGAAGTCTGGCCTTGAAGGATGAGTTGAGTTTTAACAGGAGGAGAAGGTGTTAAGAGCCATATGAGTGAGCAGTGGCCCAAAGCCATGCACATCAGTGGCTCATTTAAGGAATGAATGCCATTAGATGGGCTACTGAGAGTACAGGGATATTATGGAAGATAAAGTTGGAAAAGCTGAAGGATTGATTTTCTTCCATCAACTCTCAAGATCCCATTCGCCATTCAATCTCTGTGCTGCAGTAAGAGCAATCTTAAACAGTATAAATCACACACACACACACACACACACACACACACACACACAAGTCCCTCAGGAAAAATTCCAAGCTCTTGAGAAGATCACATGAGCCCCTTCATGACCTGGCGCTTGCTTATTTCTTCCAGGACTTCTCTCACTTCTATCCAGCTATTCCCGTCAGCAAATGAACCTCCAAAGCAGCACATGGAGCACTGCATAGACTATTTCCTCAGTGCGTAACTCCTCCCTGTCTCCTCTTTACCTGAGTAACTTGTACTCATCCTTCAATACTCCAACTGAATTTTACTTACCCTGAAAAGATTTCCATGGCTATCCACCACCCCCCTGCCTGTGAGACTGAGTTAGGTGCCCTTTTTCATGTCTTTCCCCCATCACGGCACTTACCATACTGCGTTGTAATTGCCTGTGTACTCGTCTGTATAACTACTAGACTGTAAGCTCCTTGAGGGCAGGGACTGTGTCTATCTTGTTCACAGTTGTATCCCCAGCACCCAGCACAGTGCCTGGCATATTGTAGGTGCTTAATAAATATTTGTTGAATGAATGAGTGAATTGAATTGAATTAATTTAATTAAGTGAAAGCAGAAAAACAGCATCTTTTCCTATTGACAGTCTCTAGAGTATATTTTAGGTAATATGGTCCCCAACTTAATGATCATTCGACCCATGATTATTCAAGTTTATGATGATATGCATTCAGTACAGTACTCGATAAGTTACATGAGATATTCAACACTTAGTAATAAAATAGGCTTTGTGTTAGATGACTTTGAGGCTAATATAAGCGTTCTGAACACAGGTAAGGTATGCTAAGCTAACCTACTGTGTTCAACAAGTTAGATGTATTCAATGTATCTTCAACTTATACTATTTCAACTGAAGATGGGTTTATTGGGATATAAACCCATTGTAAGTTGAGGGGCATCTGTATATGGTGAGCCAAATGAAACTTGCAGGTTGGCTGATTTCATAGTGTTGTCTATGTCACTGGAAAGCATGGCTTAAAAAAAAAGTTGATCTGATAAATATTCTGATCAGATAAGACTATACTCCATGTAATTGTATATAGTTGTGGAATCATTTGTTTAGCTGGATAAACTGTTTAAAAAAAAAAACAAAAACTAACACAGAACAGGGTTTTGGCATGGTTTTTAGCCATACTTCCAAAGGTATCTTTCATTTAAGCCTCAGAGTGGATTCATGATATGAAGTTAGAGAGTTATTTCTTATAGTAAAGAATAATTGTGGCCAAAACAAAATTGGGATTGGGATTTTCCTTCCATGTGGCAAAGAACAAGGGTTCATTTGATTTTTTCTGAATCTGAAGAAAATGGTAGGTTGAGCAAACTTCCATTGCATAAATACCTGTTTTTTAGCCACCTGTACTGACAAACTGGAAAGTGTCATGAACAACAAAGTAAGTAAAAAATACAGAAAATATATAATATCACTAAAGAAAATTTTTGTTAAATCACAATGCCTAGTACATGGCTTGAGGGAAAAGGTTACTTAGGAGTTTCATAGTCCCTCATTCTCAAGTATAAAGACAGCTCATTCAAGTAATATACCGTTATGATTTCCTTCTCAGAGTTTGTACATTTCACCAACACTTCTGAAGTTCCTAAACATTTAGTAATGGCTTAAAGCTGTGTCTGTAGAACATTATTTGTGCAGTTGGGTAGGTCTGTAGTCATAGGCAATCAATGTTTCAATAAATGATTTAATGAACTGTTTGACTAAATGAATAAAGAAATGAATGAATAAAGACCCTCTAAAGAATTTCATGATCATTCCCCGTAGGAAAACTTCTGCCAGCTCCTTAGAGCTAATTGCCAACATAAATGGGAATCTTTCAGCATTTTTTTAAAACAAAGAAGGGATGTGGAACAATTTTGTTCACAACTGGCTCAATCTAGAGATTTGCCTAATCCTTTGGCCACCTTAAACTGATGCAGTGTCAAACTTCTAAAACAGGGCATTTTAAAAATCCCATCTGCCTGAGATTTTCGCAGAACCATACTTCCCACCAATATTCTGTTTTTACATCTAAGCACAGTCAGTATCAGCCAGCATCTTTAAGCTTCCAAGACTACCATCAAAGTAGGTGACTGCAGGCTTGTTGGGACTTGCACAGGAACGGGTGACACTAACTTGAGATTTAATGAAAACCCTGAGGCTTGACCCGGTAGGTCTATATCCATGTCATCCTTGGTCACAGCTTCACATCTAAATCGTTCCATTAATTTCTCTGTGTCTTGTCCGCATTTTCCTCCCAATACTCTTCTGTACTTTTCTTCCTTCTCCCCATTCATCTTCCCACCACTTTTCTCTCTCTCTGACTGTCACCAGTCTCCCTAGGACCCTCATATGAAGTAAGGAAGCCCTGAACATCCTCAAGTTCTCCCCAGAGCACTGTCCCATCTCCTGATAATACCACTCCATGTACCACAAGCCTAGAAGGAAAAGGAATGTCAGTCCTTACAATTACAGCCCACATATAAAAATCCTTCCCCGTGAATGTTCCCAACACGAAGAAATGATAAATATTTGAGATGATGGCTATGCTAATTGCCCTTATCTGAATACTATAAATTATATATATATCAAAACATCACTATGCACCTCATGAACATGTACAACTATTGTCAATTAAAAATTAAAATTAAAACATGACAATAGGCAAAAAAATTTCTTCTCATCTAATCATACTGTCAAAATGCCCTGCCTCCTTGTCCATTTTCTCCTGCTGACTTATCTGTAATTGCCCCACATTCATACATGATTTTGGCATTTGGCTTATTCTTCCTGTGCACCCCAAGTTCTATTATCATCCTAAACAACTTCAAGGTCAGTACAGATGCTTCATCTAACCCTTAGTCCTGCAGTTCTTTGACTTCCCATGGGTCTTTGCCTCTATGCTATTTGCACCAAAGGAAATGCATCAGATCTTGTGATTGTTTACCTTCTCATCTTGCTTCAGATGATGACCCACTTTTCTTCCTTGCACACGCTAGTGACGGAAAAGAGTGGCCTTTAATCCACTATTGAACTCCTCTACTTGGCTATGTCACTTTACCAAAATGTTCTTCCCAAGATCACCAATAAATATCTTTAGCCATATTTAAATAAACACTTCAATACGGAACAAAATCAAATTGATCTCTTTATGTATTGGCATGGATGATACTATTATATTCCCCCTAATTCTTATTTATTTCTTCTTAGTCTATTTTATATTCCCCATTTCCCTCAACCAGTCCTTACATGTTGCTATTACTCAGGTTTGTACCCTTTGCCCCCTTCTCTTCTTATAAGAATATTTCACCTGGTTGATGTCACTATTATCAAGCTGTCTACAGTCACCTATACATTATCAACAACGAAATCTGTGTCTTCCATTCAAGCCTTACATACTCAGTTGCCTACTGTTTATCTCTTTTTGACTTCTCTATTATAACATATCAAATTTCCTCATTTTTCACTCTACATTCCCACCTCCTCTTGTATCCCTGTTTCAGTGAGTGGCATTAGCATTCATCTAATCTCCCAATTCATGAGAATCATTCCATAACCTCTTTTCTTCCTCATTCACACATCCAATCAATCAACATCTTAAATTCCCTTATCTTTCATCTCTCCTTTCTCTGTCCCATACTCATCATCCATATTATGACTGACTTGATTCAGGGACTCAGAATATCTCACCATTATTACTACAACTATCTCCTAATAGGTTTCCTTGCTTCTTGTTCACTTATATCCCCCTCTAATTCACTTCCTACATGGCTGCCAGAGTAATTTTCCTAAAACATAAATATGATCCTGTCACATTCCTGATTAAAATAACTCTATAGCAAATATATGAGGTCTGTCAACATCTTCAGTGTCGTCTCTCACCTACTTTCCACTCCAATAACATTAAATCACTCACAGCTCCAGTTTCCAGAATGCTTCATCTTCTTCCCCTTCTAAGTTTTGCCAATTTTTCCCTCTACCTGAATTGCCCCTATTTCAGAAAAGATTTCCAATTATAATCAACAAAATCTACTCTAGCTTAGTTAAGCAACAAGTAAATTTGTTAATGGAAATGAGATAGTTTCCCAGATGAGTGAAGACAGAGAATCAGTGCTGAAGGCCAAGTAGCCAAGAATGATACTCAAATCAGGCCACTGATCTGCTCCCAAGCCAAGTCCAACTAATAGTGGACACATATATCAAAGTTGGCAGGAAGTACATAGAACATGAGAACATAGAACAGTGCTGCTAGGACTTCTTTTTCTACTGCTTCTGAAAGTGCGATGCCTCTCTAGTGTACTCTATCACTCTATCACCTCCGCAGGAAAGAGCTCCATGCATGGTCTCTTTCCAATTCAAACCTCAGGTAGGAGTATCTAACTGGTGGAGCTAGGTCACATGCCTATGACATAGCAAAAAGGGAGACCAAATACTTGCTATTACTAGAGAACCATAATGTGGAATATATACATAAAATTATTCAAAAGAAGCTGAGTGGGCACAAAGTGTTGCATATGTCGTTTTTCCTTTACACCTAATTTCTACTCATTCATCAGGAAGCATTCTAAAAACCACCTCTTCAGGTAGACATTCTTGATTCTCTTAATTTGGAGATCCTTTTCAAAAAATTTCCCTAGGTCCTATGTTTACCTCCATAATAGCACTTATACCACTGTTACATGATTGTTTTATAAACTTCTCCACTCTTTGGTTCCACAGGCAACAATGAGTAGTAGAAAGAACAAATTATCAGCATTAGAATCAGACAAAACTAAATGTGAATCCTTGTTCTGACACTGACTCTCTGGCCTCTGGAAAAAACCTGTTGTTCACATACAAAATAGGAGCAATAATACCTAGCATTTGATGTTGCTGTGAAGTTGAGAATAAATGTTTATAAATTGCTTATCATAGTAGCTGGTAATAGGAGCTCAATAAATGAAGCTATACTTATTTCTTTCTGTAGCCCTGAGCTTCAGCTTCTAGGAAATAAAACACTTCAAAAATGTCACTTTTGCCCTAACAATAAGAAAAAGCCTAATCATCTACAAAATTATATTTTTTGGTACAAATCAGAACACTGCTCATGGTGACCAAGTAAATTGAATTCCAAAGAAGGACAAACCCCTTCAAAAAGAGATGAGCTACACAGTTTCGCAACTGGTACAGCAGAAAGGAAGTGGGCTGTACTGGCAGTAACACAAGTGGGTAAGAATAATTCAGGTAAATATTAACAAATTCTTAAAGACCAAGTGTTGGCAAGTTTGTCAGTTTGAAACATTTGAGGTTGCTGAACAAAGAGAATTTGAATTCACTTGGAAGCTCTTTCTCATGACCCTCGACTGGATGATTAGAAGAAAGATTGGGAGCAGGGTAGGAGACCAGAGACTTCATTGGAGGGGCAAGTGTGCAGGAGGTCAATAGCAGCTACTGGGATACTCAACATGCCTGACTTCACAGATCCTTCTCTTCCACAAAGTCGATGGCTTTTTAGGCTACTGGAAAAGGAGCAACAAATTCTTTCATCTTCACATCACAGACAAGGAACCATTGCCTCTAGAGAAGGAATAGAAGCAAAAATTATCTACCCCTTGTAGAGAGGCAGGAAACTGTCATGGGCCCAAGATCCTATACTTATACAATTCAGAGGGATACTATGATGGAGAGAGGCAGATAACTCCCATCAAAGATCAACCACAGTTTTCCTTCCAGGAGATGGAAGGGTAGAAATACTGAGAAAGTCCCATCCCTGAGGATAAGGTGAAAACCGCCTGCCTAAGACTGAGGCTGGGCAGGCACAACAGAAAATTCTAGCTTGCTTCCAATACAAGCACAGCATTGATTAACAAACAACACCTGTCTACTTCTGAAATGAGGGATAGGAGCACAGCAGAATAGAGGCCTCCACTGTGACAAAGGAGTGCAGGAATGAAGGCAGGAATAAGGAGCAAGAGAAAAAAGCTCTTGCAATTCAGCCTCCACCTTAGGCACAAGGTAACAACAGCCTATTACTAGATGACTTCGTAGCCATCACTGAAAGTGATGCTAGCAACAACAAAACCCAAACTCAGCTCAACCCCTAACTAGATTTACTCACCTCTCCCCAAAATTAAGTCCTTACAAAAAACGAGAAGTGTCATTTACATATGTGTTGTATAGTACTCACCTCAGTCCCTATTGCTTTTCTCCTACTAAGTCCAGTATTTAATTTTTAAAAAGTTTGGAAAGCAATAAGACACACTTTGGGAGGCCGAGGTGGGCGGATCACGAGGTCAGAAGTTCAAGACCATTCTGACCAACATGCTGAAACCCCATCTGTACTAAAAATACGAAAATTAGCAGGGCTTGGTGGCGCATCCATGTAATCCCAGCTACTTAGGAGGCTGAGGCAGGAGAATCACTTGAACCCAGGAGGCGGAGGTTGCAGTGAGCCGAGATCACGCCACTGCACTCCAACCTGGGCGGTAGAGTGAGACTCCATCTCAGAAAAAAAAGAAAAAGAAAAAGAAAAAGAAAAGAAAACCAACAAAACAATAACTCATTGTCAAGAAATAAAGCAATAAGTAGAATCATACTTAGAGACCCAGATGTTGAAACTATAACACAGGGACTTTTAACAAATGCTTTCATCAGAATTCTGAGATGACCTCTAATGATGCAAGCCCTTCTTCTCTTCTTGAGTGTGAATGAGGTTTGTGAACATGAGAGCGTATCACACCTGTGATTATGATATGCTGTATGAGAAAAGATTTTTTTCAGATATTGAGGTCCTTAATCAGTTTAGTTTACCTAAAGGGAGATTATCCTAGGTGGGCCTGACCTAATAAGGTGAGTTTTTAAAAGGAATTCTAGAGGTTCGAAACAAGAAATCAGACAGATGTGCTGCTGTTAGTCTAAAAGAGTGGCATCTTATAACCTGCCATGTAATGAGGATCTGCGTGGGTCTAACACATATGTAAAAGTAAAATTGATAACAATTGCATAAAAAATGGGAAGAATTGAAATTACACTATTTTAAGATTCTTGCACTACATAAAATGACATAATATTATTTAAAGTAAATTTGATGAGTAGAAGTATATTATAAACCCTAGGGAAAACACAACAAAAAAATTCTATTATAAAAGGCATAACTTATGAGTTATTACTGGAGATAAAATGGAATCATAAAGTAAAACTTGAAAGAAAGGATGAAAAGGAAAAAGGAGCAAAGAAACTGATGGACAAATAGAAAATAACTAGCAAGATGATAGATTTAAATACAACTATATTAATAATTATATTCAATATAAATGGCCTAAACATTCCTATTAAAGACAGACACAGCAGTTAGAAGAAAAAGCAAGGCCCAGCTATATGTTCTCTATAGGAAATCCACTTAAAATGAAACCAAAGCCACAAATATAATTTTGTAAATGCTTGATTCAAATTACTGAATGAACAAAATTTGTAAATGTCAGAAAAATATAACATGTGAGAAAAAAATTAAATGGTGAGAAGGTACAGAATCTGACCAAAGTTGTGGACGTGCATATATCAACAAAATTTTACCTAAAATTTAAGATGACGCACAAGCATCCTCTTGAAATCTATGCATATATGCTTCTAGCTACATAAGGATTGCAATTTTATCAATAATATTTTCAAAGTCTAATTCTTTGTTTATTTAATTTGCAACTGAATTTTATGTTGCAACAAATGAGGTAAAGAACTGAGGCTCTAAACTTAGTCAAGAGTTTACTGTGTGTAGTTATGCAATAACTCAAAAACACTAAACTTCTGTGGTTCTCTGCTATACAATAGACAGCGGAAAAAGTATTCAAGCCTGATATTTACATGATTGTTATGTATATATTGAGGTGAGAATAGTTACAGTTAATTATTACCATTTAACTGTTAAATGTATGTGTTAATGTAAGTGTATGAAACAAATTGTTTCATAGTGTTTTAAAACATTCACTTATTCAAAATGCATTGGTAGTAGATAAGAACATTAAGAATGTGTTATTTATTTGAATAAACCTAATTCCTTTTCCAAGGCCAGGATTAAGATGAGGTAAATGTAGTATTTGCTTCAAGCATAAAATTTAAGGAGGAGCCAAAAGACTCAGTATGACAGAAATTTAAGCTTCTGAGTCTTTGTTTATGCAGTGTCTTCTAACTGAAATTTCCTCTCTGCTTTTGTGTCTTTGCTAACAAATTCCATCTAGGACTCCGTTCAGGAGTCACTCATTCTAAGACTTTCCTGAACTTTCCTGAACTTAGGAAAAACTGGCCCTTGTACATGCTTTTATGAGATCATTTATCATCTGTCTACTCTAAATGCATTCACTGTAAGCCAAATCAAAGGCAAAAACTGTTTCATACAATTTTGAAACTTCTATGCCAGAACGGGCAACCAGGAGCACTTTACAAACACTGAATGAAAGAAGGGAGGGAAAGAGAGAAAAAGGGGTAGAGAATGAGGGAGGGACGGGTAGAAAAAAATAAGGAGTCATCTAATGAGAAAGAAGGGAATGGATCATCATCTGATGAGAAAACACCTGGAGTAAATTTTGTTTAGGTTCTCTAGCTACATCAGTTAGGACTATTTCAGTTTTTTTTTTTTTTTTTTTTTTTTTTTTTGAGACAGTCTCGCTCTGTCGCCAGGCTGGAGTGCAATGGCGCATTCTTGGCTCACAGCAATCTCTGCCTCCTGGGTTCAAGTGATTCTCCTGCCTCAGCCTCCCAAGTAGCTGGGACTACAGGCGCACACCACCATGCCCAACTAATTTTTGTATGTTTAGTAGAGACAGGGTTCCACTATGTTGGCCAAGATGGTCTCGATCTCTTGACCTCGTGATCTGCCTGCCTCAGCCTCCCAAAGTGCTGAGATTACAGGCATAAGCCACCATGCCCGGCCAGACTATTTCAGTTTTAAGCAACAGAAACTCCAACTCAACTAGCTTAAAGCAAAACCAATACAAAGAGAACAGACATATTCTAAAATTACACCCCAGATTTAATTTATGGAGTTATTACTAAGTGACAACATAGAAAGGCCAATATCACTGAAAAATGTGTATTACTTGCATTTCCTGGAAGAAGACGGCATGCCACAACACACCACGCCAGACTTAAGAGATGCATAGGGTTTTGGTCAGGAAGCAGAAGCAGTAATGAGGGTAAAGACCAGGCCACAGCCCTTACTGTCATTTTCATGGAAAAGGCAAAGCAGGGTGGGATGAACAGTTTAGGATTAATCAGTTTGAAAAACTCAAGTGGGCTGTAGGCCCACCTAGGTGGACTGTGGTTATCTAGTATCTGGCTGTGAGTTGATTTAGGGCAGGGGAAATACAGTCATGTGTCACTTAACAATTGGAATATGTTGTTCTGAGAAATCGGTCATTAGGCAATTATGTCATACGAACATCATAGAGTGCGCTTATACAAACCTAGATGGTACAGCCTGGTACACACCTAGGCAATAATGGTAGAGCCTATTGCTCCTAGGCTACAGACTTGTGCAGCATGTGACTGTGCTGAATGCTGTAAGCAATTGTAACCCAATGGCATTTGTGTATCTAAACATATCTAAACAGAGAAAAGGTACAGTAAGAATGTAGTATAAAAGATTTTAAATGGCACACCTGTATAGGGCACTTACCATGAATGGAGCTTGCAGAACTGGAAGTTGCTCTGGGTGTCAGTGAGTGAGTGGTGAGTCAATGTGAAGGCCTAGGACATTTGTGTATACCACCACAGGCTTTATAAACACTGTATGCTTTGGCTACACTAAAGTTATAAAAAATATTTTTCTTTCTTCAACAACACATTAACCTTAGCTTACTGTAATGTTTTTACTTTATAAACTTTTTTCATTTCTCAAACTTTTTGATTCTTATAATAACAGTTTAAAACACAAACACATTTTACAGTTGTACAAAAATATTTTCTTTCTTTTTATTCTTATTCTATAAGCTTTTTCAATTTTTAAAATTTTTTTGTTAAGAACTAAGACACAAACACACACATTAGTCTAGGCCTACACAGACCATCAATATCACTGTCTTCCACCCCCACATCTTGTCCCACTGGAAGGTCTTCAGGGGCAACAACAGGCATGGAGTCGTCATCTCCTAGGATAACAGTGCCTTCTTCTGGAATCCCTCCTGAAGGGCCTGCCTAAGGCTGTTTTACAGTTAACTTTTTTTTTATAAGTAGGAGTACATTCTAAAATAATGATAAAAAGTATAGTATAGTAAATGAACTAGTAACACAGCTGTTTATTATCAAGTATTATGTACTCTACAAAATTGTATTGCTAGACTTTCATACAACTGGCAGCGCAGTTATTTACAACAGCATCACAACACACATGTGAGTAATTTGTTGTGCTATGACATTAAAACTACCACGTCACTAGGGGATAGGAATGATCACTTTCATGGTAATCTTACAGTATCACCATGGTGTTTTTGCACGGTGTCGGAGACAGTCTAAAATGTCTCCTTATCCTGTGCATGACTGTATTGGTTTGGTGTGTGAGACTTAGATAAAGGAGGTGGTTGAGGCATATAGACATGGGATTGGTTTGCATATGAAAGACCTGCTTGGCTGAGTCCTTTGCTATTTCTAATAATTGGCTAGGCCTGGAAAAAGCAGTCTCTCTTCAGTCAGAAAGGCCAAAAATACCAGAGCATTAAGAAAACAGAAAAGAATTTGCAAATATTTTCTCCCATTCTATAGGTTGTCTGTTTACTCTGTTGATAGTTTCTTTTGCTGTGCAGAAGCTCTTTAGTTTCATTAGGTCCATTGTCAATTTTTGGTTTTGTTGCATTTGCCTGTAAGGTCTTAGTCATGAATTCTTTGTCTAGGACAATGACTAAGAGAGATTTTCTTAGGTTGTCTTACAGAATTTTTGGAATTTCAGGTCTTCCATTTTAGTCTTTAGCCCATCTTGAGTTAAATTTTGTATATGGTGAGAGGTAGTGGTCCAGTTTCATTCTTCCGCATATGATTAGCCAGTTTTCCCAGGACCATTCATTGAATAAAAGGTATCCTCTCCTCATTGTTTATTTTTGTTGACTTCGTTGAAAGTCAGTTGATTGTAGGTGTGTGGCTTTACTACTTTGTTCATTATTCTGTTCTGTTGGTTTATATGTCTATTTTTGTACCAGTAGCATGCTGTTTTGGTTACTATAGCCTTATAGTATAACTTGAAGTCAGGTTATGTAATGCCTCCAGCTTTGTCCTTTTTGCTTAGGATTGCTTTGCCTATTCAGGCTCTTTTTTGGTTCCATATGAATTTTAGAATAGTTTTTTTCTAACTCTGTGAAAAATGACATTGGTAATTTGAAAGGAATTGCATTTGAACCTATAGATTGCTTTAGGCAGTATGGCCGTTCTAATGATATTGATTCCTCCCATCTGTAAGTTTTTCTATTTGTTGGTGTCATTTATAATTTCTTTCATCTGTGTTTTGTGGTTATTTTTGTAAGAGAACTTTGACCTCCTTGGTTAAATGTATTTCCAGGCATTTTATTTTTGTGTGTGGCTCTTGTAAATGGGATTGGGTTCTTGATTTGGTTCTCAGCTTGGACGTTATTGGTGTATAGAAATGCTCCTGGTTTTTATATGTTGATTTAGTATCCTAAAACTTTACTGAAGTTGTTCATCAGGTCTAGGAGTCTTTTGAAGGAATCTTTAGGGTTTTCTAGGTGTAGGATCATGTTATTAATGAACAGAGATAATCTGACTTCCTCTTCTCCTATTTGAATGCCTTTTATTTTTTCTCTTGCCTGATTGCTCTGGCTAAGACTTTCAGTGTATGTTGAATAGGAGTGTTAAGAGTGGACATCTTTGTCTTGTTCTAGTTCTTAGGAGAAATGTTTCCAACTATTGCCCATTCAGTATGATGCTGGCTGTGGGTTTGTCATAGGTGGCTCTTATTATTTTGAGGTAATAAGGTTACCTCAAAGGCACTGAGGTTCCTTAAATGCCTGGATTGTTGAGGGTTTTCATCATGAAGAGATCTTGGGTTTCATCAAATGCTTTTTCTGCATTTACTGAGATAATCATAGGGTTTTTGTTTATAATCCTGTTTATGGGTGGGTCACATTTATTGATTTGTATATGTTGAGCCATCCTTGCATGCCAGAAATATGTTCATTATTTCGGTGATGGGTTCAATAGAAGCCCAAACCCCGGCATTACACAATATATCCATGTAATAACCCTGCACATGTACCTCCTGAAACTAGAATTTTTAAAAAAGAATACAGAAAATAAGAAAATATATAGTTAATATTATTGTTGTGTTGAATGGATCCCAAATACACAAATATTCAATCTAAGAAAACAGAACTTGGAGAACTTCATAAACTAAAAATTCAGAATTATTTGATAGTTCCAATATTGAGGTTGATCCAGCAGTTCAAATGATGTCATCAGGAACCCACTTCTCTCCTCTCCTCTCTGCCTTCTCTGATAGGTTCTACATAGAGGCTTCCTGAATGTACCATTCAATGTAGCAAAATAGTTTAATATATGTCTTTGGATCTCTCATCTCCATGGGGAGCTAAGATGTTAAGGGGAAGAATTAAAGCTTCTCTTTCTCAGAACTTCCAGCAAATACCTTCCCATGCTTCATTGTCTCTGAATGAATTATGTGCATGTCTCTGAACCAACCAGTTGGAACCAACCAATTCCAAATAGAATATGTGAAAAAGCTTAAGCCCATCATACACTACCCCTAGAGCTCAGAGTCAAGTCAGCCCCACTCGGATTAAAAAGATGGGAAACACAGTCATTCCTAGAAGAAAATTAGTAAGCCGAGGAAGGAGACATGGATGCCAAGCATCCCACAAAATGCCTGGTAATTATAATTTTTCACATTGCTGGCACCAGTACTTCTATCACAATAGTAAAAGATTCCAGATGCCCCTTCCTTACAGGACAGTCTAGCACAGCTTTACCCAAGTAGTAACTCCACTCGTATGGAGATGTTTAGAAAACAATATAAAATTTATTCATGCATATTTTACCAAGTAGAATGGACAAATATTACCAATATCATGTTGGTACTTTAGCTAAAGCAGTGTTGACAAAAAGAGTCAAATGCTGTAAAATATTTAAATAGATTTATTCTGAGCCAAATGCCTGTGACACAACCTTCAGGAGGTCCTGAGAACATGTGCCCAAGGTGGCCAGGTGCAGCTTGGTTTTATACATTTTAGGGAGACATGAGACTTCAATCAAATACACTCAAGAAATACATTGGTTTGGTCTAGAAGGGCAGGACAACTCGAAGCGAGGGTGCTTCCAGCTTATAGGTAGATTTAAAAATTTTCTGGGTGACAATTGGTTAAGTCTATCTAAAGACCTGGGATCAAAAGAAAGGAATGCCTGGGTTAAGAGGTTATGGAGAACAAAGTTCTTATTGCAGAGGAAGCCTTCAGGTAGTAGGCTTCAGAGAGAATAGGCTGTAAAATGTTTCTTATCAGACTTAAAATCTGTTTTGATGTTAATGATGAAGAGGTATAATGAGGCACATTCGACCCCCACTTCCTGTCATGGCCTGAACCAGTCTCTCAGGTTAAATTTTAAAAGTGCCCTGGCCAAGAAAGTCCATTTAGATGGTTGGGGGGCCTTAGAATTTTAATCCTGGTTTGCAGCAGTCTTTCATATCAAAAGTGATAGTATTTTAGTAGCACACTTGAAGTAAACTGGAAAATATTTAGAGGCATCTATATAGGACTTGGTGGAAATAGTTAACTCCATTTTCTCTATATTACATAATGGTAATAAGAAATAAAAATAAAAATTACTATTGAATAAATTTGTTCATAACTTCCAAATAAAATATTTTCCAAACAACTTTATTGAGAAACTTAAGCTTGTTTCTGTAGCCATAACTTTTTTGAAATCAGATTGTATACTTAAATGACTACCCACGATTCAAGACAAAAAAGAGATAATCTCTTGAAATTCTTGATAGATGACATCAATCAGAAATACTATCTGCACAAGTAGGATATAAACATTTAAGTCATTTTTACAGCCATTTTAAATTATACAACAGCTGAAATTATATTTAAAGGATATAGTACAGCTTACTTTTTGTTGATGAATGTACTATTAAAAATCCTTGGCAAAATGTGAATGGATTTGAATCCCATCAAATTTTTTCATACCAAGTATTTTAAAATAATGATACTCTATTTTGGAGAAGACACATGCTGCATTGGAGCAGTCACTCTGAAGCTGGCATGAATGCCATTAAAAAGCACATGCACCACAAAGGTTCAGAGGACTGATACATGAGGACAGAGATTCTTTGCTGCTGCTGAGGTATGCTTTGTAGAGCTGCCCTCTCCCATTCCCATTTGCCACCCACATATACCATGGCAAGACCTTGGGCTGGGTGCAGTGATCCTTGGGCATCTCCTCCAGCAGCTTCTCAGGCTTCTTGTCCACAGTGGGCAGTGAGATTCTCTGCAGCTAGCTACTGAATAGATAATCAATGGGTGGCTGATTAGCTCAGTTGGTTACAGCATGGTGCTAGTAACGCTGAGTAGATATTCAAACCTCCTTGGTCTCATTCCTACCACTTGGCAGAGCAGCAGGTGCCAGGTGAATCAGAAGAAACTATGGGACTTACCTTTACGTCATGTCCCTGACAAGGCATCTTCTAGTTTGAAGACTTTCATTGCCATTTCTAGGGCTGAAGCACATTTGGAATCTATTCATAAACACCTATTAGGAAGCACTGCCATGAAAGTGCAAATTGCAAAATTCCCACTTCCGGCCTATTGTTGGTAACAATGTGGTGAATATGTTGTATAGTCAGGCAACCCATCTGTACCTCTCTTAGCTTTCACTCCCGATTTCATGTTACTTTCTTCAGGCAGGAGGCTGCTGAGATCTGTGAGTGATTGGGTGTGGTAAGACTTCTGCCTCCATTGGGGTTCCTTTAGAAAAAACAGGGTGGTCCACTGGAGAACAGCTAGAATCCCAGGAGTGATTCCAGAAGGTAGGAAATCCCAAGAAGAGCTTGGACTTTGGGGTTCTGTGAACTGGAAGGAGAAATTTACCAGTAACCTTATGAATGTGTTAGATGGCAGTGACTCCAAAAGATAGAGTATAACCTGAACAGGTGGCCTGAGTCTTTCCAAACTTGAAGCCGGGAAAGTCCAGGGCAGCAGCATCTTCCAGGTGATTTGGGCAGGACTGACAGCCTATCCTTATCACACAGAACCCCTTTTAAGTATTCCTGCATTAGGAATATATTAGCAGCAGACAGGTACAGCAGCTCACACCTGTAATCCCAGCACTTTGGGAGGCTCAGAAGGGAAGATCACTTGAGACAAGGAGATCAAGACCAGCCTAAGCAAGATAGCAAGACTTTGTCTCTATATAACAAAACTTTAAAAATTAGCCAGATGTAGTGATGCATGCCTGTAGTCCCAGCTATTTTGAAGGCTGAAGAGGGAAGATTGTGCCCAGGAAGTCAAGGCTGCAGTGAGCGAAGATCACACCACTGCACTCCAGCCTGGACAACAGAATGAGACCCTGTCCCTTTAAAAAAAGGAGGAGCAGGAGAAGGAGAAGGAGGAGGAGGAGGAGAAGCAGAAGCAGAAGAAGAGGAGGAGGGGGAAGGGGAAGAGGAAAAGGAAGGGGAAGAGGAGGAGGAAGGTGAGGAGGAAGAAGGAGAAGAAGAAGACAACAAGAGGAAGAGGAAGAGGAAGGAGGAGGAGAAGAAGGAGGAGGAGGAGGAGGAGAAGGAGAAGAAATAAAACTAGAAACAAGGTCAGAGCGTCACTGAATCATCAGAGAAAAAAACAACTGCCTATCTGAGGAGTTCCAGAAGGCAGAGAATCAGATTGAACAATCATAACACGTCTTGTCAAATAGAACTACTGGAGGAGAAAAAGAAACACATGTATTTCTTAAAGTTTTTTTTTAAAAAAATGTTGAGATCCAAGTGAAATAAAATATTGTTAGATGGAAGCTACTTAACTCATTTATTCAATAAATGAGTTAATAATGTATGATGGGCCAGGCACTCTTTTCAGCGCTTGAGATAAAGCAATGAACAACACAATTAAAGATCCTTATTTTTGTGAAGCTTATAGTATAGCAAGAGAAGACAGACAATACATGGTAATATAATACATAAGTAAATTACGTGACACATTAGAATTGACAATGTTCTGGAATAAAAAGAAGAGCAAGATAAAAGGGATTGGGACTGGTGGGGAGAGGGACAGTTTGAAATATTAAATAGAGTGGTCAAAATCAGCCTCATTGAGAGGGTGACATTTTAACAAAGACTTGAAAGAAGTGTAGAAGTAAATCATACAGATACATGAGAGAAAGTGTCTTGCAGGCAGAGTGAATGGTTAGTGCCAACACCTAAGGACAGGGCATGTCCAACATGTCCAAGGAGTGAGAAAGACACCAGAGGGGCTGCCTTGTTGTGAGGGGAAAGAATAGTAAGATACGAAGTCAGAAACGAGGTGGGGGACCGGATCACACATGGCCTTCTAGGCCATTGTAAGGCTTCTGCCCTTGCTTGGTAAAATCCAAAGCCCTCACAGTGGCCTAGAAGGCCATGTGTGATTTCGGATGAAGATTAAGCATTCAATTTTGCACATATTGGATTTGAGATGTCAACTAGATAGGCTAGTGAAGATGAATAGGCACTTAGATAATCTAGTCCAGAATTCAAGACATAAGTCTGGGCTAGAAATAAGAGAAAGATCATCTAAGAAAAACCCAAATCCAGAAAAATCACATGATTGCATACATTTTTAAACCATTTTTATGATGAAAATTTCCATAAAAAGTTATGAGAAATGAGAGAAGTGAATATACATAGTATTTTGGAAACAGATAGTTAATATACCTAATATACTTTTCTAAATAATTAAAATTATAAATTGAAAGGAAAAATTATAGTCAATTTATACATGCAAATATGCTCAGCATCACTAATTATCAAAGAAATGCAGTTGACACCAAAATGAGATACATATAAGATTTTCAGTACTAGCAAGGATGAAAATAAGTTTCTAACACTATTGTTGGGAGTTCCATATTTGCATGTAACTTGACGATATAAATTAAAAGTTAAAATACATATACTCTACGATCCAGAAATACCACTTCTAGAAATTTAACCAACTGTTCATATTTCCAAGGCTGTAGATATGTATATATATAATTTTATAAACATAGCTTTGCTATTTCAATGTTCATTTTACACTAGCTCTACTGTAAAGTATCAATCCTCCTAATCATCATCATGTAAATGTCCAGCCATAGGAAAAGAGCTTAATTCTGTAATTAATATTCATAAAATTGAATTGTACAGTCATTAAAAATAATGAGGTACATATCTACATGTACTGACCTGGAAAGATGTCCACAATATCCTTCTTTTACAGATGAGAAAACTAAAGCTCAAAGAGGTTAAGTAACATACACAAGGCCACTCTAATAGAAAACAATGGCTCTGGGATCTAAGCTGAGTTCTTACTCCATGGTTTATACACTTGTCTCTAGTATGCACTGCCTTAAATTAAAAAATAAAAAGTCTTAGACGAGATCAAGCTCCTTTAATAAGTATAACATATTCATTACATAAATCATCTGTGCTAGGCACTGTGCTAAGTACTAGAAACAAAATTATGAGCAAGACAGAGGAGGCCTTTTCTCTTACGGTATAGAAATGCAACTAAATTATTTTTCTAAATATGACAATATTGCTCTCAAAAATTTTTTGGAAACAAATTAGCATGTTTTTCCCCACTGTTCTATTATTTGGTTTTAATTATGTGGAATTTTTGTGTAACTATTAGTTCAAGAAGCAGAGTATGATATATTCAATTACAATGCCGGAAGCTAAGAGCAAGCCACATTACATCCTCCTAAATCCTGCCAACAAATAAAATAGAAAATAACAATAAGAGAGATGGTACTTGTGACAGAGACTGCTATTGTCCCACAAAATCTATTTTCTCCTTTCAGAATAACCAAACCCTTGTTATCTGGGCACATATCCTGGATTAACCAATAAGTGGTGTCTTCATAAGGAGAGGGAAATTTGGAGACAAGGATACACACAGAGAAGAAAGACATGTGAAGACAGCGGCAGAGATTGAAATGATACAGCTGCAAGCCAAAGAACACTCTTGCCAGTAACCATCAGAAGCTAGGAGAGAGGCATGGAACAGATTCTCTTTCAGCCCCCAAAAGAACTAACCCTGCTGTCACCTTGATGTCAGACTTCTGCCCTCCTGAAATGTAAGAATAAATTTCTTGTTTTAAGCCGTTCTGTCTGTGGTAGTTTGTTATGGCCACCCTAGAAAAGGAACGCATGTGATATCGAAGTCTTTCCACTGGACAGTTCCAACCTCCCTTTGGCCCTCCATTCATGCTCAGTCGATAACCTTGCTTTTGAGGAAGTAGAAGCCATCAGACGGTAACTTCCTCAACTTCTGGACACCAAACTTAAAACCTATACTCATCCTCTCTTATCCCTCCTCGAACAAGGACAGCATGGTAGCAAAAATAGTAGTGATTAAGGGTGCAGGTTCTGTAGTCAAAACGTTTTGTTTTAAATCTGAACTCATCAATTGCCAACTGTGTAATTTTGGGTAAAATATCTAATTTCTCAGTGACCCATAGTCCTCTTCACACCCCACCTCAGATCTGATGTATTTATCACAGTTCTCCAGAGAAACAGAATGGACAGAATATATATATATATATATATATATATATATATATATATATATATATATATATATATATGTATATGTGTGTGTATGTATATGTATATATGTGTATATGTGTGTGTGTATGTATATATGTGTATATATAATACCATATATATATATATGGGCTCATGCAATTGTGGAAGTTTGCAAATCTGAAATCTGTAGGGCAAGGGCAGACTGGAAACTTAGGCAACAGTTGATGCTGCAGCCTTAAGGGATGTTGTGAGAATTAAATATGATAGCTAAAGGAATTTATTGAGTATATAGTGCTAAATAAAGGCCAGTTAGTATATTTTGTTATTAGTTGAGCCTATAGAATTTGTAAGTAAGCAAAAGTAAAAAAAATGCTTAAACATTGGCAATCATATGTTCAGTGTATTATTACAATGAATGTAGTCCTAGGGTAGTTCTTACTCTTATTAAAAGAGAATCTGTTCAGGTATTGTCTTGATCTCATCCTCTTCCACCTTTTCAGTCTCACATGACCAATTATCTCCTTTCTTGAGTCTTCGACTTCAGCCCATGTATCTGATTCTTTGCATCATTGCATAAATGTGCTCTTATCTTGATTATATTTGCAAACACTCTATTTCCAAATAAACCCACATTCACAAGTACCTGGTGTTTACGGCCTTAAGATATCTTTATGGGGACACAGTCCAACCACAATACCATGGTTTCAGAGAGATGGAGCTGTGAATTTAGAGTAGCACCAATCTGCCTGGGTATGAATGAAATTGCAGTCATCTAATCTGAGCTGAGAAAGGATAGTTGTGGTAGGAGAACTTGGAGGGGTCACTGAACTTTAAGCCCTGAGGATGAAAAACATGTGCAGCAAACTAGGAGGATCATAGATTTTAGTCACTGAGCTGGTGTTTGAGTTCATGGTCATGGAGGAGCAGTAGTAACTGGGCCCAGAATAATACTGTAGGACAAGGACAGGTGAAGTGGAAGAGATGGAACTGATGACAAAGATGCAGAACTAAGTAGCCAAAGCTCTCAGATTCTACGCTGGGACACTAGTTTCCTGGGAAATTCCTAGGATGACCAGCGTGAAGAGGAAGATGAGGCAGTTGTTAACAAACAAGATGTGAGCAAAAAGAGTAATGAAAAAAGGAAGATGGCTTTAGCCAGTCAGCAGGTATCAGTTTCAAAGGTAGTTTTTAAAAAATAACAGAGAAACAGTAATCTGGAAATACCATGGGGAGCCAAGAGGACTCAAAACCAACAACTGACCCAAGTCTCATAGGGTGGCACCACAGAGTATATACTAGGCAGGTAAGAATTGAAGTATTTGCCATCCTACTCATTTGCAAAATCATCAAAAACAACATTGTATCTAGATCAGGACACAGATAATCTTTAATGGGAAAGAGAATCCTCTGCACAGTACAGTCTTCTCAGGGAATGCAAAGCCAAGCTATGACCATGCCTGGTCCAAGTATGTACAGTACAGCCAAAGAGCAGTCACAGAACACACATGACTGCCAGGGCCCACTGCTATGGTTTAGGAGCAGTTCTCAGGCAAGAGGGGAACGAGTCATAAGCTGGACAGACCGGTGTTGACTTTAACACTTGTATTCAAAAAATTCCCAAGGAGACTTTGAAAGACATGATACCAAGTTTATATGATAAAATATTCTAATTTTGTTCAGTGAAATTCATTTTGATACTTTTAAATTCTGGTAAACAATAATAGAAATGATAAAGCCCTTCCATCTTGCTGACGTTTTATGCCACTAAATGTCACTTTAGAATAGAAAATGAGAAGGTGAAATGGGCCGGTGGCTCACACCTGCAATCCCAGCACTTTGGGAGGCAGGAGAATTGCTTGAGCCCGAGTTCAAGGCTGCAGTGAACTATGATTGCACCACTGCACTCCAGCCTGGATGACAGAGCAAGACCATGTCTCTAAAACTAAAATTAAAAAAAAAAAAGAAAAAAGAAAATGGTAAAGTAAAGAGTGAAAGTGACATGATCAAAGAAAAATACAGGGAGTATTTGGAGAGCAGCTTGACAAGCACACTTAGTTATGATGGCAGGAGGAAATCTTTAAAGGGTAGGCAAAGGACATTTGTGGACTTCATACTTCTCCTGATTCCTTACAAGAAAAACCAGTAATACCTCCATGCTGCTTTCCAGTTTTAAACTGCATTCTCATATGTTATTATTCCAAACATGGTGAGTGTCAGACAGCACACATATACTGCATGTAATACAGACAAGAACAGTGAGGCTCAGAGAGACTGACTGCCCCACATCTGTCATCTGAAGTGGAGCTGGGGCTGGACCTATGGTTTCCCCTGAGCTTTGTTCATCTTCACTACTTCATGTCCTGTCAATTCTCAGGATGTAAGAAAAGGAGTACTTTGGTGTTGCGGGAAGTCAGGGACCCCAAACGGAGGGACCGGCTGAAGCCATGGCAGAACATAAATTGTGAAGATTTCATGGACATTTATTAGTTCCCCAAATTGATACTTTTATAATTTCTTACACCTGTCTTTACTGCAATCTCTGAACATAAATTGTGAAGATTTCACGGACATTTATCACTTCCCCAATCAATAGTCTTAGAATTTCCTATGCCTGTCTTTACTTTAATCTCTTAATCCCGTCATCTTCATAAACTGAGGATGTATGTCACCTCAAGATCCTGTGATGATTGCGTTAACTACACAAATTGTTCGTAAAGCATGTGTGTTTGAACAATATGAAATCTGGGCACCTTGAAAAAAGAACAGGATAACAGCGATGTTCAGGGAACAAGGGAGATAACCATTAGGTCTGACTGCCTGGGAGCTGGACAGGACAGAGTCATATTTCTCTTATTGTCGAAAACAGGTAAGAGAAATATCGCTGAATTCTTTCCCCAGTAAGGAATATTAATAATTAACAGCCCTGGGAAAAGAATGCATTCCCAGGGGGAGGCTTCTAAAATGGCCGCTCTGGGAGTGTCTGCCTTATGCAGTTGTAGATAGGGATGAAACATGCCCTGGTCTCCTGCAGAATCCCCAGGCTTGCTAGGATTAGGAAATTCCAGCCTGGTGAATTCTAGTCAGACCGGTTCTCTGCTTTTGAACCCTGTTTCCTGTTAAGATGTTTATTAATGACAATGCATGCACAGTGGGACATGAAACTTTATCAGCAATTCTAGTTTTGCCCTGGCCTTGTGAACTTGCCCTGCCCATTCACCTTGTGATATTTTATTGCCTTTGAAGCATGTGATCTCTGTGACCCACACCTTATTCGTACACCGCCTCCCCTTTGAAAATCGCTCATTAGAACTTGCTGGTTTTGCGGCTCAGGGGGCATCACAGAACCTGCCAACATGTGATGTCTCCCCCAGACACCCAGCTTTAAAATTTCTCACTTTTGTACTCTTTCCCTTTATTTCTCAGACCAGTCGACACTTAGGGAAAATAGAAAAGAACCTACATTGAAATATTGGGGGCTGGTTCCCCCGATACTTTGGGAAAGCTATTCTGGAAGTATAACAGAGGGAGGACTGGACAGGAAGAAACTTGAGAGGTTGCTGGAATACAGGCTACACATGCCTCCATGCTAAGGACTACATGTGAGATTGAAGGAGGCTGTTCTGAGGCATCAGCAGGAGAAAATACATGACTTGGTCAACAACTTGTATAGAATGAAGGCAAAAGACTCAAAGATACATCTAAAATTTCCAAGCAACCTGATACAAATGGTGTCCCTGCAGAGAGAAGATGATTTACAGGTATGAGAGAAGACAGCTAATGAATTTGATTCTGGCATGCATTGTGTATTTGGGGAAACGAAAATATACAGGGTGAGATGCTTATAACTTACAAATTTACAAGATTATAAATGCTTGTAAATTTATATTTCAGCTCAAATGTTGGAACTGGAGATTTTAAATGAGAAAGAAAATGACATTAAGAGTTGACTGACTATATTTCAGTTTATTTTTCTAAAGATGAATGGGTCACATCAAAGAAACAAATGGTAAATAATAAAGGGTATTGATAAAGTTATATGAATGTACAAAAATTCAAATGTTATAATAATTGCCATTTCTTGTTTCTTTTTAGTCTTAATTCAAACAGCACAGTCTGAATGCCTCTATCTACAGTGGTAAATTAATCTGTGATTTCAGCATCCAACTTTCCTTTTTAAAAAGAGATATGTTCTTCTCCAGCTGTGTCCCAGTCATACATAAGCTAGATCCCTTTCAATATGCATTGGGAGAAATTTTCAAAATGATACATTTGGCAGACAATCCTCATCTGGATTTTAATTAAGGCCCCATGCAAAATGCTGCCGGGCATGTATAAAAAGGATCTACACATGTCAAAAAGAAGTTACAGGTGGAAACAGGAAACAGGCTGGTAGTTCTCTGAGAGCTTTAGAAATTATAACTTCAGTTCTGATGATAGTGACTAGAAAGCCCTGATAAATTAAAAATTAAATATTTTATAAATTAAATTTACTTTTGGGAAAGTGTAATGTTAACACAAATGTAGAGCACAGTAAAAATCATTTTGGATTCAAAACGAAAATGTTAAGGACAGAGAGGTAGGAAAAGGTATCTATTCAAAATAAAATATTCTGGAAGCATTATGATCTGCTTTTATATACAGGATAGAGGTGACAAAGCATGAAGAAGTAGAAAAATGAGCAGAGAAGCAGCAAAGTAATATAAAATGGACAAATTAGGCAGAAAATGAAAGAAGTGAAGCAGAAATTCCCTTCAATTACAAAGACTAAAGTGTTTAATTTAGAAGAAAAAGCCTGAGAGAACACTGTATATTTCTTTTCTGCAAATTTATGGTCCCTTCCTTCTCCTAAACCAGCCATTTCTACAAAACAGATGGGAAGGTGCTCCTTACAATAAGGATGCCCATATCATTCAAAGTCCTTATCAGGGCACTTTTGTCTAGAACTAATGCTAAATGAGATAGGATATCACAACCACTGGTATAATCAAAGTATCCCAGGCAAACCAGAGTGAAGATGTGGTAGACTGATTGCAAAAATGGCCAGAATTCCTCAGCCCTCCCTGTACCCCATTTTTTTTTTTTTGAGATGGAGTCTCACTCTGTTGCCCAGGCTGGAGTGCAGTGGCGCAATCTCGGCTCACTGCAAGCTCTGCCTCCCAGGTTCACACCATTCTCCTGCCTCAGCCTCCCGAGTAGCTGGGACTACAGGCACCCGCCACTATGCCCGGCTAATTTTTTTTTTGTATTTTTAGTAGAGACGGGGTTTCACCATGTTAGCCAGGATGGTCTCGATCTCCTGACCTTGTGATCCGCCCGCCTCGGCCTCCCAAAGTGCTGGGATTACAGGCGTGAGCCACCGCACCCAGCCCCTGTATCCCATTTTTACCCAACTTCACAGCTCCTCTTATCAGTAGGTGGACTCTATTCCCCACCCCTTGACTCTGGTCTGGCTCTGTGATTAGTTCTGGCCAATCTGGTGTGGCAGAAGCATAATGAAGTGCTAGTTCTGAGACTTGGCCTTGACAGCTTGAACACCTCTGCTTTCTCTCCTTTACTCTTGCCACCTCCATTAGAACAAGCCCAAGCTACCATGGCTATAGGATCAAACACCATAGGGAGAGCTTAGCTCCACCACTTACCACCCCCTGCCCTTCTGTTATTTAGCTAACTCCAGAAGTTGAACCACATAGCCAACCTGCAGCTGACACTGAGAACCCAGCCAAGAGCAAAACCGCTCAGTTAAGCTGCACCTCATTTCCTCTAAAATTTTGAACAAAATAAATGGTTGGGGTTTCCAGCCATCAAATTTTTGATCAGTTTGTTACACAGCAATAGCTAGCAGATGCACTCACTATGAGTGTGCCTACCACCTCAGAAGTGCAGCAAGTGTTTCCTACTGGAATGAACCAATCCAACCCATCTGCACCTGAAGCAGGTTAAGAAACCCAAGGCTCTTCAACCAAAGCCCTAGAAGATATTATGCTTCTTTTTAGTTTCTCATTTCTAGGCATTTAAGACTGCTCTATCCAAAAATAATTATTAGCTATTTTCATGCTTTCCCTAAGAAATTAAAAGCTGGCCAGCATGGTGGTTCACACCTGTAATCCCAGAAGCTTGGGAGGCAGAGGCGGGTGAATCACTTGAGGTCAGGAATTCAAGATCAGCCTGGCCAACACAGTGAAATCCCGTCTCTATGAAAAATACAAAAATTTGCCTGGCGGCTGGGCGTGGTGGCTCACGCCTGTAATCCCAGTGCTTTGGGAGGCCAAGACGGGTGGATCACGAGATCAGGAGATTGAGAGCATCCTGGCTAGCATGGTGAAACTCCGTCTACACTAAAAATACAAAAAATTAGTGGGGTGTGGTAGTGGGTGCCTGTAGTCTCAGCAACTCAGGAGGCTGAGGCAGGAGAATAGCGTGAACCCGGGAGGTGGAGCTTGCAGTGAGCTGAGATCGCGCCACTGCACTCCAGCCTGGGTGACAGAGTAAGACTCTGTCTCAAAACAAACAAACAAACAAAAAAATTCACCTGGTGCGGTGGTGGTGGTGGTGCTTGCCTGTAGTCCCAGCTACTCAGGAGGCTGAGGCAGGATAATCGCTTGAACTTGGGAGGTGGAGGTGCAGTGAGCCAAGACTGCGCCACTGCACTGTAGCCTTGGTGACAAAGTGAAATTCCATCTCAAAAAACCCTGGATCTCAAATCCAACATTAATACCATCTTTCATTTAAGTAGCATTTTATAGTTTATATACTTCTACCATTTTCTTTAAAAAAACAAAACAAAACAAAAAAAACTATGTAGCACAGGCAGAGTAGGTATCATGCCCCAGTTACAGATGAAACCAAATTGAAGAGCAAGTTAAATGCCTTTCGCAAATAGCAAATGGCAAAGCTACAATACTTATAACTATACCTACAAACTTTCACCATTCCTTTTCCTTAGAGCTCTTATGCTAAAAACTTGGGTCAATATTAGTATGTAATTTTTAAGAAAGATGGTTAATTAAATCGATGAGGCTTTTTTTTGTTGTTGCTGTCATAAAAGTGGAGATAACATGATGTATTAGTCCGCTTTCATGCTGCTGACAAAGACATACCCAAGACTGGGTAATTTATAAAGAAAAAGGTTTAATGGACTCACAGTTCCACGTGGCTGGGGAGGCCTCATAACCATGGCAAAAGGTGAAAGGCATGTCTTACATGGACACAGGCAAGAGAGAAAATGAGAACCAAGAGAAAGGGGTTTCCTCTTATAAAACCATCAGATCTTGTGAGACTTACTTATTCACTACCATGAGAACAGTGGGGGAAACTGCTCCCATGATTCAATTATTTTCCACTGGGTCCCTCCCACAACACATGGGAATTATGGGAGCTACAATTCAAGATGAGATTTGGGTGAGGAAAGAGCTAAACCGTATCACCTGAGTTAGATCTCAAGGGTTCTTTTGAGGAGCAAATAACATATGCAGCATACATAGCTCAATGTCCAGTCCAAATGTTATTTAGGCCTCTGTCCTCACTGACTGTGACAGGGCTCTCTTCTAAGCTTGATAACCTCTACCCTTAGAGCACTGAGTATCATCTGAAATTACAAATTCTCAGATAGTATAGGCAAATTTATTTCTATGGTAGAAGCATTTATTTCAGATATAGAAAAATAACACTATTTCAAAGTCAGAGTAAGTAAACAGAAGTATATTTTTTCCTTGCATACCCATCCTCAAATGTCAACACACAGTTTCCAGCCATTCTTACAAGGAACAAATGCAAAATTAAAGTAATAACTGTCAACAGAAGAGCTGTATTAAAGCTACGTATCAACCTTGAAAATCAGAAAACACAAAGTGATCTAGTGCAGTGATTCTCAACTTTAGTGTGTATCAGAATCACTTGGATTGTGGAAAAAGCACCTTCAGAGAGCTGAAGGAAAATCATCAGGTCAAGCAAGCCCTTGGTCTCAGAATAAATATCAAAGAGACTAAAGATACGTGCTTTGTTCCTCAGGGAAGAGGGAAGGACAAAATATACTACAATATAGAAGATCAGCCATTTACTCTGTGTCACTTCTCTGAGCTTCACATTCAGAAATAACGACAGATACAACTCTCAAGAATTGTTCTACATATTAGGTTAGATAGTGTAATAAGTGCTTCTCCAATCCATAATACATACCTACTATCATTATTTCAACATCATTATTATTTGATACGGAGTACATCTTCCCCACCTACCCCCTACTCCCAAATGGCTGCTATTACTTATTTTAAAAGTCAAACAATCAGTCATTGGGTTCAAGCTCATGGACTACAAGTACCATTTTTATACTGGTATCATTTTTACTAGCTTCAACTATTCACTTATAAGATTTCAGTACATTACTGAAATGACATTTTTGTACCCAAACTAAGACAATGACTGAAAGAAAAGGAACTAAAGCTTTAAAATTGCGTCTTGCTTCTAAAGCATTAATAGTGAGAAAAAGAATTCTTTTCAAAGTGACCCATTTTAGAAAATTTCTGATGTTCTCTGTATTGTTTTCTGAATCTGAGAAGGCTATTTATAGATGGAAACATGGGAATAAAATACCTATAATCTTCATCACTTCCTATATTCAATATACTACACAGTAACATTTCATAGTTAAAGTTTTTGGCCATTTAAGTACCTACCCACATAAATATCTGAGGTTTTAATATTCTAAAACTATAAAACATAGCTATAGAGGTACACAGTTAGGCTAGGACAGGGTTTCTCAACCTCAGGACTAATGATATTTTGGGTTGGAAAATTCTTTACTGAGTGTGGGGGGGTGTTGAGGAGGTATGCATTGCACAGTAGCAACCTTTTCCCCACCCCAGTTTTGACAACCCAACATGTCTCCAGACATCACCAAATTGGTCTTCTGAAGGCCAAAATCTACCCCAGATGAGAACTTCTGGG
The DNA here is from genome assembly GCF_000001405.40 of Homo sapiens. Classification (NCBI taxonomy): domain Eukaryota; kingdom Metazoa; phylum Chordata; class Mammalia; order Primates; family Hominidae; genus Homo; species Homo sapiens. The sequence goes on from NC_000011.10 coordinate 106,009,244, forward strand.
CTAGAATTTTATATGGACATAATTGTAAACTCTGGGTACACAGACAATACAAGACTCTATGTAATATTATAAGGTAAAGAGTCCAGCACAGTAAGTTTCTGCTATACTGTTTACGCTAGGGCACAGCTTTTATATACTACTTAGGCATACAGTTATCCACATATAACTTTTTCCTACTGAACACTGACATTAGACAAGAAACCACAGCTAATCCAGCAACCATCATTATATCACCTGATATGAGAAAAATCTAGAGTTTTCAAACATTTGCTAAATGGAAGCCTGGAAAAATCACTGCAAGTGTCCTTCTTTCTGAATTCGAAGTCTGTCTTTCTCTACCTGTAAGCGTTCCTTTTCAATCTGCAGCTTCTCAGATTCAAACTTCAAAAACTGCAGCCTATCCTTTTCCAGTTGCAAGCGTTCTCGCTCAAGTTTTAACTTCTCTGTTTCTATGTCCTGTGGTTGAAGCATGGATTTTTCTCCTTGACCAAGTTCATTTTCCAAGGACGGTTTCTCTGAATTGACTATCTGTAACCTCAACTTTTCTCTTTCAATCTGCAGCCGCTCCTTCTCTAGCTGAAGCCGCTCATGTTCCATGTCTAAATGCCGCAGCCTCTCTTTCTCGATTTGTAGGCGTTCCTTTTCTACCTGCAGCCTTTCGGCCTCGATATCCAGTCGTCGTTTTTCCAACTCTAGTTTCTGTTTCTCAATATTTACGAGCAAATGAGGCTCATCATATGCAGATCTAGATGGTGTTGAGTTAAGGGTAAAAAACTCATCAATGTGGGGGAAATCGGGAAGTTCATTTTCTCTCCTGGAATCTGGTATGACGGATGACAACATTTCTTCCTCCTCCTCAATTTCAAACTAAGAGCAAAGAGAAAAGCAATTTTCAGTATTGACTTCTACTTTGTGGCAATTTGTCTAAATATTTCTTAAAAGCTTTCTGCGTCGTTTGGGGAAAAATACTTAATTTGAATTTTGAATATCATTTACACTGAATTACTTGATGTCTGTAATACATATAACCTAGGTAATTATATTTAGGTGGGAAGAAAAGTATTAACGATGTAAAGAGAAAAGCAGAATGACTTGTTATGTACTATTTTTAAATAAGCTTGAAAATCTTGGAATGTGTTAACAGTTCCTGAACAATAATCTCCCACATCAGAATTGAAAAGATTAAAAGAGGGTACAGAGGCTAATACTTACTTCAGGACTCTGCGGATCCCTTTCTTCCTCTTCCACCTTGACCTCAGTTAAGGATCCACCTGCATCCCTGAAATCTGCCACATTTTGCCAGTCAAAATTTGCATCATTTCGGAATCCAATCTTTTCATCTATCTCTTCAGTGAGAGAGTCATCCAAATCAGAGGAGGGAAGGGGAAATCCTGAACCAACCAGCTTAATGTTGGCCTTCATCCTCTTTCTCTTCATAAGTGCTCGCCAGTCAAGGTACCTTCTTTTCACCTCTGTCCCTGTCCTCTGTTCTCCTTCTCCTACAGCATTCACACACTGTGCAATCTCTTCCCAAGCCATTCGCTTCATCACATTAATTGTTGTATTGAGCTGCTTGGAAAAAATGACTTCTTTCCTTTTCGTAATTTCTTTCAAAAGGGTCTGAGTTTCTTGAACACTAAAATTGCTTTTCCTTTTTCTTTTCAACTGCTTCATTTTCAATTTCAATGCAGTTTTTATGGTAAGAGATGTGAAAACAATTTGAGGAATGCTGCAAAGCACAAAAACCAGGGATAATTCTTTGCTGGCCCTTAGTTCAAATCATTGTCTTCCATTCATCTAGTGGCAAGGCAGTCTGGATAATTCCTAAAAGGAAAAAAGTACAAGCAATCAATCAATCTGCAACTTCTACAACATACTTCAACCTAATGAACTATATAATTTTTAAGAGAAACAAAAAACAACCCTCTAAATATAGCTTAAAATTGTGTACTTCTTTATCTTTGCCAGTACTAACATAGTCCAAATTGCCGTTTTCTCCCCACTGGTGTGCTGCAAAGGTTCCTAACCAGTTGCCACTATTCATTCCTGACTCCCTTCCTACTACTTCAGCTCCTTCTCCCACAAATTCTCCCTCTCTCCTCCAATTGCACTGGCCATCTTTCAGCCACCTATTCCTGTCAAACTCTTTCTTAGTTCAGGGCCTTTGTCCACACTGTTCCTTCTGCCTGGAAAATGGATTGCTCCCTTCTCGGTCTATTTTATTCCTCCTCGGTCTACTTTATTCCTCCTCATCCTTTAGCTTGCAGATTAAGCATCCGTTTCTCAGGGAAGCCTTTCCTGACAAATCAAATTACTCCAGCATAAAATTTGCAGGACTCTTCCTAGACTGGATTTTATACTTGTGCTAACATACAGCTCAGAGTCTGTCCTTTCCCCAGTTCACTGCAAAGTTTCACAAGGGCAGGGATGTTTCCACTGGCCATCACCTCCCCAGAGCCTAGCAGAGATTCTGGCACATGGCATGCATACCATAAATATGTTTTGAATGAATGAAAGAGTCGATTTGCCAAAATAATCATTAGTTTGAGATATCTAAAAGAAAAAGTACACTTTGCAGAATAATTTTAGAGAAAAACTGAAAGGCTGAGCTGCAAAATCAATAAAACTCAGAAACCAATTTGAGACAATGTAATCTGATCAAATAAATGCCAACTACCTACATTTTACTACTTCACAAATTCAAACTCATTTTAAGGTTAATAAACCAACACAGAAATCCTAAATTTCGAATATAATTTCCTGAAACAATGAAAGTATTGTAGGAATATGACAAAATTAAAGGGGTAACAAAAAAATGGCAAGGATTTTACCCAGCCATCCCACCTAATTAATCATGTAAGTAAAAAGATCAACAAAAAAGATCAACAAAAAAAGATAACCAAAAAAAAAAAAAAATGATCACTCAAAAAGAAAAAGGAAAATATCACCAAAAAAATTTTTTAGATTCCTAAACCTTTCAAAGACTAGTGCACATTGCATGGTTTGCCCTTGTAATTCTGTTCCTCAAAGCTCACCCCATCCTCCCCTCCCTTAAACCACCAAACAAAAGCCCCTAACATCAAACAAAACCAGGCTGGACTATATTTTTGTTTCTAATTAAGGCTCTTAATTATGTGCCTTTCTTTGGAGAATTTCTCAGCAGTACTTTGTATTTTTCTGGGCCACTTTAATTGTAGAGTTGAAGAGCACAATAGGAAAGTACGTATACTTGGAGTCTCCATTAAATAAATTTTAAAATATCCATGTGGCAATATTTGTATACAGATTTTGAGTGGAAAAGATCCTCTCTTGTAAGCATTTCTTTTAGATACGAGACAATGTTTCTCCAATTTCCAGAATCTCAGGTTGTCAGACTGTCAAAGAGGGTGTACCTGAAACTTGTCAGAAATGTAAACTTTTTAGGCTCCTCTCCAGACTGGGAACTCTCGAAGTGGGACCTAGCAATCTGTGTTTCAATAAACCCTCCAGATAACTCTAATGCACAGTAAAACGTCTGTGCTAGACCCACACTAGTAGAACAGATGATTCACATGCCTCACTCTCTTATCTACCTTGAATTCAAGCCTTACATAAGTGCATCTGGTGGAATCTAAAGCACATCCACAATCCTCACTGCAATGGATTGGGGAAGTGTAGTTTTTGTGCTAGCTAGCCTTTGCATTATCAGAAGGCATACTAGGAGGCTGGAACAGATGGTGAGTGAGTCAGGGACTCGATTGTCTCATAGCGGCAGAAAATGAGGTCATCTACCAAAAAGGTCCCAGTGTCTCACACAGTATAGTACATATTGCTTTATTAATATTGATTCAACTGAGGAGAATAATAATGATTCAACTGAGGGATAGATGTCAAAAAAGCACTTTGACTTGGAAAAGAGATTTTAAAAGATGTAAGGGGAAACAGGGCTCAGAAAGAGTAAGGGGTACCTTACACAGACCATGCTGTCTGACTTCAAATTCACTCACTGATAACTGCTACAGAGCTGACTTTTCCTCCCCTACAAAATGTGAAATGGGATGACATTACTAAGATCCCTTCCAGCTCTATCACTGTTTGACCTTAAACTTTTCCTGTCAATATGAAAAAAAGTATCAAACTATCCATGAAGTTCCAAATCCTGTCATTTAAACCCCATCATAACATTAAATGGGAGATACCAGCCTTTCTATTTATAAAACAAGATCCAGAGAGGTTAATTTGCCCACAACACAGCTAGTTAAATGGCAAGACTTACTACCACCAGGTTCCCTCACGTCACATGTACTTTGACTTTATTAGCAGCTTGTGATAGCTAAACCTTAAAAATGTGTTGTTGCCCAGGCGCGGTGGCTCATGCCTGTAATCCTAGCACTTTGGGAGGCTGAGGCGGGCGGATTGCCTGAGCTCAGAAGTTCAAGACCAGCCTGGGCAGCATGGCAAAACCCCGTATCTACTAAAAATACAAAAAATTAGCTGGGCATGGTGGTGCACACCTATAATCCCAGCTACTCAGGAGGCTGAGGCATGAGAATCGCTTGAACCCAGTAGGTGGAGGTTGCAGTGAGCCGAGATTGTGCCACTGCACCCCAACCTGGGGGAAACAGTGAGACTTTGTCTCAAACAACAACAACAACAAAAAAGTGTTGCTAAGGTAAGTTTTGAGATGTCATTTAGTAAAAGATTTTCAAAAGGAGACTCTTACCTATGTGGAAGGTCCAGATAAAATTCTTTCAATCGGTTACATTTCCTCTACCTCCTGTTAAAGTAAATTAGACCGGAGACCTGGCCTGAAGAATCCCTAAGCAGACAAAACCAGTTAGGCCTCATAAGAGACTTTAACCTTGCTTCATTTGCAAACATATGCAACACTTAACTTGGGCTATTTTTTTGGTAAATATCGATATTTTTTAAAAAAGAAACTTAAGACTAAGCAATCAGAAGCTGTCAGCTAACTTATGCAACTAACTTATGTAACCTTCCAGCAGGATAGGTCAAATTAGACAATCTTATAACTGTAACCAATCAAATATTTACTTTGTTTTACTTCTGTTAGACCTATAAAGCCTCCCCGCTTTGTGTTTCCACTGCAGAGCCCCCAAACCACTTCTGGTTTGGAGCTGCCTGATTCAAGAATCACTGTTTGCTCAAATAAACTTGTTAAAAGTTATCATGTCTCAGTTTACCTTTTAACACATGGTTTCTTTTCTCTTACTCTGTCTGCCAATTTAAACTTTTCATTAGTGTGAAAAATAGTTCTACTCTAATTCACAATACAAATAGTATCTTCTACTGAAGCAAAAATATAGCAATTAAGCAAGGCTAAATTGAATAAGAAAATGCACATCTTTTCTATCATCTTTTCTCTTTTAGACTGAAAAGTGGATGCTAATACCTTATTTTTAAACTTAATAACAAAGCATTTCTTATCACCATTGCATTAAACCTTTATGCATTTTTCCTTTTCAAGCTCTTGGTATTCTTTCTTCAGCTGACTTTGTACGTGTCTAATAACATCAACAAATATATGCCCATCACCACATCTTTGTTTCCAATCACTCATGTGGAATAACCATCTCCTGAACTGCCACTTGCTGCTGAAATAGAGGTCAGAAAACTAAAAATTCAAAACAGCTGAAATGAACTCTCAAGAAATCACTGTCAATTTCACATACCCACAAAAAAGGGCAACGTATGCAAAAACAAAAGAAAAGAAGACTGCAAGCCAACTATTTCTAAAGTAGACTTATAGACTTTGAAAATTTCTCAAGAGAAATTTAATAATAAAATTGAAATCCACAAAATTGGAATGTATAACCAACAATAGCACTCTTGATACTGCCCTAGAGATATACTCCTCTTACAGTCAAATGTAAACCTTTATCCTCTAGAATATAAGCAAATAATATAAGCAAAGTTTATCTATAAATAGAAACATCAAAAGAGGTAGTGTGTGTAGTAGTTATGAGCACAGATTCTGGAGTCAGACCACCCGGGTTAGAGTCCTGGCTCTGGCAATTCCTAGCTGTGTGGCCTCAGTTACTTAACTTCCCTATGCGTAATTTTATTTGTAAAATGATAATAACATTACTTCATAGAAATCCTATAAGGATTAAAGGACTTAGTCAAACAAAGAGAACAGTTCCTGGTGCACATTAAGCACTATTATGTATTTGCCACATCAAAGGCAAAACATTTAAATAACTTTGACAAAAGGAAACAAAAATGTCACAATAATATTGGAATTGTTTAGTTCCTAAGTTGAGGGATAGGTCCCATGGGTCTTTATTATTATGCTTCATAACATATATACTTACATTAGGAGTGTGGTGGAACCTGCCCATGAGAGCTCTCAAGAATCAATTGCGGACATCTCTTTGCAACTCCACATTCAGCCATGTCATGTTAGGAGCTAAAAATTGGCCAAGACGGCACTTACTAATACTACAGAATTGTCAAATTAGAACTTTTTTTTTTTTTTGAGTGGGCAGAGAGCTGCTTTATTAGAACACTCCAGCTATATTATTTTTGTGTAAATCAAATATTATCTAATAAATAAAAGAAAATGAAATGTTTTAACATCTGATTCCAAGGCAGTTTAGTGAACACTGTAGAATGCTTATAATTTTATTTTATTTTTAGAGACAGGGTCTCACTCTGTTCCCCAGACTGGAGTACAGTGGCTCAATCATAATTCATTGCACCCTCAAACTCCTGAGCCCCAGTGATCTTCCCGCCTCAGCTTCCTGAGTAGCAAGGCAGGTGCACCACCATGTACTACTAATTTTTAAAGCTTTTATATAGACAAGGTCTTGCTATGTTGTCCAGGCTGGTCTTGAACTTTTTGCCTCAGGTGATCCTCCTGCCTTAGCCTCCTAAAGTGCTAGGATTACAGGTGTGAGCCACCATGCTGAGCCTAGAACACTTAAATAATTTTAGAGGATCACATTTAATTAATACTCTGGCCTAACATTCCTATGTAATTCAAATTATCCAATAGCTTGGGCAAGCATTCAGCTTTCCTCTAGAGGTGACTAAAAATATTCATGAGGTACCATGTTTATAAGCCACAATATAAAAAACTGAAGCAAAGTGATTTACACACATCATTAAACCAGCCCCAATATGCTGCTTCTTAGTACCCTATGTTGCAGGACAAGTGAAAGAATTATTGGTCAAAACTTGGCTTTTTCCTTCTACAATCTGCCCCACCTCTAAGGACCTAGGAGATAGTCGCCCATCTGCTCTAAAAACAGGATCTTCAATACCTGGCACTGTGCCTAACAAATAGGAGGAGGTAAAAATATGAACTCAAAACAAGAAAATGATAAAGGGATGGGAAAGGGTATAGAAAGAGAAACAGAAACTAATTCAAGGAAAGTAAGTCAGGAAAACTGAAGTTTCCATAGGCACACAAAGCATATGCTTATAAGAAAACAGAAGCAAGTCAACATAGGCAAGAAGCAGTTAGCCTGTAAGTGAAGAACAGATGTCCACCCTATAACTACACTAAACAATGAGACAGTTAACAGGTTATTCAAAATTCTGAAGAAAAATCTTCAGCTAACAGGCTATATTGCTAGTCAGGCATATTGACCAACCATAAATAGGTTATCAAGGACATTAAAAAAAATAAAATCAGCACATTTTATGTCCTCAAAAAACAGAACAGAGAGCCAAAGATATATCACATCCCACCAAATCAAATGCCTACATGTGATAAAGATAAATTTTGGTTTCCAAAATACACAGAATGTTTCAGAGCATTTACATAGCCTTTTGAGCCATTTAAAAATCACTATCACATTTTTAAGGTAAAAGCATGGTAAAAATAGAAATATTTATCAAAAGGGGACTGGATGAATAAACTATTAAGTCACATAATGGAATATATGCAATAAATGTCATGTTAGAGTATGGATGTCTTAGCACATAATCCCCACGTAGATGCTATAGTTGATGCAAGCCAACAAAATTGGCAAAGGAAATGCATCTGTCTGTGTGTGTACATGTTCACAGATCAACTTAGGAACATTCGCAGACACAGAACATCCTATGCTCTACAACAGGTTCATTAACTCTGTCTACCACCAACCTGGGGATCATGTGCACAGTCATTTCTGTCTCAGCCATATGGCTGCTTCTTAGCCCACAGCACATTTATTTTATTTTACTTTGAGGTGATCAACATTATATTAAAAATCTACTTATAAGAAATTTTTATTATAGAGAACTACATTATTTAAAGTCCCATTTTTTTAAAACAGCAAAATATACATATAGTTAGAAAATCTAAATAAGAATGTAAATTCACAATGAAGTGAAAAATTTCTACCACCAATGTAACTACTATTAGCAATTTCTTGAAATTCTTTCCAGAAAAATCGTTTATAATAGTATGTAAATATTTATGGACAAATTATATGTATTACATGAATACATACTAATTCCATCACATACATTAAAAAGCTATGTCTGTTGAAAATGTTAAGCGATAAAAAAATTTAAGAGAATTTACTGAAAACAGAGAAATGACGTGCATATGAATGATTCTAAATGACAAATGAAGAGCCGAAGTTGGAATCCACAGTGAAAAATAATAAGAAATGAAGAAAAATTATACAATTGAAAAACATTTTTTAGATGTTGCTAGAGCTGTGTCTCTCAAACTATAGCATGTATATGAATCACCTGGGAACCCCATTAAAATGCAGACTCTGATTCAGGTCTGCGGTGGGGCCTGGGATTCTACATTTTTGACAAATGACGTCCTCGGACCGCATCTTGAGTAGCAACAGTCTAGGCTAGAGTGGCACTGTTCAATAGAAATACAATGTAATCTACACACGTAATTTAAAATTTCCTAGTGATCCCAGTGAAGTAAAAATGAAATGAAAAGGTGATTAATATTAACAGCTTTTATTTCACTCCATATGCTGTATAGTCAATATATTATTTCAATATGCAATAATATAAAAATTATCAATGAGAAATTTTCCATTGTTTTCTTTCGCTGTCATTAGAATACAATGTGTACTTTACAGTTACAACATACCTCATTTTGTATTAGTCACATTTCAAGAACCCAATAGAACATGTATTTAGTAGCTAATCTACTCAAAAGTGTAGGTCTATAGCACATCAAAATAACCTAAAGAGCTTTTAAAAATACCTATAACCAGTTCCCATCTCTGACCAATTAAAACAATCTTTGGAATGGGGCCGGGCATTCAGAGTTTAAAAGCTCTCCAAGTGCTTCTCATTTGCAGCCAGGATTGAGAACCACCCAACTAGAGAATCAATGTTAAGAGTTTACTTGGTGAAATATGTACAGAAAGGCAAGGCAGAGAGCAAATGGTGTAGCTCCTAAGAAACTTCCTTTAGGAGATTATTAAGAAAAGACCTCATCTGCCACAAAAGACTTAAAATACAGACAAAGCTGGTTTATTTATGGAAAAATATGCCCAAGAGAATGTTATGTCAAATGCAAGAAGAATATGCTAGTTGTAGGACCAATTCACACTCCTATTTGTTGGAAACACATCAAAAGAATGAATGAAAGCTTAGGTGATTTAGATATAAGAAGAAAAGGACTGCTCTCTTGAGAACCAAATTTTCTTCTAAGTAGAATGTCTTTAGACCCCTATCCATATCTCCATTAGGAAAAATTATGACTGAATTAGTAGTATAAATCAGGAACATGCATTATTAGATGAATTAATTAGGACACTGTGTCATTCAATAGGTATATACTGAGTGTTTAAAACCTTTCAAGGCTTTCCATTGCACTTAAGAGGTAAGTTTACTTCCCTTGCTCTTCCTCTCTTCCTATTGTAAACCCTATCTGAACCCTACCTTTACACTTTCCCATCTACCTTTTCTGGTCTTATCCATCACCTCCAGTACCAACTCCCAACCTACTTTCCCAATCCACCTTCCTCATCAAACATGTACTCACATGTAGGTGGCACACAAACACAATACCAGTCATTTTCAAATCCCTCTAAATTCTAGATCAGTGCTGTCCAATAGAAATGTAAGAGCCCTATATGTAATTTTAAATCCCCAAGTAGCCACATTAAAACGGTAAAAAGAAACAGGTAAAAGTGAGTATTTTATTTAACCCAATATATCCAAAATGTTATTTTGAAATATAATCAATATAAACAATTATTGAGATATTTACATTCAATAATGTAAGGCTACTGGCTACCATACTGGAACAGCACAACTCAAGCCATCATGGTCCCTGACCTTGGACTATCACACATATATTTCCCCAGGTCATCTTCCCCATTTCCATGGTGTCTGCCTTTTCGTCAGGCCAATGCCTACTCATCCTTCAGCACTCTTGTTTAAATGTCTTCTGTTCCAGGATCTCTTCACTGTTCCCATTCACCTAAGTCTGATGTCCTCCCTATGTGCTTCCACTATCAGCTTTATTACACCACTGATTTACATTAGGAGCAATAAGAGATCAGATACGAATATATTATTCCTGCTATCAAATAATTTGCAACTTAGTAAAACACAGATGCATAAAAAAAGTACATAAACAAATTGTAATGAAGTCTGTAACCTGAAGGTTGTGAATACAGACTACCTAAGGCTGTATGCCAATTCCACCACTTAACTAGCTCTGTGATCTCCAGCGAATTACTTAACCTCTTAAACTTGTTTCTTCATCTATAAATGGGAATAATAGACTAATACTCGTGATGTTTTGAAGATTAAAAGAGATAAACCGATTAAGAAGTTTATCATGCCTAAGACATAGTAAGCCCACAAATGTCAGCTATTATCCATTGCCCAGTACAGTATCTGAATGTAATTAACAAATATTTCTTCACTGGATGAATAATGCAAATATACAAAAACTACAATAAAGAAATACTAACAAAATACTCTGGATATTCATAAGAAAGACAAATCTTTGATGGGATCAAGGAATGTTTTGAGTCAGAATCAGCATTTGATTTGGGTCTTATAAAACAGACTAATGAGGGACAGAAATAAAAGAAAGAAGTATCAGGAATTAAAGCTGGAAAATTAGGATAGTGCCAAGCAGCAAATCTTACTAAGCGAATTCTGGCTTAATAAGACTATTATTTGCTAAAAATGAACTGAAAGAGACAAATATAACTGTGAAAGTTTTTTGAAATTCAAGCAGGCTACCATTAATATGGAAGAACTGTTACTGTAGTAACATATAAATATATAACCAATATAAGTATATAATAAAAATGATTGAAGTTGTCGAGAGTCCAAATTTATGCAGATATCCACCGTAAGATTTTGCTCTTAGAATCTGAGATCAATTTAGAAATCGCATTGTTGTAAATGTATTGGTACATGGTAGAAATAGCAGTCCTTTTGAAGTACCACTGAGTCAATATATTTTTAAAGTTTGACAGCAGCTGTTGCTATTTGCAGGGCCTATTTTTGACCAACAATTCCTAACTCCATATCTCTAACTTACAAAGTGGTATCCCGTTGTCCTGACTGATCTATTCTGAACTGATGAACTATTTCATTTAATCAAATGGGCTTTAATACATTTTTAACCTGACTGAAATTGATATTGGGATGCACCTTAGATACCCAGTCTTGGCTTAATTGTGTGAAAATCTTCTTCTAAAACCTTGATATTTTCTGATTAAGTGCAAGAAAGTGCCAGCATTGATGCATCTTGAGTTGTTGAAGTTCTGTAGATATGCTTACCTGGATAAAAGCCATTTCCAGAAATGTTTGTCTTCCTGTCCTCTCCTTTATATGCCGGTATCCAAGTAACAGAAGCTTGGGTTTTCTACCATCCATTCATTCCCCAATAATTTCCTCAAAAAATACTTACTGAGCTCCTACTGTGTGAAAGGCACTATTTTTGGTGCTGGGGATATAACACCTCATAAAATGTGAAAATATGTCATTTTAGATGTCAAACACTATCCCTTTTCTATTGCCTGTCATCGCTCTCTTAGCAGAAAGGATTCAACAGCTGCAGTCTCTAAAACTTACAAACCTTCTATGCCCAATCACAGAGAACAGCCATTTTCTAAAATCCCATTTCACAATCGTTCTTCACTAGTTGGAAACAGGAATGAGATGTAGTTCACTTACGTAATCCTTGTGAAGATGATGTACTGCCAATGGCATAATATAACCAGGCAACTTTTTACAAGCACTAAAACTTGAGAATGAAGTTCCTAGATACTTCATGATAAGTCAGAATTAAGAAGTCTGAGAAAAACCAGACGGCAAGTTCCGGATCAAAAAAATTTGAGGGTAAATTAGTTAAGCAGTTCAAGAAGAAAAGCATCACAAATCTACAATATCAAACCCTACCCAAATTCTCTTTAAAGTGTGGCTTTCCCCTCCCCTATATTCTTATAGGGGATTCACTTCCCTGCCAAAAAGTATGTTCTTCTCTAAAACTCGTGGTAGGTGCATAACAAGTATACTTATGGGTCGACGGTTATCAAAGTATCTTTCACCTCCCTCCCGCTGCCTCCTTTGGGACCGTCCAAAAAGAGCCCCTGGGAAGAATCGAGTTAGACTGGGCTCCCGGAAGGCCACCCAGGGGAGCAGGGGCGCGCACCTGCCTCGGCCACAATGATGAGGTTGCTGCTGGTAGGAGTCCCGGTGGGAGTCGGGGCAACCTGGAAGATCTCCTCTCTCTGGGTATTAAATGAGAGTCCCGACTGAGTGCCCAGAAACTTCTGCAGTCTTGTTTCCGTGGCCTGGGCCCTCCCCAGCCTCCCCGGTCAGGCGACAGACGCGCGTGGCACTTCTCCCGAGCGTGCAGTCCCGCTACGTCGCAGCCCTTGGACCAAACCCGGCAGCAAGCGTTGCGCCAATTGCCGCTGACCCCTCCGGGACCCTACCCACTGCGAGGGCACCCACTGGTCACGGAGCCGCCGCTTCCCTGGCCGCCTCCTCCAGCATAGAACCGCTCACCTGCGACCCCGGCGGCACCTCCCCACGGTCGCCCCAAGGGGGGTAGGAAAAAAGATGCTTCATTGATCCCCCGCCCACTAACTGGGCCCGCCCATCTCCCGCCACCCCAATGGCTCATATGGCTGCCGCTCATTTGATGAGTCTCATCCATTGGTTAGAATGGTGTAGCCATTCTGGCTGAGAGCCCGCCCTAGGCCTGGCCTCACAATGGGAATCAAGTCCCAAACCGGTTCCGGGTTAGTGCCCTGGAATTCCGCCCCCTCGTGATTCACCTCCCTGTCTGTGCCCCGTCTGTGGCGCGCAGCTCTGTCAGTCAAGTGGACTCTAGGAAGGGATTGGCCCCTAGAGATCCGCTTGCTGCGCTGTTCCAACTGATTGGGGCACTGGCCGCTGCATCTCCAAACTCGTCTCTTGTCCTTGACCCTCACCTGTTAAAAGGGCAAAGAAGAAGTAGGAAACTTGTGCTGCTCCAGTCGGGTTCTTAGGCCAGCATCACCTTCTCCTCGACCAGCTGCGACCTAATTGGCCTCAGCCATTCCTCTAAGGCTGCCCGTGCCAAAGGTCGCTGGTGACTTCCTTATGGCTAAATCTAGGAGTCACTTCTTAGTCCTTATCATACTATATACTTCCCAGAAGACATTTGAATTTTTTTTTTTTTTTTTTTTTTTTTTTACCATTCTTCACTGTTTCCCCAAATATGTGCTTCTGCTTTCTTCTCTCCCAGTCCTCCTCTATATTCAAGTTTGCAGTTGCTTATTTTCTGCCGTCTCACGTTCAGGTGTTTGTGATTAGTGCACCTTTCTTCCCGCTGCCTCTGTCCAGGCCTCTGTGGACTCACCTGAATTCCATCAGTAGCCTCCTAGCTGGTCTCCCAACATCCTGTCTGCCGGACTGTAGTTCATTCTTCACGTTGTAGCCAAAATGAGCTGCTTAAAGTTTTTTAGTGGAATCTCACCACTGGTGATACAGTACAAACTCCTTATCGAACCTGAAAAATAAGGCACCTACTTTTCCCTCAACCTTCATCTCTCGACATTATACCCACATTTCTTCTTCCTTACCCCATTCCCTTTGCTTCTTTCAGTTCCTGAACTCTACAGTGGCTACTGGGAAGTCAGTTTGCATTGCTGTGTTTCCTCCCTGCTTCTCCGCTATGCCTAGCATTCATTTTTAGAAATTCCTTTCTAAAGGAAGGCTTCCAAAATTATCTCCATTCACCCTCCCTCCACTTCCAAGTATTCCCTTCCCTGTAGGTTTGCCAGATAAAAACAGGACGCTCAGTTAAATTTGAAGTTCAGATAAAAAGCAAATAATTTTTAATCTGTCCAATGGAATATTTGGTATCCATATGTTTATTTGCTAAATTTAAAAAAATAAAAATTTTTGTTTACTAAATCTGCAAGCCTACTTCAGCGAGCTCTCATCACGGCCTTTCCTCTGACAGCACTTCCCACATATTTTATGTGGGTGGGGCTTTTCTTGTTTACTGTTGTGAATAACACAGTGCCTAGAATGTAACAGACAAAAAAGATTTGGTAAATAAATGGTGGAATATTCTGGAGGAATGGTGCATCCTTGCTGGATATTCTTGGAGGAACTCTCCCATAAAATAGGAAGTAATTATGAAATATGCTCTTTAAAATGTAATGATCAGATTGATCTTACAGATTGTTACTTATGACTTTGTCAGTAAGTATAGACATGTTTGTCAAAGAAGCATGTCTATACTTTTGCCAAAGTAGATCAAAAGAAACTTGTAATTTTTGGAAAAATACAAGTTGTATTTTATAATTTTGGATTTTGTTCATGGTGGGTGGTGTTTTTTTGATGAGTGCAGTGAGAAAGTAAGATAACTAGCTATCCCCATCATAACCAGACACTATCAGTTCTGTTCAGAACCTGTCCACCACTTGACTCTGTTTATTTACCTCAGTAATGGGGACAAGAATGGTGAATCAGTATTAACAAACTTTTGCTTTCGTATCATGAACTCTAAGCTTTCCCCAATTAACCTCAGTCTCTTTGCTAATTGAAGTATCTTTTCCAAATACCCTCACTATTTCCTCTCAGCTACATCTTGTCTGAGTGGATATGGACCAACAATGAAGAATTTGAAGGTAATCCATAATGTGTACTATCAGTACTCCATGATCAACCTGTTTGCTGATTTAATTTTTCTTAAGTCCAGGCTAGAGATTTGACCCAAAGATACTTACACACTTACTTTACAACTGTGCTGTCCAACTGTGATAGCCAGATGAGTCATTGGAATGTGGCTAGTACAACCAAATAACTGAATTTTAATTTTATTAATTTTAATTAACTTTAATTTAAAAACTGATATTTGATTCAAGTTACTAGATACTTCTATTTGGAAAATTTGGGTTATGTGTATACTTTTTCAATTGTAAACTTTTTGAAATCTAAATATAGATCAAGTATTTCTGATTTAAAAATAGTGTCTGAATTGAGATGTGCTGTAAGTGTAAAATATATGCAGGATTCCAAGATTTAGCATGAAAAAAATAAATATCTCACTAA
Organism: Homo sapiens; assembly: GCF_000001405.40. Lineage (NCBI taxonomy): Eukaryota > Metazoa > Chordata > Mammalia > Primates > Hominidae > Homo > Homo sapiens. The sequence continues at coordinate 106,024,736 of NC_000011.10, forward strand.
TAATTTTTGTGTTGACTATAAGTTGAAATTATAATTTTTGCATAATTAGGTTAAGAAAAATATATTATTAAAATTAATTTTACCTGTTTTTAAATTGTTTCCAGCTTTATTGAGGTATGATTGACAAATAAAAATTATATATATTCATGATGATTTGATATACATATACATTGTGAAATGATTACCACAATCAATACATCCATCACCACACATAGTTACCATTATTTGGTGGGGGGGGGTGGGGGGGGGAGGTGAGGGCACTTAAGATGCACTTTCTTAGAAAATTTCAAGTAAACAATATAATATTAACTATAGTCACCATGCTTTATGACAGATTCCCATAACTTACTCATTTTATAACTGGAGGTTTCTTCACAACCCCCAGCCCTGGCAGTACCATTCTGCCCTCTACTTCTTTGAGTTCTACTTTTTTTTTTTTTCCTTTTAGAGACAGAGTCTCACTCTGTTGTCCAGGCTGAAGTGCAATGGAATGGTCATACCTCACTGCAGCTTAGAACTCCTCGGCAAACGTGATCTTCCCACCTTGCTAGGACCCCAGGCATCGCTGCCACATCTGGCAATTTTTTTTTTTTTTTTTTGGTTGAGACAGGGTCTCACTGTGTTGCCTAGGCTGACTAGAACTTCCAGCCTCAAGCAGTCCTTCCACCTCAGCCTTGCAAAGTGCTTACAGGTGTGAGCCACTGCATCTGAGTAGAATTCAAGTTTTTGTGATTCCACATATAGGTGAGATCATACAGTATTTGTCTTTCTGTGTGTGGCTTATTTCACTTAGTATAACGTCCTCTTGATGCAAATGGCAGAATTTCCTTCATTTTTACGGCTGAATAATATTCCATTGTGCATATGTATATGTATATGTATATGTATATACATATACACACCACAGGTTCTTTATGAACTCATCCATAGATGGACACTTAGGTTATTTCCATATCTTGGCTATTATGAGTAATACTGCAATAAACATGGAAGTGTAGATATGTCTTTGACATACTAATTTCATTTCCTTATTAATATATACCCAATAGTGGGGTTGCTGAATTGCTGAATTGTATGGTTGCTCTATTTTTAATTTTTTGAGGAACCTCCATACTTGTTTTCATAATAGTTGTACCAATTTCTATTCCCACCAACAGTGTACAAGGGTTTTCCTTTTCCCATGTCCTCACCAACACTTGTTGTCTTTTTAAAAACTAATAGCCATTCTGACAGCTATGAGGTGACGAGTCATTGTGGGTTTGATTTGTATTTCCTTGATGGTTAATGATGTTGATCATCTTTTCATATACTTATGGGCCATTTGTATGTCTATTTTGGAGAAGTGTCTATTTAGATTTTTTTGTCCATTTTTCAATCAGGTTATTTGTTTTTTTGCTATTGAGTTATATGAATTCCTTATATATTTTGGATATTAATCTCTTACCAGATATATGGTTTACAACTATTTTTATTCCATAGGTGCTTTTCCATTTGTTTCCTTTGCTGTACAGAAGGCTTTAAGTTTGTTGTAGTACCACTTATTTTTGCTTTTCTTTGTGCTTCAGTGTCTTATCCAAAAAATCATTGCCAAGACCAATGTCAAGGAGATTTTCCCCTATGGTTTCATTTAGGAGTTTTAGAGTGTCAAGTCTTGTATTTACATCTTTAATCCATTTCAAGTTAATTATTGTATGTGGTATAAGATGAGGGTCCAATTTTATTCTTTTCTATGTGGATATCCATATACAAAAGTTTTCCAACACCATTTATTGAAGAGACTATCGTTTTCACATTGCATATTGTATATATTCATTGACACCTATATCAAAGATTAGTTGACTGTATGTGAGTGGATTTATTTCTGGCTTCTCCATTCTGTTCCATTGGTATGTGTGTATGGTTTTATGCTAGTACCATACTATTTTGATACTGTAGCATTGTAATACAGTTTGAAATGAGGAAGTGTGATACCTCCAACTTTGTTCTTTTTTCTGAATATTTCTTTGGCTACTTGTGTTTTTTTATTTTTTTTAATGAGGCTAATAGAAAATTTGAACTTTTATGTTGATGTGGTTTGGCTGTGTCCCCACCCAAGTCTCATCTTGAATTGTAACTCTCACAATTCCCACATGTCTTGGGAGGAGCCCAGTGGGAGGTGATTGAATTACAGGGGTGGGTCTTTCCTGTGCTGTAATCATGATAGTGAATGTAACAGACACTCAAAAAATATTTGGTTAATAAATGATGGAATATTCTGAATGAATGGTAAATCCTTGCTGGATATTCTTGGAGGAACTCTCCCATAAAATAGGAAGTAATTATGAAATATACGCTTTAAAATGTAATGATTGGTGTAAGCTTACAGGTTATTACTTATGACTTTGTCAGTAAGTAGAGACATGCTTGTCTCTACTTACTCATGAGAGTCTCATGAAATCTAATGGTTTTAAAAATGGGAGTTTCCCTGCACAAGCTCTCTCTTCTCTTGTCTGCCACCATATGAGACATGCCTTTCACCTTCTGCCATGATTGTGAGGCCTCCCCAGCCACATGGAACTGTAAGTCCATTAAATCTCTTTCTTTTGGAAATTACCCAGTCTCAGGTATATCTTTATCAGCAGTATGAAAATGGACTAATACATATGTCTTTCATTTTATTTCTATCAATTGCTGTTCTAGACTGCCTGGCCACAGTTTATTAAAAGTCTCAGACTGGGAATATAATAAACTAAACTATTTCTATTTCATTGCTTATTATGTAACAAAAGAGAAGTAAAAATATCACTTTACTTCTCGTCTCCAAATGCAGTTTAGTTAAGAAAAAAAATAACTCAGCGAACATGTTATAACCCCTGTTGTACAATAACTATGCTTATTGGATTTTGCTATTGACTTTTTCCATTTTTGCCTTTGCAAATGCTGTTTTCTCTTCCTGCAATGCTCTGCCCACTCTTTTTCTTGTCCTTATGACATATTCTTATTTTCTTCAAAACTCACTCTTCCCTGACAACCTTAGAACAGATCAACTTTTCAATTTTCATAACAGTTTTAGACATATATATATGTTCTATTTAGATATAATACTGTACTTCTTACCTGTTTTTTTGAGATGGAGTCTTGCTCTGTCACCCAGGCTGGAGTACAATGGCATGATCTCAACTCACTGCAACCTCCGCCTCCCAGGTTCAAGCAATTCACCTGCCTCAGCCTCCCAAGTAGTTGAGATTACAGGCACATGCCACCATGCCCAGCTAATTTTTGTATTTTTAGTAGATATGCGGTTTCACCATGTTGGCCAGGCTGGTCTCAAACTCCTGACCTTATGATCCACCTGCTTTGTCTTCCCAAAATGCTAGGATTACAGGTATGAGCCACTGCACTTGGTCCTTTTTACCTTTTTATCTCCAGCACCTAGCATATTACCTGGCACCTAGGCTGGCAAATATATATATGCTGAATTTAACTGAATACTAGACAAAGTAAAACTCACTCTGTTTTGTTTTCTGTAGTGTTCCATCAAAGCACTTACAATTTTTGTTACCCATCAGGTAAATTACAATGGTTTGTAAAATAACATTGAAAGCTTTTCAACAGCAAATTTTGTTTCTGAAAAATTTACATTGAGTGGAAAACCAGTATGGTGCCTATAGAAATTGTTGCAATTATTTTCCTTTAGTTTTTTTGCCCCATATAAATGGTAAAAATAGGAAATGTTGGGACATTAGTTATGTTTATATGATAATCATTATAGCAAGAAGTAGGGATGACAGATTGAAGTTTCAAAGACCAGTCTGCTATCTTGAGAAGTCATATGGGTCCTGTGCTTGTAAATCTGCGCTTGCAATTTAGGACATGTGTCCTAATGACTTTTTATTTGGAGCTCATTTTGAAAAATCACTTTTGGTATATCTCTCCTGTTTGATAGTCAAAAAGGCCTCTTGTAGAACAATAATTTTAGTATTTCTGTAGTATGATCACCTGTTTCTTTGAGTCTCCTAAACAATGAATTTTATTTATGCAAAATAGCCTATGTTTTACATCACCCCACGCCAAATGCACCCTGAATATTTAGTGAAAATGGATCCAGCTGTCTTTGTATGATGATGTATCAACAGAAAAACAGATGCACACATTGTTAGTAGTAAAGACTATGCATGTTGTTGTCTCTATTTGAGAAATTACGTGTCTTTTTGTAACTTTGTGTTTATTTGCATGTATTCTTGATTTCCTTTTTATAAGAATTTCACAGATTTTTTTAATTGGAAGCTTTGCATTCACTGGCCAGTTCTCTTAACTCATTTAATAAATATTGAATATTATTCTGTGCCAAGCACTGATTTATGGCCTTCACATGTATTAATCTATTTAACTATTATAACAGTCCTATGTGGGAAGACTAGTAGCATTCTTCACATTTTTTCGATGAGGAAACTGAGGCTGAGATATTAAGTATCTTTCCAATGTTGCACAGTTAGTAAGTGGCAGAGCTGGAGTTTAAACCCCCGTAGTCTGTGCACTTAAAACCTCACACTTAAAATGATGTGATTGATACCTGCAAGGAGATTACTTTAAAAGTGACTAAAAGGCTTGAAAGGTTTTAGTGGAGTAGAAGGACAACAGAACTCCCTTCACAATCCACAGTCTTTTTTCTAACATTTGTTGACTATGATGTAAGCTGTCAAAGGAAGGAATCTTGTTGTTAATCTTTATTTTATCTCCAGCACCTAGCATTGACCTTGCATTTACTATTTATTACCAAAAAAAAAAAAAAAAAATAGAATTCAGGTTGTGGAATAGACAATGATTACATAATTACTTAGAATAGTAGCCTTACTCGGTTAATCCATCATTGTTTAGCAGCTGACTGAGAGCTCTTTCATCCCACATTGCTCATTGCTTTTAATCCACTTCTTTATCAATCTTCATGGTACACTTAGCCCTAAATACCAAAGACTGTGTTGCCTATAAGCAACGTTCTTGATTTTTTCTTCTATTTAGTTGATTCATGGAGAGTAAAACAGTCTGTGATCAATACACAATAAGAGCAATGCAAATGTAAATGGAATCCTAAGATTGCTAAGAAAAGTTGCCTTTCATTTAACTTATGTTGAACTCATTTAAATTTTTTAAATGCAAGAGCTATGATTCCTGGTAAGGCTTTCTGGGTTGTTCAGCAATAGAAACAATATGTATAAATGTTTTTTTCTGAAGAGGAAAAGGCAAAAGAAACAACAATCCCAATGCCTTGGGTGGCTGAGGCAGGAGGATCATTTGAGGCCAGGAGTTCGAGACCAGCCTGGGCAACATAGTAAAACCTCATCTCTACAAAACATTTCGAAAGCAGCTGGGTGTGATGGCGTGTACCTGTAGTCCTAACTACTCAGGAGCCTGAGGTGAGAGCAGGGGGTGGGATCACTTAAGCCCAGGTATTTGAGGCTACAGTGAGTTATAATCAAGTCACTGCACTCCAGCCTGAATGGCAGAGCAAGACCCTGTCTCTTAAAAAAATAAAGTAACATAATACTATTCTGGTTCCTGATTGTAAGTTTAAAAGTAGATGAGAATATAATGCATTTAATGTAATATATGAAAGCCTATCAAAACCCCAAGAGATATTTTTACTCCTTTTTTTGTCCCTTAATTGCCAATTATTCTACTATATTTCATTCTAAAAAGAAACAAAAAAAGATTATGCTCTTCCTTCTGCAATAATATTGGATGTTAAATTTTAACAGGTCATAAATGAAAGCTGTTTTTATATGTATTTAAGATAAAAGGCTGATTTTTAATAACAAAGTAACTTTTGTTCTACTTTATGGATTTTTCCTCTTTATTTTTCTACTTTTTAGGCATGTTTTTCAGTTTGATTAAATGCCGCACAGTGTGTCTCATGTTATCTGTGTCCTAGTGCTAGAAGACATTCTAATACATTTTGTGTATTGATAGTACTGGCTCTCCCTCCTTCTTGGGGGATGAACAGGGCTTTATTTTAATACAATTTGGAAATGGTGTCAGAATTCAAGGTTTTATTACTATAGCAACAGAGAATAATGGAAAAACTAAATGTCAAACATTCGATGTTGCCATAGTAACAATCAGTTGCTTTACCAGATATATTTACTATTCCATTATGGTCAGTTTTTCAAATATGCTTATCCACGTGAATGCTCGAAAAGGGAAGAAAAAGTTCAGAATCATTTAAGAAAGAAAGAAGCTCCTCAAGAGATGAAAGTAATTTGTTTCACTGCCCATTATTTAGTAAGAAACTCACAGAATCCACGAAAAAAGGATATAAAAGAAACAGAAATTCACATTTCTGTCCTAATAAGTATTCTTTCTATTTGCAGTCAGAGAAATTGAAGCATGGAGTTTAAGGCATGTCTATTTTGTCATTTCATGCTATTTCAAACCATTTTCTCAGAGCTTCTGAAAATAAGGGATTCTGCCATATTGAAATGGAAAACATTTTTCCTTCTTAAGCAATGCCATTGAGGGCACATGCCTGCCAAACAATTGTACTGACCCTAAAGAAACTCCTTAAAGCAGGCAATAGTTTATTCTTGTCGATCTGATTGTCTTCCTTTTCCTTTCAGAAGCCTCCTCCCCTTGCAGACAAAACATTCTCATTATAGTAACTCATCAAGACCATTACTGCTATACAGCTTACTAGTGACCTTGTTCCATACCTGTCTCTTCCTTTTCCCATAATTATTTTCACTAGACTAAACCCAGGGAGGACAGGGGTGATGCTCATTTTCACCATTGGAAATGTAGTTTTTAGCACAATGCCCAGCACATTGTAGGACATAATAAATATTAGTTGAATGAATAAACTTCCATTAAAGGATATCCTTTGTTTTAGTCTCTCTAAGGCTCTACCGGATGACTGAAACACTAAACTCAAGGTATTTTGTAAATAAGCAACAATGGCCTAATGAGTCACTTTTTTCAAAGTAGAAACTACTTTAGAAATGACTGGCATTTTCTGATTCATCTGGGAGGTGGTTGTTGACAAGTCAAGATGCACTTATTCTATGGATACAATTTGCTAAATGGTAGTTAAGTTTCTGGATTGACTAGCAAAACTATATGTAATGCAAACTGCTCCTTGGCTATAAATAAAATAGTATCACTTTAATAGTTTCTAATTCCTTTCATAAAATTATTTCAGTTCTTCAAAATGAATTGCCATCTCCAATTCAGGATTTCAGGAGCTTATCTCTACCAGCCAAGAATGGTAGTTCTGGCAACAGGAAACATTCCCACGTGCCACTAATTTGTGGCTAATTATACTTCTATGGTAGGAAGGATAACATCCCCTGAAAGATGTCTAAGTCCCAATTCCCAAAACATGTAAATATGTTACCTTATATGGCATAATAGACTTTTCACATGTGATTGAGGATCACGTGATGGACAAATTATCCTAGATTATTTTGTTGGTCCAATTTAATTGCAAGGTTCCTACAAGTAAAAGAGGGAGGAGGAAAGTGAGTGTCAGAGCAATGGCTGTGTGAGAAGACTCCACCAACCAGTGCTGGTACGGAAAAGGCAGTAAGAAGCCCATGAGCCAAAGAATAGGGAGAAGCCTTTAGAAGCTGAAAAAGGTAAGGAAATTAATTTTAATCCAGTGACTCCAATTTTGGACTTCTGACCTCCAGAACTGTAAGATGATAAATTTGTGTTGTTTGAAGCCACTATGTTTGTGTTGATTTGTTACAGCAGCAATAGGAAACTAATACAACTTCCAGATCTATTTAAGGGAAACGAGCTTTCAAAGAGCAATGGTTCTGAGATGCTTTGGATTTAGCCCACGTAACATTGAGTTACAAACTCTTAGCTCACCCACTACAGCTATCTTTATTTTCTAGTGAGCAAAAGAACTCCAATCATATTGAAGAGGAAAAAACTAAAAATAATAATGAGAAATAGCAATCATAAAAAGACAAAAAAAAAAGCAAAAGTAAAAATTGTACAAATACATTAATTAATAAGAATCAAAAACCCCAACCAGGTTAAATCAACATGGATGATTCAGTAATAATTAGTTTTTCTCTGGAAAATTTTGGGGATTCTAATGATATGCATATCCATTTACGCAGAGGGACTTTGAGTGTTGTCAAGCATTTTGTGCAGTCTGATTCTAAGTGACCTCATGATATGTTAGTTTCAGTTTATGAGCATCAAATTTTATTATCCCTTAAAGGACTCCCTTAGAAGGTTACTCAGAATTTGTCCTTATCAATACAAAAAATTAGTCTTTGAAATAGACTTGTAAGAACTAAAAAAATAGCCCTTGGTTTGGAACACCTCCAGTGCAAACAGTAGGAAACCAAACTTTGAGAAACAGCGCGTAATCATTCTTCCTGCAAGTCTTGTATAATGAATTGGAGACAAAATCCCACTGTGGCATAAGATAAAGAACTATAAAGAGGGGTTGAAGGGAGGTAGGAAAAAAAGTATTTAACATGTTTATTCTCAAGAGATGATCACACTCATTAGGTAGATCACTGTAAAATTATTCTTTTTCTTGGGACACTTGGGTTTGAGCTTTTATTTTTTATTTCATCTATAATCTTTCCAAGTGTATCTCTATAAGATAAGGAATACTATACCATTATTGCACCTTACACAAATGACAATTGTTACAATTGAATCTAGGTATTAGTTACCTTACCAGATAAATATGTGGCTGTGATGTGCTTACATGCTGTATTTTCCAAAAGCTTTATAGAGAACTGACAACAGATATTCCAAAGATTAAGATGGGAATCACTAGACACACAGGAGTAGAAGTGTCTCCGTAGGGTAATCTAGTTCAAATAGCTGAATATTCGGATCCCATTACCCCAACAGCACTAAACTTTTCTAGCTAAATTTCTTTGGATCCTTTAATTAATTATCATAATAAGATTTCAAGCCTCTTTACCCTTTGGGCCTTTAGAATACTTCTAGTGTTCTACCTCTTTTCAAATGTAATACACAATATTCTAGACATAAAAGCCGTATTCTAAATGGAAACTCCTGTGGCAGAGTAATCAAATGATCATTTTTCTTCTTCTGGATATTAAACTTCTATTAATGAAATCTAAGATTACATCAATCTCTTGATTATCTGTTTTGATTGTCACATTTATTTATTCAACAAAAATTTATTGGAGGCCTACTATGTAAACAAACAAAAATCCCTGTTCTTACAGAGTTTACTCTCTATGACCTATATCATTGACTTATAAATGTATAAAATCTAAATTTACTTTGAACTTATTTTGAAATATACTTCTAAGATTCTGCCAGCTTCACTCCTGCTATAAGTCACTGCTTTTCCAAATGGTGTCTACTTCTCTGTTCTGACAACAGTTTTCAAGATTTTATAGCTTACCGTGTGTAAGAGTCACCATTTTTTCACGATCAACAGATCTTCAAATAGAAATATTTTTATACACTTTTTATACTTGCCATTTAACTAAAAATTATTTATGAAAACCATAACAATTGAAAATGAGCAGGACTACAGTGAAAAACCTAGAAAACAAGGCAACAATAACAAGAAACTAAATGATACAACTTCAGCACTTTTAGAATGATGAAAAAAAAAATATGCACAAATACAGGAAGCCAAGCATTGCCTTATAGTTAATTGCCAAAATGATAGCAGTGCACTGCTGAGGACAATTATTAAGAAGCACATCACTTGGCATTTTCTGTGTTGGCCATTTGATTATACTTGTTTCCATTTGTGCATGTGGACTTTGGACATTTTTTAAAATTATGCTGCAAAGAAAGCCAAGCATGTTTTTTTTTTGTTTTATATGGTGAAAAAAATTGTTTTGCAGCATCACTGACTAAAGTAATAACTGTTATTTCAAGGCACTTTTCAAAAGCATGAGGCACTACTTTTGCTGGGAAGCAAAGATACCTAGGGTCATTTGACAAACTAATCCGTAGGGAATTTCTCACAGCTAACAAAAGAAAGGGTCTGTTCAAAATTCTAATATGACTGGTTGTGTTTCTCCCTCACCCCCAGCTCTAAGCAGTTTTTAAAACTTTGCTTCTTCAGTGCTTTTAAAAACTGCTCTATCCTATCTCCTCTGTGTTCAGGTGCTCAACATCTTTTGCCTATATAAAGGAATGATCCCCCAAATAACTCTCCACTCCAATCTATCCCCATTTGCTCTTCTGCAGATTCTCATCTTAAAGCATAGATCCCATCTTGTTTCCCTCTTCCTCAAGAACCTCTTATCCTGCTTCCTGATGTTCTTTTCCATACCAACATCTCAACTTCTGAGTCTTTACAAGGTAATTTCCATTTATATTTCTTGACACCAACAGGCAGGGGTTCTTTATTCTCTGCCTGTACCTTTTATCTGGGATTTTGTTCACACAGAGATTTTTGTCTAGTGTTATTGTTTGCTTAGGGGGAAGTTGGGGGGCAGAATGGTGGGGTCTATATGCTAGGCTGCAATACTTGCTAAGAAGTGGGTGAGTTTCTGTGCCTTTGGCAGGAAAGTAGGTTATTGTGTCTTGGATAAGCACTGAAAGTTGGCAAAAAGAATAGACAGGACAGTGGAGACTGCCTGACAAACAAACAAACAAACAAACAAACAAACAAAACTTCAAAGACAGCACAGGAGGAGGGGTTTATGTGGGAACTGGTGAAGGAAGAGCAGACAGTTGAAGATCTGGTTGGGTAGCAAGCTGGGCCTAGTTATACAAATAGGTGTCAGGTTCACAGCAACACAAGGACTTATAGTAGAGGCTATATAAAAGGTGAGTTTTGACCATTTCTCTATGCATAATTAAGTGAGCTTGGTTCGTAAGAGCAGTATAAGATATTGCCTATTCATGGCTGAATTAGAAGTTTAATCAGATAGAAATATTTTAGCCATTAATATACATGTTTAAAATCTCATGCATTGATTGATTAGTTGTTGTTGTTTTTCCTATCAAGCAGTTTTGTGTAGTGGAGACATCATTGGATGTCGATTCAAAGAGGTTTGAGTTTGTGGAAGATTATATATTGCGAAAATGGCTGCAATATCTCCCATCCCCCTCAGTGTTCTCCTGCAAAGTGGCTTTGCCACTCCCCAATCAAGAGGAGTCTACTTCTCTTTCTTGAATCTGCACAGGTCCTGTGACTATCTTGACCAAAACAAAAAGAAAAACAAACAAACAAACCCAACAACAAAAAACCAGCAGAAGTAATGCTACACCAGTTCAGATATAGCCCTTAGCTGGCTTGGCAGTTTCCACTTTGCCCTCTTACAAAGCAGCCACCATATCAGAAGTTTGGTCACGCTGATACTACCAAGCTGTCAGAATCCCATGCATTGTGGATAGGTCCTAAAGGAAAAGATGTCACGTGGTGAAGAAAAGATGCCGAGAAGCACTGAGGCAGCAGACAGGTAAGTGAAGAAACCACCTTGGAAGTTGAATCCTCACCATCTGCCTCTAATGCTTCATAGAACATAAACAAACTACAAAGCCAAATCTTTTTGGAATTCCTGATCCACAAAATGGGGAGGGAGGGAGATACAATGATGGTTCTAAACCACTAAATTTTGGGGTGTTTTGTTAAACAGCAGTGGATAACCAAAATAGGATTATTGTTTCATTTCTGTCATTTAGTAATCCAGTAACTGAAGTTTTTCACCCACATCTATAAAATGTAGACATTGATCCTGGTCTGTCTACCTCATGTACTTGCTGTGATTTTCAAAGAAGATAAATAGATGGAAGTATAGTGAAGGCAAGATATTATTACTGCAGCTTGAAAAATCTCTATGTCTATAAGACTGATTTGTATGTGTCCATTACATGTTTTCATTATCTCATGATGGTTCTTTCCAATTGTAAGCATGGATATTTGAGATTAGGTAACTGTATTTAATTTGCAGACTTTGAGATAGGTTTCAATTTAGGCGGAATATCTTTTTATTATATATATAATTTACACTATTATGTTGTTCTGATAATATTTTAAGCAATTGCTAGCATTTTCCCCTCAAATATATTTTACATTACAGTCAAATATGATTAGAAAGCATCCCTACATTTTTTAAATGATCAAAATGATTTTCCAATCATTTGAACAAATCACAAAGCCTTACAGGAATTCTATGGCTCATTGTTTCTTGACTAAAGTAATTTGAAACAGGAAATAAAAATCAATTCTGCTTCTTTAAATAATAGAAAAGCTAAGGAGAAATTAAAAAAGCAGTAAAATAATATTGGCTGTTTTTATTTCTATAGAGCAAGCATATTTTAATTTACAGTCAGCAGAGAGACTCTGCAAAATTGGTCAATAATGTAGTTGGGTCACTCTCAAACTTGGAGGCATTCTGGTTAATGAAGGAAGGGCTCCCTTTTCAATTATAATTCCCAGCGATAATAACCTTATAATGTTGAACAAAGGCTAAATGTGTATTTCTTCTAGTAATAAAATAGAAAATATTGACCAAATAAAGTATCAAAACTGTGCTACTTCCAAGCATGATATCTTGGAATTGAGTGTTCTAGTCAATTTAATAATCTAGTTAGTAAAAATTTTCATAGAGAGACAATGGAGTTTCAAGAAAATAGGTTCTATTCTAAGCTCATCTTCTTACTAGTTGTGTGCCCTGGGGCAAGATATACAACCACCTATGCCTCAGTTTACATTATCTGCTGCCACATAAAATGGAGATTATCTATATGATTAGGGTTATGATGGTTAAGTAAGAAATAAGTGTAAAGTACCTATCATTATGCTTTATGTCACAGAGCTTTAATTGGAATTTGTTGCTGTGATATGTATCCTGTGGACAGAATTGGCCCCATTGCTGGATGTGTTGCTAATAGCCTTGACACTTCTATAACCTCTGTTATCAGTCCTACTCTTATTACTTGTTATTGCACCTGCTGGGTTAGAGGCAGAACTTTTCTTCGTCAGAGGCTCCTGAAAAGATATTTTAGGTTTTCTTATAATCCCTTTTTCTAGATAAGCTTTCCTTGTGCTTGGTTAGTGGAAACTTGAATCCTGCCTCCAGTCCATTTCTCCACCTGCCCACTGTCAGAGAGCCATGAGATGTCCTAGTCCTGGGCCAGCTACTGCTGCTTCCTCTGCACCACCTGATATGGTTTGGATATTTGTCCCCGCCCAAATCTCTTGTTGAATTATAATCCCCTGTGTTGGAGGGGGCCCTAGTGGGAGGTGTTTGGATTATGGGGTTGGATCCCTCATGAATGGCTTGGGTCATCCTGTTGATGATAAGTGAGCTCTTGCTCTGAGGTCATATGATATCTGGTAGTCTAAAAGTGTGTAGCACCCCCCCACACACACTGTCTTTCTTGCTCCCATTCTTGCCATATGATATGCCTATTCCCCCTTTGCTTTCCACAGTGATTGGAAGCCTCATAAGGCCTCCCCAGAAGCAGATGCTGCTGTGCTTCCTATGAAGCCTGCAGAACCATGAGCCAATTAACCTTCTTTTTTAAATAAATTGCCCAGTCTGCCGTATTTATTTGTATCAGTGCAAGAACAGCCTAACACACTACCCATTAGACACACACAACACTTCTTTGAGACTCATAATTCTAGTGTCTCTTGTTTCACAGCCCCAAAATCTGTAGATGCATGTGACCAGGACTTCTAGTGAGCTATCCCTCCTCATGCTAGACTTTCCAGTAGGTTCAGTCTCTTTACTAAAGCCTTTTGGGACATTGCACCTAAAGGTTTGGATTGCCTGTAGATGATTTTCTATGTGAAATCATTCTTTTTGTACCTGCTGGTCTTGCTGAAGTCACCTACTGCATCAAGTCAGAGGTCAGATCTGTGGCTAGGCTTACATTGAGAATATCATATGGCTAATGCAAACTCAGCCTAGGTATATAATGCTTCTTCTTTGATTTACATTTCTAACATGGTAAAAGAAACCAGGACAAAATGAGAAAAGAAAGAAGAGTGCCTTGAATTTTACTCCATTTAAGAAAAAACATTTCAGCAAGTAGGCCACATATATTTGCATCTTTAAAAAATTAAATCAATACAGTAATCAAACAAAAATCCATTAAGCTATGAAACAGCAGAGCTACAAATCTACGTTCTTTTTAATGAATGCATTTAATCGTTAAGGGATAAAATGTTCAAAGGGAAAGCCAAATGTGTCCTTGGTTTTAAATAGATTTAACCTTGAAAATACTATTTGTATATTCAGCCTCTACCGCTAAAAAGAAATTATTCTCAAAAATGCAATTTACCTTACCAAAAAAAAACCCAAAACATTAAATACTGTTTTTGAAAATGCTGAAATATTAAACATTCACTGGACATCCACAGGATGGACAATACTCTATTAGGTACTTTTGGACCACGGTAATTTTAGTTAGAGCAGTTCTTGTCCTCAGAAGGCTTAGAATGAAATAAGGAAAGAGGTGGGTGAACATTAGATATAGTAAAAATATGTTAATTTAGTTAATATTAAGTATAAAATTTGTTAGATCATAAATTAACTACTATTTTAAAATTCTTACTTTATACTGTTCTCTATACCTTTAAGTATGCATCCTAAGTTAAAAAGCCATAGAATTTTATTTGAAAAGAAATATATAAAGTATCATAATTAGAAAGAGAATCAGTCTTCAAAACTAATCCTTATATGATACTATTCTGTGCCTGATACTATCTAAAGGGTTCTATACATATTAACACTGAATTCTCATGATGATACTATAATGAAAACACCACTATTATTCCCATTTCTCAGAGGAAGAAACTGATCACTAAGATGATAAACAACCCTCTGGCTCCTTGTACCAAATTCAGGTAAAAGAGGAATGACTTGTTCAAATCAAAATAATTTCACATTGCAAAATTGATTTTTAAAACTTTCAAATATTCACAAAAACAGGACAAATGAAAGTGTAGGACAAAAAAAAAGGAAACCCAGTAGTTTAAAGAAGAGTTTTGAACTGAATTTTGAAAATAAAATTTTTGTTATAGGCATTTTCCTGATTAAGTACCTGCTTTAAGCCATTATAGACTAATATATTAGCAGGAATTAGTTTATGTCAGAAAAATAGGATAAGGAGAGAAGGCCAGCTGGGCATAGTGGTGCATGCCTGTAGTCCCAGCTACTTGGTAGTTGAGGCAGGAGAATTGCTTGAACCTGGGGGGCAGAGGTTGCTGTGAGCCAAAATTGCACCACTGCACTGCCAGGGTGACAGAGTGAGACTCCATCTCAAAAAAAAAAAAAAAAAGATTTCATGACAAAGACACCAAAAGCAATTTCAACAAAAGCAAAAATTGACAAGTGGGATCTAATTAAAGAGCTTCTACACAGAGAAATAAACTCTCATCAGAGTGAACAGATAACGTACAGAATGGGAGAAAATTTTTGCAAACTATACATCTGACAAAGGTCTAATATTCAGCATCTATTAGGAACTTAAACAAATTTACAAGAAGAAAAAGCATTAAAAAGCGGTCAAAGGACATGAACAGACACTTCTCAAAAGAAGATACACATGCAGCCACCAATCATATGAAAAAAAGCTCAACATCACTTGTCATTAGAGAAATGCAAATCAAAACCACAGTGAGACACCATCTCACACCAGTCAGGATGGCTATTATTAAAAAGTCAAAAAAGAACAGATGCTGGCCAGGTTGTGGAGAAAAAGGAACACTAATACACTGTTGGTGGGAGTGTAAATTAGTTCAACCATTGTGGAAGACACTGTGGTGTTTCCTCAAAGACCTAACGACAGAAATACCATTCGACCCAGCAATTCCATTACTTGGGTATATACCCAAAGGAATATAAGTTGTTCTGTTATAAAGACACATGCATGTGTATATTTATTTTAGCATTATTCACAACAGTAAAGACGTGGAATCAACCTAAATGCTCATCAATGGCAGACTGGATAAACAAAATGTGGTACATATACAACATGGAATACTATAAAACCATAAAAAAGAACGAGATCATGTCCTCTACAGGGACATGGATGGAGCCGGAGGCTATTATCCTTAGCAAACTGAATCAAGAACAGAAAACAAAATACAGCATGTTCTCACTTATAAGTGGGAGCTAAATGATGAGAACACTTGGACACATAGAAGGGAACAACACCCACTGGGGCCTATCAGAGGGAGTAGGAGGAGGCAGAGGATCAGAAAAAATAACTAATGGGTACTAGGCTTGATACCTGGGTGATAAAATAATCTGTACCACAAACCCCCATGACACACATTTACCTATGTAACGAATCAGCACATCTTGCACATATACCCCTGAACTTAAAAGTTTAAAAAAAGAAATATGCAAAAAGAAAAAACAATGTTATATGAGTCTAACAATTCCATAAGAAATGTATAAAACCAATGAAGTTCAAATTTAAAAAATGGCAGCCAGTGAATTGTATCTTTGTTGTTTCTTCACCTTTTACAATATGTCTTTACTGTTTGCTATGGAGTCTGTTGAAATCTGTGCTGTTTTGTGAATTGCTTGGACCAACAGAATGCAATAGTAGTGGTATCTGGGACTTCCAGGGCCAGGCCTTGAGACCCTGTAGCTCTGTTTTCAGTTAGAGGGAAGCCAACCACCATGGAAAGAAGTCCAGGCCATCCTGCTGAGGAGAGGGGCCCTAGAACAGTGCTTTCCAATAGATTCCTGTTATAATGGAAGTACTTTACATTGTCCAGTGTGGTAGCCACTAGCCACATGTGGCTATTGGGCACTCCAAACATAACTTGTAACTGAGAAACTAAATGTTAAACTTTATTTAATTTTGATTAATGTAATTTTCTATGTAAAAGACATACATGGCTAGTACTTACCAAATTGGTAAGTGCACCCCAAAGGAAAGAGGTCACATGAGGAAAGAGGCCACATGAAGAACTAACATGTCCAAAATGACTGCCAGCAACAAGGCACCAGATGTGAGAGGCCTCCAACCCTAGTTAAATCTCCTAGCTGACACCAAATGGAACAAAGACAAGCTGTCCCTGCTGAGCCCTGCCCAAATCCCTAACCTAGAGAATCACAAGCAATAAGATTGTTTTCAGCCATTGAATTTGAGGTATTTTGTAATTCAGCAATAGGTGACTGATATAGACATGGTGACTGCAACAAGGTCCTGCCATCCTAATGAGGACCTGTCTGGTGGAGCCAACTGCCTTTTTCCAGGTGATATCTTATGTGTCCATTCAAACTATGATGCTGTTATTCCACAGAAATGTTGACTGCATGTAGGCCCCAGCTTAAGAAATTAAGGTGCTTGAAATAAAAGATGCAAGGAATCAAACCCATTTTCTCTTATTAAGCATCAGGACCTTCATATGCAGGTTTCAAAGAGAGGTCATTATCATGGGAATGGAAATTTATAACAACAAAGTCTGGGCTCCAGCCACTGGATTTGAGTGTTTCTTCTTTGTTCTCAACAGAACCTGTAAGTCTGGATCCCTCCTACTCTCCATAAGATAGCCTTCCACCTTTTTCTTCTCAAAGACACAGATTGTCATAACTCTGGACGTATGTAAGTGTAGCATATGTAAGGCCAGAGATGTTAGCTGAGCAGACCAGGGCTGAGGAGTGACAGTTTACAGCAACTATTGATATGACTCCTCTTGTAGAATCACTAATTTCTCTCCTTCAACTGTCACCTTTTTTACTGAATTCCTGACTCTGCATTGTATAAATGTCCTCAATATTCCTGGTCACATGGCATTTTTACTACTTGACTCCTTGCCTCTGCTTTCTTTTACTCTCCTGGTGATACATTAATTACATTTTCAGGATCAAGGAGAAATACTAAATAATTAATGAGAGGAATCTTTGTATACAACTGGACTTTTTAATGATTGACTATTCTTGTTTTATAAATATTAATAAGCTGACCTCTGCACACTTTCAAGTCTGATATTATTTTGGTGAGGATATATGATGGTGAAACAAGTGAGAAACGGTATTCTCATTTAGCTTATCAGGTGAAAAAATATTAAAGTAATACCCTGTGTGATATATGACTGCTTGCCAACATAAAACATTATATATGGCTGGATGCATGTACCAGGGTAGGAGATTATTGAGAAAAAAACTTTTGGATTTTGTTCATTCAAAAATGTATACATCTCCTGCATTGCACTTTGTGAAAATAAGTTATTAAATATATTAAAAATTCCTTGTAGGCTGCTAAGATCTCTCACCCATTTAATGACCACTCTAGGCTCTGTAAACTGATTTTCTAACTCCCCTACTCATGGGTGAGCAGGAGAGCTGAGCTTCATGCTTTGGCTGTCGTCAGTCACAGAAGCCCCTGTTGATCTTGAGAGCTGTGAGTCAAGGAGCAAAGGGGAATGTTCATCTGGGCAGAGCAGATGTGGAAGCTAAGGAACTTTTGAAGGTTTAAGGTCCTGGGAGAGCATGGAGAACAAAAATGGGGCCAAATTGAAAGTGTTAGCAATAGAAGCCAGTCAAAATCAAGAGATTCACAGAAACAGCAGGATGCTCAGTGAGTCAAAAATAGGAAACACACTGGTTTTCTTGCCATAATAATCCCAAGCCTAGTATAGTGACAAACACAGTAAAAGCTCAGGAAATTGTTGTTGAATGAATTAATTAATAAGTGAGAAACTCATGGTTGAGTCTAAGAGGGAATGTTTAGAACCAAGTCAAAACTAAACTGTGCATTAGGCAACGTTTTACTTTGTCACACCAATTTCTTTACCAAGGCAGACTTGAGTGACTTTCAGATTTAAAATTTCATCCCTAATTGAAGAATGAAAGACTGTGGTAGCATTTGGGACAGTTAGGGGAAGATGGCTTCTGTTGAAATCAAGGAAAAAGAGACAAGAGAGACAAAATATTTACTGAACACTTTCCATTTGCTAAGCATGTCACATGCATTATTTTATTTAATTCTCACAACACCATTTTGTGGGTGCTTCAATTCTCTTACCCAGTTTTATTGATAAAGAAACTAGGGCACAGGATGTTTAAGTAACTTGCTCAAACTGACTCTATGGTGGAACTGAGATTCAAATCCAGACTTGTCTGATTCAGAGCTAGTTTCTCAACTATTAACCCAGTGTGTTGCCCAACTTGCCCACCAAAAAGAATTATTTGCAGTGCTTATTAAAAATTTGGATTCCCAGGACCTAAATCTAGAACTTACTAAATCAAAATCTCCAAGAGTGAGGTCCTGCATTTGGTACTTTTAGCAGGCACACCCCCAATGATTGACTGATTGATTGATTGACTTAAAATTTTTGTAGAGAAGGGGTCTCACTGTGATGCCCAGGCTGATCTCAAATTCCTGGGCTCAAGCTATCCTCCCACCTCAGCCTCCCAAAGTGCTGAGATTGCAGGTGTGAGCCACTCACTGCACCGGGCCATTATTTTTATTTGAATTTTGAGACCTGGCCTCACTGTGTCACCCAGGCTGGAGTACAGTGGCACAATCATAGCTCTCTGTAACCTTGAACTCCTGGGATCAAGTGATCCTCCTGCCTCAGCCTCCTGAGTAGCTAGTACTACAAGTGTGAACCACGATGCCCAGCTAATTGTTTTTAAACATTTTGTTTCTGTAGAAATGGGGTCTTGCTATGTTGCCCAGGCTAGTCTCGAATGCCTGGCCTCAAGCAATCATCCCACGTTGGCCTCCCAAAGGATTGAGATTACAGGCGTGAGCCACCATGCCTGTCCTAGATGATTTATTTTTGAAGCAAGTCTGAGGAGCATTGCCTAACACTGCATGCATGGTAGACATTTACAAAAGTATTGGTTGGAGCTTCAATATTTCATTTATCAATGAAAGAAATGTAGATGCTTTAAACTATTGAATAGTTTTCTTTGTAAAAATTCTTAGAAACAAGGGTGCATATTAATTTGTTCTTGTAAAAGAAATTGAATGGAAGAATACTGTGATAATATTTTACTCCTTCAGGAATACTGAATTCAAAAGGTGAATATTGTTCGTAAAAGAAACACAAAATTTACTGATTTGTTAAAAGGTTGTTTTAAAAGGAGCTATAAATAGTTTGAATTCCAATTAATGTTTAATAACATAAAAGGGTGGTTAATCTCTAAAAGGAAAAACATTAAAGGCTAATTGGATTTTTAAATCTGAAAAGCCCACAGGGAAAGGCTTTTCTTGATTAAAAAATGTAAACTCATTTTACAGCACACATTTTGGTCAGGGTTAGGAAAGGGTAATTAACTTCCCATGGAAGATTCACTAATTACCATCAGAGCAAAATCAAGTTAAACAAGCCCTAAACTTAGAAGAAATGCAAAAATATTTATTATCAGGTGCAGCAAAATCTAACACTGTAAATACTAGGATAATGTATTTAATATTTATGCCTAAATTATGTTTTAAGATAGCTCCCACAAATTTCTTAAGTTTTTCATGAATATTATTAAGTTGGCTATCTTAGGTTTAGGCTCATTAAGCTTTATAAAAGTCTTTAAAATTATAAAATTTAATAAGCACAAAATCACTATAGCACAGATTTTATAAAAAGCGGTAATAAAATATTCAGTTTTAAATAATTCATGTTCATTATGTAGACTGGTCTAGTGCCACATTGCCTCAAAATTCAATATTCTGAATTCGTTTCAAAAATCTCAAAACACTTTATAAACATTTTGAAACTTTTTACATCCATAATGGAAAGAATATTACATTTTTAGAGTTATTTTCACTGGAAAATATACATAGAAATCAATTAAAATCTGTATATTAGCTAAATAATTACAAATAGTTTTCAACAAAACATATTTTGTTACTTACATTCTAAATAGATAAGAGCCTGTAGCCCAATATTACCTAACTCTTGTTGATTGGAAAGCGGACAAACTGCTATTTTAAATGCTTTTCACAATTTTTTGTAAGAATGGAGACTGAGATTTGTCATTGAGGGGCTTCTGTCCTTTTTTCTACTGAGTGAGAGGAAAGGGACTAATTCAGGTGGGTTCAGAATTTCGGGAAAGTACTTCAAATGCCAATGCATCAGACTGCAATGATTAATCATAATGTTTAATGACTTGAAAGCTTCAATCAGGGCCTGTGAGTATTAAAATGTTAACTAAGAGAGGAGACCTTGATTTGAGGAGAGCATCTCCAACAAACTGGCAGGCCAATTCCCTATGATATTCTTAAGTTTTAAAATAAACTCTGTTAAAGGCTTCTGCCTGGGGGATTGAAAAGAAGGAATGGGTCTATGTTTGAAAGCAAAGTGACCTGCAGAAAGTTGGAAGCACATTGAAGATTCGAGGTATTAAGGAAAGAAGTCTGGAGCAATGCAATTGGAACAATGACTAACAAGTAAGCACCAGACCTCTTCGGAAATTTGGAGAAGGCAAGTGGCCTTATGCAGTCATGTGAGATGGGGACAGAATTCACTTTTCAAGGGTTAGGTTCCCAAGGGGGAAATCTGTTGCAACCTGGGCCCTAGTCTGTAGGAAGGACTTGGGAGCCAATATCACTTAGAAATCATAGCTCTTCACAGAGGACAACTAGACACATGACAGAAAATGGCCCTGTCCAGAAATAAGAAAAAAATCACAGGAACTGGAATTAAGAGAGCATCTGTCCAATGCAAATGCATTAAAAGCCCTTTTGAGGTACTACTTTTAGTCTCTCAAACTTTGGCTCCTTCACTAGCTCCTCCCATGAACATCTGGGTATATGAAGTAGATAGGTCCATACCCTGGCAGCTGACTGGTCCTGGTATGCCTAGTGTCCAGTGAGGCAGGGTTGGGAATTTCCTGGCCCTGCAGATTTGGCTAACTTCTGCTACTGTCATCTGTGGCCCATGGACATTTGGTCTGTTCTTAGCTCAGTCAGGACCTGGAGATCTCTCTCCATTGTGACTCACCTGAAGACTGGTTGTCACTATATTCATTTCAGACCTAGTTTTCCACCTTGAAATCTATGTTGCTGGACATACCCCAGCTACAGAAGCCCCTTTTGATAATCCTCCACCTTCACCACCACACTTTTAGTACCCCTGAGACCATTAAAGCCACTCAGAAACCCAGAACACCTGGGAAAGGAGAGGCAAGAAAATGAGAATCCTGGCATTCACCTTTCTCCACTTCTTTTATTTGCAATAACAATAAATTCAGACAATATATTTTTTTCTGAGATACATTTTAATAAATTAATTATTTTATAGAATTGAAATGTTTTACTACATGTTAACATGGTTAACATGGACGTCTAAATGCTAATTTTCGTTCTCATAGCATATGCAAAACCCCACATTCCACTAACAGAGAAATGAAGTAAGTTGCGTGTGCAATGTAAATAGCTTTGGGCATTATTCCCCTGCCTGAGTGGGAAAAAGGTCATTAACACTATTATGCTCTTGTAGGAGAAATGGGAAATTTGCAGTCATTGTTTTATCCATTATTGCCTTTGAAAAGAAACAGAATTAAATATTATAATGAAAATTCACTGAAAACAAATACTCCCCAAGCATTAAAAAATTAAGTGGATAAATGACTTTGAATCTATAATTTCACTTTCAAGACCCAACAATACATACATAACTATACAGTCAACTATAATATATACATGCTCTCCAAAGATTGGCAATGCACTTGCATAGTGCAATTTTGCTCTAAAAAATGCCTTTGATTAACTTTTCCATTTACTGTACTACAAAAACTAAAGTTGCATAAACTACCTAAACCAATTTTCTCAGATACTTTGAACATAAGCAAGATTAATATTACAAATAATTAGCATGTACATTAATACAGTACAATGTGGTAGCATTCTAAAATGTAAAATTCTAACATAAAATAATTTCCTTTTCATATGAAAATAAGTAAAAAAATACAGATATACCAAACTGATTCAGAAACAACTAAGATATATCTTGATTCACATATTGGCTCAATATAATATCAGTTTATTGGATGCTTTATTATATGACAGGCACTCTGCCAACTGCTGGGCCCAGAAATGCTGAAGATGTGTCCCTATCCCTAAGAGTTTCCAGTTAAATGAGGAAGACAGACATATAAAGAAATATTTATACTACAATATGACACTCATTAACAGAAGACTGTACTCTGAGTTATTTCAGGAATCTTGTTACCCTTGACACCATCAGCACAATTTGTTGAGCTAGTTAGACTTTTATGGTTGGGAATGTCAAAGTTAGTGAAATGAATAAAACTATCTGACTCATAGATTTATTTAATTATGGCCTTGTTTTATGAAAATATCATGCTCTATCCAAATGGACTAGCTGCACAAATGAATCTCCAAATTTAGATTGTTATTATCATAAGGCTGGTCAGTATTGATTTGTGAGCCTATTGTCCTCTCATTCACCATCAAGGGTGTGACTGCTTTGGTTTCTACTTTTTGTATAGTTTCTGGAGTTTTCTTTAGTGTTTTTAAAAGTCTTCAAACCATATCTAATGACAAATTGACTTATGAAAATTTGGCTTCATAATTCCTCTCCCAGAAAATACAGTTCTGATTATGTTGATGGGCATGAGTAGGAAAAGGGAGACACAGCAGGACTCTAGCTCAAGTGGGATATATAAGATTTAAAGAGCTAAATGAGGGAATGACATGTCTGAATTATCAAGCACACTGAGAATAGACAGGGAGGCAAGGTCCATACAAGAAACAGATTCTGCAACACTGGTCAGGCTCAATCCACCATAAAAGCAATAGAGCTAGTAGGACAGATTGTCTGAGATAACTGTACAAGGAGATACATAACACCAGCTATTGTGGGAGATGTTAAAGTGCCAAGCATTTGAACAAAAATAAAAATGAGGCCTTGATTTTGGAGGAATGGAAGACATGGTACTGGTTCAAACACTTAAATGACTGGCATGTGAAGATAGCAACCTAGGACCAAGGCCTGGAAGTTATTACAGGGAAGCAGACTTGTTTTCAGTGTTAGGAAGAATTTTCTATTAGACTGTTCAAATGTGGAGATAGTAATTCTTAACCACTGAAAATACCCATTTAGAAATTGAAAAAAAAAAATGCATGTCAGGATGTTTTAGAATTTAAAGGAAATTTCTATAGCAGGTTTGGAAGCTGCATTAGCTTCCAAGGTTATTTTCTAATTTGAATGAGTCTATGATTTAGAAGAGCTATCTTTTGGTAAATGTATAATAGTATTTCCCTGTGATTGAATTCCCCATTTTGATATTAAATTTGATCAAGCATCAGTCATCAAATATATTTTATAAACACATCTAGATGTTTAAGACATATTCTTTCAAATTATATAATATTTAACTAAAATTACTACCTTTGCCAATATAAATACTATGCAGGAAAATAATAATTTAGGAGAAAATTGTAGGTACTGATCTTTCAGTTTCTACTCATTATAAAATGAACATACCTCTATGGCAAATCAAAGGAAAAATCCCAACTAGCAGCTCACTTTAAATGTCAGCACCATTTACAAACTTTTCCTAGTTAAAAAAAATTATCTTGAATAAATACATAGTTCCAAAAATGGTGTAGTTTTAAGACTCAGTTTCTATTGAAAAATCTTGAGTATCAAGAACCACTGAATCAAGTTATTCGCAATGCCTAAAATGCTAAATAAGTTGGAGGAGAAAACATATATCAGAAATGATGGAGATTGAGATATGTAAATAGAATGTAGAAATCTTCGGTCATGCTCTTTCATATAGGAAATTATTGAGCTAGTGATCTTCCATATGCCACAGTTTTGGGTAACTGGTCTCATTCTAAAGTCTGACTTTATAAAGTTGTTTCTTACACTGGACAGAAATAAGCTCCCTATAATTTTCAGCCTTTGTGTTTAGGTTGCCATTCAGAGCTGCCCCCTCAGAGAACATTTTTGAGATTTATACTTTCAATTCTAAATAAGAATTTCCACAACACTAGATCCAATTAAACTGAGCATGATGATCTTAAAGTAACATTATATATTCAACTACTTAATCATTACATTATAATATTTATTGCATTCAAATCTCAAAATGTAAACAGATATATCCCTCTGTGCTTAATTCTGATTTTCAAATGGTATACCTTGAGCTAATAAGCACATTGAACATATATTCAATTGCTCTTCTTGGTATCTGAGAAATACAGAATCATATTGCAGCATGTGGTCGCTCTTGAATATTAATCTAGCTTTCAAGGGTAGCACGTAATGAATATTGCTGTGATAATGACCTCCTCCACTCCCCAGACCAGAGCTGATTATGGGAAAGTAGTTAGCTTTGATTATGCAAATATTCCTCATACTACTTAGTTTCAAAGGGTGTAGATGAACAAAAGTTGCTCCACATTTTAGGAATGTCCATTAACTTTGAATTGATCTCATGTTTTAAACATACTCTTTTTTGTATTTAATAATGCTGTATACCTACTTTAAATTTTAGAAGACATTACAATATTAAAATATTTTTGGCATGCATAATGCAAATGTAGTGGAGCATGACAAAGATAATGGATTTAGAAACGTTAAATAGAATTTTTCCACAGGAATGATAGCAATCTGAATAATAAGCGTAATTATTTTGTCTCTTGCACTGTAGCATTGGCTGACGGATATAATGAAAGGAAAACAGACTTTTAAAAACACTAAGGGAAGAGCCCATAAAAGGATGTTATTTTCTCTTACCTAACCTCACAGACAGAAAAAACAGCTCCTTCTGGAGGTACTGAGAATAGACTTGAGGGATCACTGAGATTTGCAGGTCAGAAATCCAGAAAGGAGGGTGAGGCCAGAATAATATATATGGTTCTTAGACAGTGAAGCCACAGTCATTAACAAGACCAGAGGATATAACCAGACTTTAGTCATTGCTCCTGTGTGGTTGAGTTCCTTGAGGGCTTTGAAGACACAAAACCATTTTCCCATAAGGCAGATGGATCAAATGAAAGTGCTATCTTTATAAGGAGAGGCCAAATATGAAAGGAGAGGAGTTAGCGGAGCAGAGTCTAGCATAGATTGCTATGGTGATCAGGAAAAAAAAAACAGTAAATAAAGAGTAGGAGGTTTTTGATTAGACAGAGTATTTTCCTTGCAGTGATAATTGGTGGAGAGAACAAAGGTACAGAAGTAAAGGGATGGCAATCACTGAAAATGATTAAAAAGTAACCCACGGTAATTATTTAAAAAGAAAAAACTAGGGCAGAAAACCTTCTGCATTAGAAAATGTATTAAATCAAATGCAGAGGAAGCCACCTAGGCTTTGATAACAAGAATGTTTCTGGAAACATTAGCATAAAGCAAAGGCCAATCAGAACAGTAGTGGAAATCAAGAAGATGATACAACAATGAAGTAATATCAAAAAGGGATTTGATTTTGGGTTTCTCCTTTCTGAAATAGATGAACAATTCCTAAAGTCAGTGATGAAAACAATATTTATTTTAAACATACTCTATTAATATATATCCTTAAATTAACAATTCAGTAAATGCACATATAGGCTACTCACTGTGTTATGGTCTTTCTCAAATAATTTGTTTTCAAAGCCACACACACACAAACAAAAGCCTCCACTGAATTTTCCTTTTTCAAATACACAAAGTTCAGAGCCAACTACTCATGTGCTTAGATAAGAAGGCCACCAATAAATACGTCATCTAATCAGGAACAGTCCTTGATTTTTAAACTTCATGAAAATGTACTCTGATATTCCATTCTGTTTTGAAAAATACATTTGGAACTTATCGTTGCATAAATTTATATGATAAAATAAGAGAATCTTCATTTAGGTGTATTTCTACTTAGGAACACACTTTTAAAGAATGTGCACATTTGAGAAAGATTAACATTTACAACTGAGTGTAGAAAACTACATTTGGTTCCAGAGAAGTACAATCTACACATTACCTGAGATGTAAAGCAGGGGTCTTAAAACCCAAAATGCCTTTATCTTTTAAACTGATTAAAGAAACATATACTCTTGGAAGGCAGAATCACCTACCTGAGAACAATGACAACAGTACCCTTACATTGTGTGGGTTAAAGATCAAACATCTTAACAGATGCAGGTTGTGAATACTATTATCAATACCAAAAGCCAAGTCATTTTTTTTAATTTAGAAAATAATTCACTAAGAATAATTTACTGAAGTAGTAAACCAACATAGTGCTTTATAGTTGGTATACATCATCACAGAAAATTGATATGGTACTAATTTAAATCCTGAAATGTTTTATGTAGCTGAAATTTGGATAAAGCTTAAGAAATGCCATAATAATGATCCACTTAATTAGAGGTCAATTTTCTATGTCCTTAATTAGGCTGGAACCTAGCAATGATACATAAAAAGTATTTTAGTACTGCCATCCCAGAATCCAAAAATTTCCAATTGAGGGTTACATGTTAACATAAACTCAGGCCAGGTGTAACTTAGAACTACTAATTAAATCCAGAATGTTAATTTACTAAGATTGAACCAGAAAATGAGAGGGGGGGAGGAGAGAGAGAGAGAGAGCTAGAAATTGAAACCAACTGACATTGAAAACTAATCAGCAATTTTTAAAGCATTTAAGTAACTGCTAATGGCATTATAACATGGTACATTATGCTTTTAATGAAAAAATGAGTCATTAAAAAAAGTTAAACTATGTTTAGTGTACTATTTATAAAGCTGGGAGAATTATTTCTGAACTAAAAAAGGGTAAAAAGGGTACCTAAAAGAAGTTAACCAATCATCACAAATGATAGGAATTCAACAACTCATACCCGCAGTAACAATATTCTCACCTCTGATTTATTTTTTACTTCATATAAGATACAGTGTAATTCATTTTTACTCTCTCTAGAGGTTTCTCCCATCTAAACAGTACAAATCTTTTATGGACAGAGTACTTTAAAAATCAAAGTGTCAGAGTCTATGATTTGTAGTTTCATGTGAAAATACTAAGTATTCTGGATTCCCCAAGGTTAAATTATATTCAGTATAATTTTTGGTAAAATATATTTTGTATTTTAAGTTTTTGGAAACTGTTTATTCATATATGGTGTACATACATAATAACTAAAAGCAGGAATGTTTTATTTCATTAAGATGTATAGATCTTTTTACCTATCATTTTGGTTAACAAATTTACTTTAGGTTACTAGAACTGGACTCGTTTTAGAATGTTCAAGCACATAGATTAGAAAACCATGGGTCTCTGTATTTATTAAACTGAATCACCTGGCAGTAAAATTCTGTTAAGGCTCTAGGCATTGGTGAAACTTCTTCCCATTCAGACCTGTTGCTGTGGTAGACCTGCACTTCATCTGTGATTTCATCTGGTGCATAATCACCACCTAATATATAAATTTTATCTTCAATTCCAATTGCACCTGCATTAAAGCCTGCACACTCAAAAGATCCTTCGCCTTTCCAAACACAAGTGTCTGGACAAAAACTATAAACCTTATAGGTGGAAAGGTCACATATATACAGTGTACAGTTTACTGGTACAGCTTTAATTAATGTTGCATGAAAAAATTGCCCAAACTCTGCTACTAGTTCAGACCACTGATCAGTTGTAGCATTGTATTTAAAAAAGCAATCAAGTGATGGGTTAAAAGCATCTGTAATCTCTACCTCTGATCCAAGAACATAAATTACATTTTGGCATGTGCTTGCTTCTGGATAGTATATGCCTCTGGGTAATGGGCTAACAGATATCCATTCTTTGGAAAGAGGATTGTAAGATTCAACATCTAAGAGACTTTTAATGTCCCGGGATCCTCTAGTTTTTCCACCTATGACAAATAATCTATCGAGAGCCATAACTGATGTATGCATGGTTCTTGGTGTTTTCATAGTTGATACCAAGAAGAAATCATTTTTCACTGGACAGTAGCACCAGGTTTGATCAGTGGCATCATGATATGACTCGGCAATATGCAGTCGAACCGTTCGACAACATTTCCCTTTGCAACCACCTGTCAAGAATATTTTCTCTCCGTAACTCGAAAGACTAGATCCTGGCAAATCAATCAGGTGTGATTGCGGCAGTATTTTCCATGAATCAGATTTAATGTTATAGCAAAATGTATATTGATTTTCTCCATTTTCCTCAGTTTTGTGAATGAATATGTATTTCTCAGTTGTGGATGGTCGAGCATCAGGGAAGAGTCCACCAGAACCTTGCACACACTTAATTGCATCCATGATTATGTCAAAACAGTTTGTGCTTTTGAGTAAACTCTCTTCATTGAACAGACAGTCCTGAAGTGTCTCCTCAGATAACTGATGTAATCTCACTTTTTCAATCAAATGAGGCAGATACTTTTGCCTTGATTCTAAGTTATGTTTAGTCCAACTAAGGACAACTTTCAGTACCATTTCTTCTTCAGGAACATTTAATTCATCTGATTCCAGACATTTCTGTAGTACTCCAAAATTCATCTCTAAGAAATCACTGGATTTAAATAATAAAGAAAAGTGATGTTGTACAAAGTGTAATGCATGATCAAACAAACTGGTGGAGCCATAGCTATCTGATATAGATAATAACTGTAAACAATTGACAAGATTAATACTTTTTATTAAAAAGTCACTGCAAGCTTTGGATAGGAAGGAAACTTGAAGAAATGATGACAACTGGAAGAACATTTCCACATTATCATCTGTTATTTTTGTTTTTCCAGTATAGGCATAATCGAGAAATGCTTTTACTGCCTTGGAGGACAAATTAGTAATGGTAACACTTCCATCATCTCTTTCTTTCATGTTTACTTCAAACATAGCCCTGCAAAAATAAAGAACACAGAAAAACAGCAAGAATATTTTATTCCATAATTATTTTCAATATTACCTTAAAGAGGTTTCCTTACTCTTGACTTAAATATATTTATAAAAGCATATTTTAATTGCCTCCTAATTAATATCTAGAATAATTATATAATATATTATTTATCTGCCAACAAACATATTACAAAATGCCTATATTACAAAAATGTACATTACAGCTGAGCTATAGCAACTAATAAAAAAAGACTATAAAAAGATTCAAATTTTGTATACTTGTTTATTATTAATACTATTGGGGCAAAATCTTGCTGATGGCCAAATTTCTTTATTTATGGATTAATTAGTAACAGCTGTGCTGGTGATAACTAAAATTACTTAAAATATAATTATTTAGGGCTTAGGATTTAAAAGTGTCTTTCAAATTCATCTTTGATTTCACATTAATGAAACAGAAAAGAGTACAGTAAGATACCTGATGTCTCCAATGACTCTATTGGGTGGGGAAAATTCACCAAATAAGATACATGTCTAAAAAGATATTTTATATAGTTCTTTAGGAGAAGGGGAATGTGATTTCCTAAAACTAAACAATAACAGTGTACCACATCAAGCAAAAAGGTGAAAAAAAGAAAAGTTTGGTAATAGGCACTGAGAGATAGAGATAGGCCCTCAAATTTGAATAATTAGACCAGCTTGAAAGTTCTTCATAATAAGTTTTGTTTTATTGCTACATGGTAAAGTTGACAGAATCTAAGGAACTGAGAATTTCTTTGGCTCAGTTTAGGTAAAAACATAAATTATTTGGAAATGTATGGGCATGGAACAAAATGTATTTTACTATTGCTTCTGGTTTAATAATGATTTGTATTTGTGCCAGTATTGTCCAGGATGTCTTTCTGAGCAGTGTTCCTAGTTGCCCAAAGTATACTAGGGGAAAACCAATTTACTTATCAGAGTCTACTCAAGAAGGTAATGAAATCTATTTAAAAAGTACAACATCCAACTGAAAAATATGAGGGGACTTGCAAAATGTTACACATTACGCAGGGATTTTTAGTAATGTATATCAATAGAAATATTAACCTGTGATAATAATTATATGGATTATTAAGACACCTACAGCAGTTTAGGATAATATTAAGAGTCCATGTAGCCCAGCTGGCTATATGGTCCATAGGGCCCAGCTGCCAGTGTATGTAGCCACTGCCACTTATTAGCTGTGTGGCCTTGGGGAGGTGACTTAACTTTATTGTGCTTCAAATTCTTCATCTGAAAATGCAGGTACTGGTAGTATCTATGTCATTGGGTGCTGAGAAGAATAAATGGGTTAACTGATGCAAAGTATTAGCTTTTATTGGTATCATTATTTTAAAAAATGTTTTCTATCAGATTTGATGTATTTATAATTTACTATCGGCTTCCACATTTTCTTTGAGAAGACACGTGTAAGATTATATTTCTATATTTCATTCTATTAATCTTAGAGTATCCAGTTAACATCTATCTCCAATTTACCATCTTATCATAAAGTATGTATAAAACATGTGTGATTCCTTTTCAATTTCTTGTCTCCAATGACATTCCATCTCAGTAATAATTTTTGTTTTCCAAAAACACTGTAAGAGGGATATTTTCATGCATTGTGCACTTTTCTGACATTTTTATTTTACATTTTCAGTATTCCATTGAGTGAGTTTGATCATATTGTGAATTAGCAGCATTATAGGAGAGTGTAAATTGTCAAATGTCTATTACATATGTACATATTTTAATGTGAATTATGTACTCATTTAATAAAGTACTATATGTAATAAAGGATCTGATATTTTTGTTATTTAAACCAGGTAGAAAACTTTAAAAATACATTGTTCTAACAGTAATTTTAAAAACTAAAAGCAGACCTATAAAAAACTAGCAGTAAGCTGAACAAAGAAATATGTGCAAAAATTATATGTAAATTGAATAAAAAATAGCATCAAGAAGAGTGCAGGTCCATAAATTGAAATGCCTACATAAGAGTATTTTATTAGCATGAAAACATCACAGGGAAATCAAGCTGTGTGTTCACACCAGATTATTTATATTTTTGCTAGGTTTAGAAATAATAATCATAGCAGCTAATATTAACTGAATGTAGTAGGTACGGTGCTAATTATCACTTATATGTTATTTCATTTAAGCAATATAATAATTCTATGAGTTAAGTCCCATTTTTATAATCCTACTTTTTTACAAATAAGGAAACTGAGGCCTGAAGGAGTTAAGTAACTTGCCTAATAAAACATGTCTAGTAAATGGTAGAGCTTGGATTTAGATTTAGGGCATATGTATTAAGAGGCCCACTACTTAACCACTGTACCACACAGCTTCCTGTGATGAAGAGGGGACCTGAAGGATATGGGGGCAGAAAAGAGTTACATGGAAGAAAACTTAGGTTATAAGAGAGGAGGGAAGACACTGGTAGAAATAAGAATGGCAGAGTATAAGACAGTAAGGGCCCCAGGGAAGTTCAAAGAACAACTTTGATTAACTGAGAGAAGAAATAAAAAGAATAGATGAAGACATATAGTCAAATTAGGCAAACAGCTAGTTCAAGACCGTTGTAGCCTCCATGGCCCCAGTAAACTGTGCTGCAGTACTAAGCCATTGCTCCCAATTTCAAAGCAAGAGCCCCTACAGGAACAGGTGTTTAGCAGGAAGTATGTATCAGTAAATGTTTGTTGAATGAAATCTAGCTTGTAAGATTTACTCTAAAGGCAATAAGGATGAGATCTAATTAGATGGTGGTAAAAAAAAATTAAGGGTTAAATTGAGGATTCAAAACAGTATAAATTAACTTGCATATAAAATATGCATCTTAGTATTTCTATATCTTAAACCTTATTTTTTAATCAAGTTTATTGGAGATTTAAACCCTGCTTAATTCAAATTAAAATTGCTTCCACAAATGAACATAATGCAAAATATTGCAATTAGGATTTAAGTTTATTGTAGTATAACTAGGAAGGCTGAAGATCAGGGTTTCACCAAAAGGGGCTTGTCTATTGACCAAGAAGCCTCACAGGATAGTACTACCTTGATACAATTAACACAGTAATTGCAAGGTCATGTGTCTGACCCTTAACTTCGCAGAAATGGAAATCTGCTGTCATCATAGTGATTACTGCAGTGTTATGAATAGGACATTCTCTTTAGGGTGATCTACATGGGAAACCAAATTATATTCAGAAGGTTGCTTAGAATTAGAACAAGCTGAGAGCTTTCAAGAAATGCCTTATAGCTAAGAAGTACTTTTCCCTAATATAAGGAGAGGATGAATTTGCTAAGGAGAGGATAAATTTTTAAATCGGTTAGACCCTCCTCTCCCCGTAATACATGAATACAACACAGGACGGAAATTTTCTTTTCTCGCAGAGTTATTTTCTTCAAATTTTGCTTCCATTTTTGTTCAACCTGTCGTCTTCTTTTTCTAAAATAATACAACACAGGGATCCCCCAAACAAAGCTGACACCATCAAAAAAATTTCTTCTGTCCCAGCGTAGTTCAAGGGATTAATGTTCCAGAGAACTTTGGGAAATGCTGACCTGGGAAGACCTATACGTTAAAAAAAGGTAGTCTTAAATTCTCTCCTACTAAAAAATCACGGCCCAGCGCAGTGGCTCACACCTGTAATCCCAGCACTTTGGGAGGCCGAAGTGGGCGGATCACGAGGTCAGGAGATTGAGACCATCCTGGCTAACACGGTGAAACCCCGTCTCTACTAAAAATACAAAAAATTAGCCGGGTGTGGTGGCGGGCACTAGTCCCAGCTACTTGGGAGGCTGAGGCAGGAGAATGGCTGGAAGCCGGGAGGCGGAGCTTGCAGTGAGCCGAGATCGCACCACTGCACTCCAGCCTGGGCGACAGAGCGAGACTCCCTCTAAAAAAAAAAAAAAATCATTAGTTAATCTTGGTTCTAATTAGGTTTTTTGTTTTTGTTTTTTTGAGATGGAGTCTCGCTCCATTGCCCAGGCTGGAGTGCGGTGGCGCGATCTCAGCTCACCCAACCTCAGCCTCCTGGGTTCAAGCGATTCTTGTGCCTCAGCCTCCTGTATAGCTGGGATTACAGGCGCACGCCATTGCGACCGGCTAATTTTTGTATTTTTAGTAGAGACGGAGTTTCACCATGTTGGCCAGGCTGGTCTTGAAGTCCTGACCTCAGGTGATCCGCCCGCCTTGGCCTCTTAGGGTGTTGGGATTACAGGCGTGAGCCACCGTGCCCAGCCTAATTAGGTTTTGTTTTTGTTTTTTTTTTTAGAATTAAAAATTACTGTTGCATGTTCTTGTGGGGAAAAACTTGAGTGCAGTATAAAATAGAACTTAATTATCCAAATCATAAAATCTGAGGCATAGACAAGGTAAAGTACCTGAAAAAGTCACTGCATGCTGCTAACACACAACGATGACACGGGATTATTTCATCTTTCATAATTATTTTGAAATCATAAAAGACATTTTGTTCTCTAAAATTCTGTAGTACACTTAAGATTTTTTGTCCATGATCTTCTGATACAAGGAAGTTGTTTTTCTTCTCAGATGGAATTCCATTACATGTGCTTCGTTGATTGAAAGCATATGAATTATCCATAGCCAATTCCATATGTCCTTAGAACTAGAATAAAAACAAAATCACCGATGTAGTAGAGACCTAATGCAAGTTTCAGACTCCAAAATTCGCCCTCTTGATGGCAAATACACAAAAATAACCACTAAGAAAAATAATAAGACAGTAAAACTTGTTTTAAACATTTGTTTTCCTGACATTTAATATTAAATTCCTTTTGAATTTTCATAAATGTTGAGCTCATTGGAATAAAAGTATATTTTTCATAAGGGCTAACATTGAAGGCTATATAATTGTGTTAAATAGCAAAATGTACAAGTTGTATAAATAGCTTATATAGGATTTCACTACATGATTAATATTATTACTATACATAAGAGGTATTATTTCTAACATAGTTTTGAGTATATGCCCAACACAATCCCCCTCCTTTCCAATCC
Source organism: Homo sapiens (assembly GCF_000001405.40). Classification (NCBI taxonomy): domain Eukaryota; kingdom Metazoa; phylum Chordata; class Mammalia; order Primates; family Hominidae; genus Homo; species Homo sapiens. Next base: position 106,059,502 of record NC_000011.10, read on the forward strand.
ATTCTCTTCTGGTAACAAAGTAGCTGTTAAAATGCTGATCTTGGACCATAGACTATATGCCTTCTGAGGTTAGACTTTTACAAGATAATTGGTTGAAAAAGATCAGTGTTAGATTGCATTAATTAGTTATGGCTTTAGTGAAGAAGAAAAAGGCAAGCACTTTTCCAAGTTGGGCTATTTAAAAGTAGAAAGGAAAATCACATATATCTTAATTAAGAAAGATTTTTTAAACATGAGGTCAGAAATCCAAGATAGGTAAAGATCAGATAATTGTGAATATCATGAACTGCAAATTCAGCTCTAAACATAAAAGTTGCATCATCAAAAGCAAGGAAGTGGGAAACAGAAAGGAAAAGAGGATTGGGAACTTGGAGAACCAGAAAAATAGAAAACCTTGATTCGACATTTCTGTTCCAGTTATCACCCTAAAATTAGTGGCTTAAGACAACAATTTATAATCTCTAATGGTCCTGTGAGTTTAGGTGATGATTCTTGCTTGGGAGCTTTCATACAACTACAGGCAAATGGCAGCTGTGGCTGAAGCCATCTGAAGGTCTGACTGGGTTACATGTCCAGTATGGTTTCCTCATTCACGTTTCTTATGATTCAGCTGGGACGGCTAGAAGAGAGGGGATCTTTCTTCCTTTTTTTGTTTTTTTTTTCTGAGAACACTTAAATATTTATTGATTCATTTAAAAAGAAAAAATTTGATATAACTATATTCGATATATCTATTTAATACACATATTCATATATATCCATTTTATATACATACCTATGTATATAACTATATATAACTACAAAAATATATAAATGGATAACTGTAAAATAACTATTTTCCAAAACAAAAAAAAAGTTTCTTGAGAAGGGTTACATTGTTTTATATTTTTGCAAATCTCTTTAACATCTGGCTTAATGGAAGACAACTAGATTCTCATATCTGCTTCTTTATTCAATCTTTTGTGAAGCTGTATACCATGTGGGCACACATTTACAACCATCTGATCTTTGACAAACCTGACAAAAACAAGCAATGGGGAAAGGATTCCCTATATAATAAATGGCCCTGGGAAAACTGGCTAGCTGTATGCAGAAAACTGAAACTGGACCCCTTCCTTACACCTTATACAAAAATTAACTCAAGATGGATTAGAGACTTAAGTGTAAAACCCCAAACCATAAGAGACCTGGAAGAAAACCTAGGCAATACCATTCAGGACATAGGCATGGGCAAAGACTTCATGACTAAAACACCAAAAGCAATTGCAACGAAAGCCAAAATTGACAAATGGGATCTAATTAAACTAAAGAGCTTCTGCATAGCAAAAGAAACTAGCATCAGAGTGAACAGGCAACCTACAGAATGGGAGAAAATTTTTGCAATCTACCCATCTGAAAAAGGTCTAATATCCAGAATCTACAAGGAACTTAAACAAATTTGCAAGAAAAAAACAAACAACCCCATCAAAAAGTGGGCAAAGAATATGACACCTCTCAAAAGAAGGATATGACACTTCTCAAAAGAAGACAGTTATGTGGCCAACAAATATATGAAAAAAATCTCATCCTCACTGATCATTAGGGTTTTCTCTTTCTTAATGCACCCTCTCCAAGTGGCTAGCTGGTGCTTCTTCACAGCATGACAGTCTCAGAGTGGCTGGGCTTCTTGCATGAAGCTTGGTTCTCCCAGAGCGGGTGTTCCAAGAGGCCTAGGTGGAAGCTAGATACTGGAGAAGTAGTCCAAATTGTCCTACAGCATCAATTAAGGCTCCATTCCAGGACCAAGACAATCTACTGTTGTGCTATGCAATACAGTAACCATGAGCCATGTGTAGCTATTTAAATTACTTGTAAGTAAACAAAACTAAAAATTCAGGTCCCTCATTGCTCTAGCCACATTTAAGTGGTCAGTCATATGTGGTGTGATGAGTGACAATTTGTTTGGGACACAGAGTGCCCACATTTTTGGTTAAACATTACTTCTGGGTATGTCTGTGAGAGTGTTCTAGATGAGATTAACATTTGAATTGGTACACTGAGTAAAGCAGATTGTCCTCCCCACTGTAGATGTGCCTCAGCCTGTCTGTTGAAGGTCTGAATAGAACAAAAGGCTGAATAAGAAAGAACTCTTTCTTTCTGCCTGACTTCAAGCTGGAACTCAAACTGGAACTATACCATCAGCTCTCCTAAGTCTCCTGCTTGCTGACTACAAATCTTGGGTCTTCTCAGCCTCCATAATCACATGAGCTAATTCCTTATAGTTTTTCTGTCTGTCTCTCTCCATATATATATATTACAAACACATATACAAGTATATAGTAAAAATACCTATACATATGTATAGTACAAATACATATACATATATGTGTGTGTGTATATATATATCCCTTTAGTTCTGTTTTTCTGAATAAGTCAGATTAATACATCTGCCTAGTGACTACTATATTATACAAAGCAAATATAAAACATTCTCATCATCACAGAAAGTTCCACTGGATAGCCATTACACTGTGTGGAAAAATAGCGTGCCTGTGTGAATGTGTGTGTGGCTGTGGAGGTGTGTATGTGCCTGTGTGTGCAGGAGAAAGTAATAGGTTGTAACTGGCAGTACTGCTGGAAATCTAAGTGACTTGTAGAAATCATTTTGTGTGTAGTGTTCTGAGTAACTATGAATAGGGAGACATATTAAAAATGAGAGTGGGTATCATGGAGGAAGAGAGATAATGAAAGGCTTGGAGGTTATTTCTGAGGAAAAGGAACTAGAGAAAACAAAACCAATGTGATGGATGAAGATGAGGGCAGAGAGAGAGAGCAAGAGAGAGAGACAGTGAAAGATTGATTTATTATAAGCTCATGTGATAATAGAGGCTAAGAAGTCCCAAGATCTACAACTAGTTAGCTGGATACCCAGGAGAGCTGACAGTACAGTTTCAGTACAAGTGCAAAGGCCTGAGAACCACAACAGCCAATGGTGTAAGTTTCAATCCAAAAGCTGGCAAGCATAAGACCCAAGAGGAGTCAGTTTTTCAATTTGAGTCCAATGGCAGGAAAAGACTGATGTATGTCCCAACTCAAATAGGCAGGATAAATTTCCTATTACTCAGTCTTTTATTCTATTCAATTCTTCATTTGATTGGATAAGGCCCACCACACAGGAGAATCTGCTTTACTTGGTCTCCTGATTCACATGTTAATCTCATCCAGAAATATCCTTACAGACACATTCAGAATGTCTGACCAAATGTCTGGGCACCAGATGGCCCAGGCAAGCTTATAAATGAAATTAACTGTCACAACAGTTCAAATCTTGACTTAACAATGTTGATAACATATGACCTAGGACAGAAAAAGAGTATTTCAAATTACAGTGAGGCATAAAGACAATTATATATGGCTAATGTCCCAGAACTAATTCTTTACCTCACAAGGCATCTTCATAAGTCACTTGTAAGACTGTTTTTAAAATTATGCATGTTTTCTCTTCTTTTCTAATATTTATAAAATACACAGATATGAAATATTAGTTTGTATAAAAATCATACATCTTCCCAAGAGTGTGATATAATGTTGTTAAATAAGATGGCTATTAGCCTGAGGTTACCCTCTGTAGCCAGCCCTCTTATGTAAGAGAACTGAAACTTAACTTGGAAACATTTATTGTAACTGACTTAAAAACCAAAAACCAAAAACAAGCCTTAGCCAATCACAAACAGCCAACCAACCTGCTGGTTACAAATAGGGAACTTCCATCAGACAATATCCAAATAAGGCAAATGCCTAGCCATAGTCAATCAGGTAATTTCTCTACTTTGTTTCCATGTTCAACCTATAAAAGCTTGCTGGTCACACTGCTGGAGTGGAGCTCTCTGAACCTCCTTCAGTTTTGAATGCTACCTGATTCATGAATTGTTCTTTGCTCAAACTCCGTTAAATTTTATTTATCTAAAGCTTTTATTTTAACAATGCGAAATGAAAGAAAAAGTAGGGCATTAGAATCAGGCTTGAGTTCCAGTGCTGGTTCAGCATTTACTTGTGACATATTTGAGGTAAATAACTTCTAATTTTTTATTATTTTCATCATTTGTAAACTGCAGATAAACTATATCTATCTAGTTGTGTTGTTGAGAATATTTTAAAAAATACATAATTGGCCGGGTGCAGTGGCTTATGCCTGTAATCCCAGCACTTTGGAAGGCTGAGATGGGCAGATCACATGGTCAAGAGATCGACACCATCCTGGCCAACATGGTGAAACCCCTTCTCTAATAAAAATGCAAAATTTAGCTGGGTGTGGTGGCGCATGCCTGTAGTCCCAGCTACTCGGGAGGCTAAGGCAGGAGAATCGCTTGAACCCGGGAGGTGGAGGTTGCAGTAAGCCGAGATCCTAACACTGCACTCCAGCCTGGTGACAGAGAGAGACTCTGTCTCAAAAAGAAACGTAATTTAGCATATAATGTGTGTAAAATAAGTGGAAGTTAAGGCTTATTTTCTAAGAAACTTAACAGAAAAGACAAGCAAATCATTTCATTGACATTAATCAATAAGTTTACACTTATAAAATGGTGGAGGAAGGGACAAGAGAAGCAGCTCTCTAATAATTCCTAGGGCATAAGAGCGAAGTTGAACACAAGCGCTATCATTGCAAAGGTGTTTAATCTGGAGTGTCAGAATCAAAGGAAATAATAAAGAATTGGTGGGAGATTTGTGCCAGCCTCCCTAACTCCAAGATGATGAAAACAAATGTTTAAAAGAAATAGCCAGGGACCGGGAGTGGTGGCTCACCCCTGTAATCCCAGCACTTTAGGAGGCCGAGGCGGGTGGATCACCTCAGGTCAGGAGTTCAAGACTAGCCTGGCCAAAATGGTGAAACCCCGTCTCTATGAAAATACAAAAATTAGCCGGGCATGATGGCAGCTGCCTGTAATCCCAGCTACTCGAGAGGCTCACCGAGAGGATCGCTTGAGCCTGGGAGGCAGAGGTTGCAGTGGGCCAAGATCATGCCATTGCACTCCAGCCTGGGTGACAGAGTGAGGCTCTGTTTCTAAATAAATAAATAAATATAAAAGGAATAGCCAGGAAGTATTTATACTATGCAAAAGGGCACGCAAAGCAGATAAACAGACAATATGATTGAAAACAGTCTATACTAGTTTGACAGAAATGTGTTAAAGCTGTGCAAAGGATCAAGGTGTCTTCTCAGTGTCACAGTGTAGCCAAGATGTTACTCCTGGTCTCATTCTCCAGTCTAGTGATGAGCTCGGGCATCCATAACCTATAATAGTATTATAGGGAATCTCTATGGCCTGTCTAAAATAACTACAGAATCGGGTGACTCAGTCCAGATTGCCTGGATGCCCCTTGGAATCGCTCTATATTTTCATCCACTAAAAGATATGTATTTAAATCCCTCTAATGTGATAGAAGAAGTTAGACACTGAGGATCAAAAGATAGGTTATCTCCTACAACCTTATATTCCACTGGATTTCTAAAAGTTCTCTGGAAGATTAGAATAATAGATGTTGGCAAGGATATTTGATCAACATGGAACATTCTAAAGCAGTAATTACTACCCCATCCTCCAGGCTATCCAGTAGGGGAGACATGGGGAAAAGGATGTGGGGTAGATACTGAATATTTTTTTCACAATGGTTTTGTTCAAAAATACATAATAATTTTCGTATTTTTAGTAGAGACGGGGTTTCACCATGTTGGCCAAGATGGTCTTGATCTCTTGACCTCGTGATCCGCCCACCTTGGCCTCCCAAAGTGCTGGGACTACAGGCGTGAGCCACCGCGCCCGGCCTGTTTTTGTTCTATACATGATCGATATGTACACATGTTATCTGTGGAGCACTTGCTACATACCCAGTGCTGGTCTAGATGGATTGAAAATATAGTGGAAAATAGAATTTGTGAATGACACAAAGTGAGCAAGGTATATGGTTGAGGAAGAATTCACATGGAACAGTGAGAGAAATGGAGGAAAACCAGGAGAGGCAGTAGAAACTAAGGGAAGAGAATTTCAAGTATGAAGTTGTCACCTATATCATCAAAAGGTGATGGGAAAAAAGTCACTGATAATTTGGGGTAAAATAGGGAGAGAACGGATTAGAGTGGAGTTAAGTGGAAATAATGGGCACAATTTATAGACATTATTCTTTTAAAAAGTTCATCAAGGCTGGGCGCGGTGGCTCATGCCTGTAATCCCAGCACTTTGGGGGGCTGAGGCAGGTGGATCACCAGAGATCAGGAGTTCAAGACCAGCCTGGCCAACACGGTAAAACCCCGTCTCTACTAAAAATACAAAAATTAGCCAGGCATGGTAGTGGGCACCTATAATCCCAGCTACTCAGGAGGCTCAGGCAGGAGAATCGCTTGAACCCAGGAGGCAGAGGTTGCAGTAAGCTGAGATCACACCACTGCACTCCAGCCTGGATGACAGAGCAAGACTGTCTCAAAAAAAAAAAAAAAAAAAAAATCATCAGGTGGGGCCTAGAGGAGCATGTAGATACCAGGAAATTTTGTTTTGCTTTGGTATAGATGGGAGAAACTTGTGCATGTTAATAAACTGAAAACAAAGGGCATATATGGAGGGAAATTTTGACAATGATCACAACAATCTAAATTCAATATCTACATCCACATCATACAGCAAAATGTTTTGGACCTTTAAACCAATAAATTGGAGAACAATACTATACAGCAAAACTTCTATTTCTGTTGACAGGTAAACACTGATAGGCAAACAAATGGTTCCGTTTCTAGCCATTTATTTGTTGTTTAGTTGTTTAGTGATATAATAAGAATGAAGGTACCGGGATTTATCAAAAATAATTTATACAGTTATTTCATCCAACACTCATAATAATCCTTTAAGATTGGTATTAATAATTACTTTTTCAAACAGCAAATTGAGGCTCAGAGATTAAATAACATGCCTAAAAACATAAAACTAGTAGAAACATGCTTATTCCACTAAATGTCCATGTTATTTCCAAAATGAATCATTCTGACCCTGGATTTTAATATCAAATGAAAGCTCAGAAAGCAATTTTAGTGCTCTTTAGATCCAACTATAAATGTACTTGTCAAAAGTTACCACAGCAATTTAAGATCATTCTTAATAAGGATGACATACATGATAATACCAGCTAATATTTGGTGAGCCAGTAAGCTGTGCCACAGAGTTCACATAGTATTTGATTTGATTCTTAAAAATATAATCCCTATTAAAAAAAAAAAAAACAAAAAGACTCTGCTTCCAGTAAGGTTTAGATGTATCTTTCCCTATTTCTCCTGCTAAGTACAAAAAAAACAAAAACAACAACAACAACAATAACGAAAAACCCTGGAGGTATATATAAATATAAATAAACATATATATACATACATATGAAGACAAATAAATGAAGATGATGAAAAGTGGAAAGATGAAATCAGACTGACTAGTGATCTGAGGAACAACATACTGGTGAGTTCCCTGGGTTTTCCTTTTGCCTAGTATGTTCTAGATCCTACAAAAGCTGCAACCCTGATACACCAGTGGGCACACACATAAACAGCCTCCAAACTGCCCTCTTTAATCACAGAACCAGAAAAGGAGCAACCTAACAAGACAAAAGTTTTAAGGAAATAACCACTCCACCAGAGCAGAAGACCACACAAAAAAATTCTGGCTCTATACCCACCCAAGCCTGCAAAGGTACAACGGAGAGCCTAGAATTTCACTAATGACAGGCTATAATGAGGTGCTTCTATCGTTCTCCTCCTACTAGAATGATATTGGAGAAGGCTAAATAATCACTAAAACATCTATGCAGGCCAGGCATGGTGGCTCACACGTGTAATCCCAACACTTGGGGAGGCCGAGGAGGGCAGATTACCTGAGGTCAGGAGTTCAAGACCATCTTGGCCAACATGGTGAAACACCTCTCTACTAAAAATACAAAAATTAGCTGGGTGTGGTGGCAGGCACCTGGAGTGGTAGGCTCCCAGCTACTCAGGAGGCTGAGGCAGAAGAATTGCTTGAACCCGGGAGGCAGAGGTTGCAGTGAGCCGAGATCGTGCCACTGCACTACAGCCTGGGAGACAAGAGCAAAACTCCGTCAAAAAAAAAAAAGGTCTATTCAAAGAGATAACGTTCATAAGTCACTATAGCTAAATCAAAATTAAATTCTAAAAAAAGTTCAAGTAAGCCACAGGAGACAGACAGAAAAAACAGAAATAAAAACAGAATAAACAGAAAACAGAAAATAAATTACAGACTTCAATACTGACGTTGCAATAATTGCACTAAATGTAAGTGGTCTACATATACCAATTAAAAGATAGATTACCAGAGAAGATTAAAAAGTGACCCAACTTTATGCTTCCTACAAGTAAATTCACTTCAAATATAATAAGTAGGTTGAAAGTAAAAGGATAGGAAAAGATATACTATGCAAGCATTAATTAAAATAAAGCAGGCATGGCAATATAATTACAAGATAAAGTAGACTTGAGGAAGGGAAAGGAATATTATGTAATGCCCATCCACCACCGAGAAGACTAGCAGTCAAAAATATATATGCACCAAATGATAGAGCTGTAAAATATGTGAAGCAAAAACTGATAAAACTGAAAAAAAAATAGACAAATCCACTATTATAGCTGGAGACTTCAACACTCTTCTCTCTAAAATTAATAGAACTAGACAAGAAGTCAGTAAGCATATAGAGCTCAACAACACCATCAATCAACAGAATCTAATCAACATTTATAGAAAACTCCACCTAACAACAGCAGACTACATATTCTTTCACCACGATGAAATCAAACTAAAAATCAATAACAAAAAGATAACATAAACATCTCCACACACTTGGAAACATAATAACACACTTCTAAATAATCCATGGATCAAAGAGAAAGTTTCAAGTGTAATTTAAAACATACATTGAACTGAAGAAAATCTAAAATACAATATATCAAAATGTGTATGATGCAGCTAAAATAGTGTGAGAGGAAAATTTTTAGCATTAAGTGCTTACATTACTACAACTCACCCAATATGAAATATATAATTTGAACAGCCCTGTAACCATTAAGGAGATTAAATTTACCAAAAGTTTAAAGAAGAATTAATACCAGTTCTACACAACTTCTTCAAGAAAACAGAAGCAGAAGGAAGACTCCCAACTAATTTTATGAAGTGAGTATTACTGTGGTACTCCAGACAAAGACGGTACCCAAAACAAACAAACAAAAACCAAAATCCCACACTATGGACCAATATACCTCACAAATATAGATGCAAAAATTGTTTAAAAAATATTAGCAAAAAATCAGCAATATATAAAAGGAATTATACACTATGGCTAAGTAAGTTTATCTAAGGATGTAAGGCTGTTTCAATATTTGAATACCGATTAGTGTAATTTATCCTATTAGGCAGCTAAAGAAGAAAAAACACAAGACCATATCAACTGATGCATAAAAAGCATTTGAAAAAATACAACACCCAGTTATGGGGAAAACTCTTAGGAAAAGAGAAAGAGAGGGGAAAAGTTCCCCCTTCTCAACTTGGTAGAGAAAAATCTACAAAAAACCTATAGATAACATTATGCTAAATTATGGAATGCCTTCCCCCTAAGATGAGGAAAACAGCAAGGATGTCCACCCTTACCACTGCTATTCATCATAGTTCACACTTATTTAGAAGTATATTATTCAGTTTCCAAGTGCATGTAAGCTCTAGCAAGCACACTAAAACAAGAAAATTCAATAAAAGGCATATACATCGGAAAGGAAGAAACAAAACTGCCTCTATTTGCAAATTCCAAGATAGTCCATGTAGAAACTCCAAAGGAATCTACCAGAAAAAAACCTCATAGAACGAATCAGCAAGTTCAGCAATGCCACAGGACACAAGAGCATCACACGAAAATCAATCATATTTCTATATACCAGCAATAAACACATAGAAACAAAAATTAAAACAAAAACAAAAATTAAAAGTATAATAGTTCAAAAAAAAAAGAAGTGAAAGAAATACTTACGTATAAATCTAACAAAACATGCACAGGACTTGTATGCTGAAAAATATAAAATGCTAAAAAAAAAAATAAAAGAAGACTAAAATGGAAAGACATGCCATGTCTGCAAATTGGAAAAGTCAACTTAATAAAGATGTCCCCTTAATTTCCTCCAAACTGATATAAAGGTTTAACACATTTTTTATCAAAATCCTGGCACAATTTTTTGTATATACAGATGAGATTACTGTAAAATTTATATGTAATGATAAAGAAAATAGAATATCTAATACAACCAAAAAGAATAATAATGAGGGAAGTATCAGTCTACCTGATTTCAAGACTTACTATAGCTATGGTAATCAATACTGTGTAATATTAGTGAAAGGAGAGACACATAGATCAGTGGAATGCAATACACAATTGAGAAGTAGCCCCATACAGTACAGCCAAGTGACTTTTGACAAAGGTACAAATGCAATTCAATGGAAGAAAAAGAATCTTTTTTAACAAAAAATGCTGAAGAAAATGGATATCCACAGGCAACAAAAAAATGAACCTTGACCTATACTTCATACTTTATGTAAAAATTAACTCAAAACGGTCATAGATTTAAATGTAAAATATAAAACTTTTAGAGGCAAATACAGAAGAAAATCCTTGCAACCAGGGTCTCATTAATGAGCTCTTAGACATCAAAAGCATAACACATAAATGAAAAAAATTAATAGATTGGATTTTATATCAAAATTATATTTTTCCTCTGTGAAAGTCCCTTTATTTAAGAGGATGAAAAGACAAGCTATGAGCCAGGAAAAAAATATTTGCAAACTGAATCTAATAAAGAAATAATCTATAAAGAAATCTGAAAACTTACCAGTAAAAACACCAGACAATTCAATTTAAAAAATGCGCAAAAGGCACAAAGAGATATTTCACCAAAGAGAATATACAGATGGCAAATAAGCACATGAAAAGATGTTCAACATCATTAGTCATTATGGAAATGGAAATTAAGACTGCAATAAATATCCCTAACCATCTATCAAAATAGCTAAAATAAAATATAATGACAACACCAAATGCTTGAGGGCTTGCAGAGACACTGGATCACCCATACATTGCTGGTGGAAATAGTTTGGCAGTTTCTTAAAAAAACTAAACATACACATACCATATTACCCAAGAATCATGCTGCTGACCATTAGAAATAAAAGCTTGTGTGTGTGCAATAGCCTCTACATGTTTCATAATGCTTCATTTGTATAGCCAAAAGCTGAGGACAACCAAAATGTTGCACAATAGGTGAAAGAGTAAACAAATCATGGTACATCCATACCGTGGAATACTACTCGCCATTAAAAATGGATGAAGTGTTGATACACATAATTTAGATAGGTTACAGGAATCTACACGTGAGAAAATTACAAGAAACTACACACACACATTGTACTAATGTCAAATTCCTGGTTTTGATCTTTTACTAGAATTATGTATGCACCCATATGGGGAAACAGGGTGAAGGGTACATGGAAACTCTATCTTTACAACTTCTTGTGTAATTATTTTAAGATATTAAAAGATAACAAAAGATCAATCAATTCAGAAACTATTTTGATGTTCCAGCTTTCTTCTTGCTCAAAACATAGAAAATGCAAATAAAACATAATTATTTAATTGGTATAAAATCATTCCTCTGTATTGTAAAATAAGTCGGAAATAAAACAGTAAAAAGGTGACTAAAGGAGATACTTCCAAAAGAATAAAAACTGTATTTCTGCATAGTGGCATAGGTCCTGAGAATATCAATTTTTAAAACTCTAACCACAAACACTTTTTAATTAACTTTACTGTCATGAAAATCATGTATGTAATTTAGATCTTGTGTTGGATTAAGTCAATTATTGAGCCTCATGGTTCATGAATAAGTGGACCACATGATGTAAACACAAAGTTATTTTTATTTCTATAAATAGTAACAAAAACAAGTTTTACTTGAAAATTTCAACTATCCTAAAATAATATAAAGAATCACAGATAGCTATTCACTTTTATAACACTGTTTTTAAAAAAAGTCTGCCATGTATATTCTATACAGAATGACAAATCTAAGGAGCTGAAAATTTCTATTTCTTAAATTTCATTTGAGTAAATCCTACTTGTATAAGTGTATTTTGCAAATAACAAAGAATATGACATTTGCAACTAGAGAAATAGTCCTAAATGGTTCATCACTTATTAGTGACTCCTACTTAGGCTCTCTGAGGCTTTGGCTTCCTCATCTGCAAAGTGGACACACCTATGACACTGGACTGTTGTGAGACTTAAATGATACAATGAATATTAAGTTAATATCGTCAAATTATATGTAAATATTAATGATTAAAATCAATAACATTATTAACAGTTAAACAATTCTCAATTCTTGGCAAAAGATTTATAAGGCAATTATTTTTCTTCAAATATTCTTCAAATTCAATTATGCTATTTCATTGATTTTAAGACACAAATTTTTTCACACTTATCTGAAACTGACAGGCATCTTAAAATCACTCTGGTTGGGTAGTAGTCATGACATATTTGTCATTACATGTGTATTAAATTTGAAGAATGGATATCAGTGTGTTGGAAGAAAACCTTGGAGATAATAATGGACATTGATTTAAGAAATGATATATCACTAATGCTCTAAACAGAGAATGATATTATGAAAATAAAACATGGACACAGAGACTCTGAGTTGAAAATCAATGAAAAGACACTTTGAATGTTAAGAAGTTTTAGGAATGCCTCAGCCAATGAATTTTGCTCATATTGTTCTTTGTATGTAGGTGCAAGGGTGTTATATGATTTTTTTAAAAGGGGGCTCTTTGCATGAGTAGAAAAAATTCTTAGTGATAAAGAGTTGTGCCATAGTTGGCATTTTTTTTCTTAGTAGTATATAAAATAGTGTACTTTTAAGATTACACCCCAGCTTCAATGAAACACCTTCCTGCCCAAAACACTGACTCAATTTTTAAAATGATTGTTATTCTTTTTTTTAAAAGCCTTCCATTAAAATTTGATTTAAAGAATTGAATGAATAAAGGTAGAAGAGTCAAGCCTAAGAACCAAGCCTTTGATAAAAAGTAATGACAAAAATCATATGCCACTTGATAAAAGCAGAACGTTAAACTAAAGCTGTGCTCTGCCTGATCTGGGCTTTGATTTCACTGGGTCCTACAGTGATCTTAGTTTCGTCACTGATGTTTCAATATACAGCATGATTTCTGGCCTATTTTAGTAAATATTTATTATAGATGCTAAGTATATGACAAGCACCGAATTAGGCACTAGAGATATAAAGAGAATAAAAGACAGACATGGTCCCTGCTTTTTCCTTGTCCAGTATCTGGTGAAAATGACATAATAAATAAAGTAGGCAAATAAATAATTATACATTTTTATAAGTACTGTGAAGACACAAGTAGGAAGTGGAAATAAAAATGAACAATGGGGCATTCAATTTCAGACAATAACAAAAGGGGTAACAGGGAACACTTATACAGTGCTTATAATGTGCCATGCTTTGTACTATATTTTTTGTTTGTTTTTTTGAGACAGGGTCTTGCTGTGTCACCCAGGATGGACTGCAGTGGCAAGATCACAGCTCACTGAAGCCTCAACCTCCTGGGCTCAAGCAGTCCTCCCACTTCATCCTCCTGAGTAGCTGGGATTTACAGGCGTGCATTAGCACACTCAGCTTTTTTTTTTTTTTTTTTTTTAATTTAGAGATGGGATCTCACTATGTTACCCAAGTTGGTCTCAAACTCCTGGCCTTAAGTGATCCTCATGCCTCAGCCTCCCAAAGTGCTGTTGACTACAGGCATGAGCCACCATGCCTGGTCCCATGCTATATGTTTTACACATACTCTTTTAATCTTCAAAAAAAAAACTGGATAAAGGAGATACTTATCTTCATTTTACAAACAGAGAAAACAGGCTTTGATAATTTAAGTAATTTGGCTAAGATCATATAGCAAGTAAGCAGGGAGTTGGTATGTGAACTCAGTTTGGCTCAAGAGCCCTTGCTTTCAGCCACTACAATATTAGGGAAAGCCTTTCTGAAGTGTCATTTGAGAATTGAATGATAAGAAGGTAAGGGGTTGGTGGAAGAAATCACATATAAAGCCCTACAGGGGTAAAGGAGTCCTTCAGTTTTAGGAAATTAAAGGCGGCCAGTGTGGCTGGAGTAGTTAATGAAAGGAAGAGGGTTAGGAGATAGGGCTGCAGAAGGCAGTTGCTACCTCAGTCAGGATGCTATGGGTCACAGGAGCTGGGATTTTATTCTAAGTGAAATAGGAACGACTGATTACTTTAAATTGGACAGTGACATGACATCATTTTTTTAAAAAATATTTTTCTAGCTAATATGTCAAGAATGAATTGAAAGGAGGTAAGAGAAGTAGGGTCCAAGTCATTCATTTATTCAACAAATATTAGACAGTTTATGGAGTAACAAATATTGTGGCAGGTACTATTCTAGATACTAGAAATACAGCGAAAAACAACATAGACAAGGTCCTCTACCCTGGAGTCTACTTTAGAATGCCGAACACCCCCCCCCACACACATACCCCTTCCTTCTCATACATTAAGAGCTTCTCCCACCCTACTAGACATTTTCCATTAGCATGCAAATTCTAGTATCTTCCATCTTTAAACAAACATCAAACAAAAATCTGTCCTTTGACCTTTTATTCCCTCTAGCTACCATTCCATTTTTCTACTTCCTAAATCCAGAAAAACTTCTTTAAAGGACACTCTGTGGTAGCATCACCTCCAGTTATCGTCTCAACCCACTACAATAAAATTCCTTTCTTTTACTCCATTAAAACTGCCCTTGTCAATGTCACCACACTACCATCTTGAAGGTAAATTCTCACTTCTCTCTCCTCATCTTATTTCACCTCTTAGGATAATTCACACTGTTAACTAGTCCTTGAAACACTCGTCTTTTAGTTTCTGTGCCACAACATTCTTCAGGTTTCCTACCTTGCTGGCCTCTCCTTCTCAGTCTAATTAGAGGGCAATGTAACATAAGAATTAAGGGCATAGATTTCTAGATTTAGCTCTGAAAGCAAGTTGTGCTTATGGCATAGAAGACATTGGAAGAGAGTGCTCCCCTTTCTCAGGCAGGCTAGAAAACTGATTAGTATTTCAGATGAAAAATGATGGTGGGTTATACTAGATTGTTAACAGTGGGAATAAAGAGAAATAAATGGATTTTTCTGTATTTTAGAAATAGAGCCAAAAACACTTGGAGATGGATTGGATATAGGGAGTCAAAGAAGAGCAGCATCATGGTTTCTTCCTTGAGAAACTGGTAGAATTATGGAGCTATTCAAATAAGTCTTGGGGGAAAAAAGAAGGGTTTGAGGTAGAATAAAGTTTGTGACCCAATAAAAAGTTAGTGAGTATATCTAAAAAACACCTAGACTTAGAGATGATCTCATCCGATGCCTTTCCATTGAAATTAATACATGGAAGAGGTTATGTCACACATAGGATCCTGTGTGACCAATGTCACACAGACAATTGGTGGTAGAGCTGGAAATAGAATACGAGTCCCTCAGAATCCTGCTAAGAAGCCACAGATCAGCACCAAGCAAGATGATCATTACAGACTGAGTGAGCCCCTATTACTTTAGTCCTCTTCTTCCCCTGACCAATGCAGTAAAAAATATTTTAATAAAATTGTTGGGTTCATTTAATATAGTTAAGCAAGTTATGAACTGCATATTTATATTTCCTTAATAAAAGTGAGGGAAGTAAAGGCAGATAGAATATAAAAAGCAGTGTTACCCTTGACAGTAATAAATCTATTGTGGAGTCATTAATAACATTTACTCATGTATACTATTTGTAAAAGGTATACATGACATTCCCTCTCAAGTACTGTACATTCTATTTTGCAAGATAACACACATGAAAATAATTCAGGACAATAGGAGAGACGTCATAAGGCAATACTAGAATAACTGCCAAATGAATTACATAAACAATACTGTTTTGGAAAAAGGTACTCTGAAGTAGGCCCTAAGAGAAGGTTTAAGCTAAGCTCTGGAGAATTTGTAAAACCACACAGGGAAGGGGATTAAACAAACCTATAAAATATGTTCACAGGGTGATAGGTTTGGGGCTGAGGTTTGGAAGTGGAGAGAGTAAGCTATTTTAGACTAGGTGAACAGAGACATTCTGTTTGGTATGAGATTTGGGCCTGAATGATACAGAGGAAACAAGGAATGTGATAATGGGAGAAGGGGAGAATATTCTAGATTCTAGACCAAGTACAAATAATCCCTACGTTACTGTCTGTGTATTAGGCTCCATAGATCTAATACACAGAGATCTTGCTCGATGGTAAAATAATGGGATATGAATTCCTGAATTTAAACAAATTCTCTTTCTGAGCTCATTGTCTCCATCAGTAATAACTAGTGCACAGAACATGTGCAATAACGTACACAGAAGTGTTTTGGAAACAGAAACGTAATGTATCAAAGTTATAAAAATCAGTTTAAAACGACAAGAAGGAAAGGTTATATGATTCTTAGTTAAAAATGGAGAAGTGAGTTATGATCATTGCTGATATGGGTATTAGTATCACTTACGTATCTTTACACTGTCTCTTATTGTACTTTTTATGCGTATGATTTATTTGCCTTACCAGATTGTAAGCTCCCTGCAGCTGGTAAGCAGATTTTCAACATGGCAGCTGACACAGGCTTTTGGTTAGCTAAGATGATATATTAAGCCAATAATTCGTTTTACTGTCCTTTGGGGATCTGAATTTGTGTGTGTGTGTGCTCAGAATCCCATCTACTTTCGAGGGATTCGGGGGGCTTATGATATCACGAAAAGTTAATGAAGACAAGTATAGATAAAAACATAATAGAACCCATCTTAAATAGGACAGAAATCATAGGCAGGTAATTGTGTTAATTACTACCGCTGGCCTTTGGCTGATATTTCCGGGCAGTCAGAGGAAGAAGGAAATCGGCTGAATCCCGCAGTACCGCACTTTAATCGACCTCCAGGTAGTCATTTACAGTCATCTGCAGAGACCAACTTTTCCCTGGACCAAAACCTGCAGGGCACTTGGATCGCGTGGGCTTTCATACGAGAGTCAACAACAGCCTACACGGAACAACTAAGGAAACAGACATACATCAATATGACCCTTCGCAAAGTCTGAGAAAATAACTGAGCAAAGTTATTTACTTGTTTCTGTTGCTGTTAGAGCAAGGACCTCTGTCATGATGGAAACACTGATACCTCAACAATGGAATCCTGTTTTCTCGCTAGTGCTCTAGCCCAGGCTTGGCAATAGCAAAACAGCACCTGGGTCGCTTCATCGCCCCAAATAAACAGCCAGCATTAGCTCAGCTGCTCGCTGGCAGCCTCGGATCCAGGCGGGGTCAGTGTTGCGCACTGGGGATAGTGCCTCTGCTCGGCCTTCGGAGGGAGGGTTTCAGGTAGGCTGCTGCTAAGGGTCGGGAGCGTACTGTGTGAGGGTGGGTCTTAGGCTGATGCGGATGGGGGCAGGGAAAGAAGGAACTCAGGGCTGATGCGTTGCACAACTGCAGGGGGCACCACTGCAGACCCCCTCCTAGAGATGGAAACCTCTCGTGCCCCGTACACGAAGCAGCTGAAGCCAAGGACATTCTCTTCTCTGTGGGTCACAGGGGCCAACTCAGACCCTGAGAATAAGGGCTACCATCCCACTCCTCCCTCAGACCCCGGAGCTCACCCACCTGCAACTGCAGTCTCCGAAGTCTCCACCCCAGTCTCCCTGCCTCCAGAGGACTGGTTGCGATTGGCCTGCACCGCTGTCCCGTTAACTCTTCCGCAAGTGTGAGTGGCGTAACTGTCGGGCTCTTGGCCTTGGTCCCGCCCTTCGCTCGCCTCCGAAGCCTCGCCTACTTGACGTCATACAATGCCGCAAAGCGCAGGGCTGATCTCCGTCTCCGCCCCCAGCTGCTTTCTCCGAGAGGAGGTGGCTGAGTCGGGGGCGGGCTGGGAGGGCTGTCGGTGGGCCAGTCTGCGTAGCGACGGCCCGTCCCCTGCGCACGGACGCCGGGAAGAAGGGGGTGGGGCCACGTTTGCGTCCGCGCCATCAGGCCCGAGATAGCGGCGAGGTCCGCTTTCAGTGTATGGTTTTCCCTGCCAAACGGTTCTGCTTGGTGCCATCCATGGAGGGCGTGCGCTGGGCCTTTTCCTGCGGCACTTGGCTGCCGAGCCGAGCCGAATGGCTGCTGGCAGTGCGATCGATTCAGCCCGAGGAGAAGGAGCGCATTGGCCAGTTCGTCTTTGCCCGGGACGCTAAGGCAGCCATGGTACTACAGGTCTTTTTTGGTATTTAGAGCCTAGGAAGCAGATCTTGGGGGAGGCGGGCCGGGCTGTGGAGACCCGACACTCCCGCGCTGGCCGCGACCCTCTCGCTGTGGAGCCTGTGGCCGGCCCGGGCGACAGCAGCCGGCGCTGCGGAGTTGTGGGCGACGCACGGCCTGGTTTCCACGGCCTTTGTAACCGCCTTGGAGGCCGCGATGGCTGTAAACATTATCTCTTTCCCCTTGTTATTTCAAATGGAGACCCTCCTAAACCATGAAATAAGTGTAGGGAAGGCCGACAAAATTGGGTTTTTCTGTAATGAATGTTTTTATGTCTTTATCTTTAAATGTTATTTTTTTTTGTTTGTGTGCGTTCATAGCCTATGCTTATTCTGCCTGTTAAATATCCCATCATTCTCCAAGGACTCCCTGCACGTGGTAGGCCCTAGAAATTATTGACAGTATGATTTAGTTTGTAGCCCTGCGCTCCCCGGGATTGAAGCCAATGAAATTGAAGCCAGAGAGGATACCTTCCTCACTAGATGCCATGGGAAACAGTATTTTACGTAGATTTATTTATTTTAGCTATGTATTTTGAAGCAACAAATGGAAAACTGGATTTCAAAACAAGTAATCTGTACAATATGGTGCAATTTGAAACAACCGTGAATTACCATCATTTAAAAGACAGTCCTTTCTTAAAAATGTCCCATATTGAAACACTTTCTGTTTGAAATGTAGACTAGTTGATAATTTTTAAGGCACATTGGTGAAAATTTTTTACTCATTTGTAAGGAATTGTAAAATAAGCTACATTTAAAAGCCTGCAGTTTTTAAAAGTCAGTGTTAGAATTGAAGAAGAAAAAAACCTGAAAGATATTTTTAAAAATATATACTTTGTCATCTTATATTCTTGTTTTTTTGTGTGTGTGTTTTTAGTAATTATTTAAAAAATAATAATTGGAGGTGGGAGAGAGCAGAACAAGATAGGTCATGCCTTGCTAATTGTTGAAGCTGGGTGATCAATATATGGGATCTAGAAATACATATGCACAGATGTAGGTACAGTAGGGTTGCTCACTGCAGAGTTGTTTTTGACAGCAAGTCTAGAGCCAGCCTAAAATGTCCAATAAAGGGGAAATAATATTATGAAATATGCTACAGTTAAAACTGCATGGACCAGACGTGTGTGTACAGACATAAAATACTTCCCAATACTTATAAATTTAAAGCTTATATGTGGTAGAATACTGCATAAGTATAATCTCATGTTTGTGTTTATATGTAGAGTTAGCAAAAACATGTAAATGCACATATATTTAAATACAGAAAAGACTGACAGGATGCCAGCTGTTAACTTTGGTCACTAGCAAAGGAGAGGGAATTGCTAAGGCGGGCTTTAACTTTTTATCTACTTAAGCATTGCTTAAGTCTTAATTAACGTGTGTTTAATACTTAAGTATTTTGAAAAGTTTTAAAAATGAAAATTTTAGAAACCAAAAAAAAGTACTATTGCATACAGTGTGCTTGTATCTTTAGTAGACATCAGTACATACCAAATGTTTTATGTACTTAACAGGCTGGTCGTCTGATGATAAGGAAATTAGTTGCAGAGAAATTGAATATCCCTTGGAATCATATTCGTTTGCAAAGAACTGCAAAAGGAAAACCAGTTCTTGCAAAGGACTCATCGAATCCTTACCCGAATTTCAACTTTAACATCTCTCATCAAGGAGACTATGCAGTGCTTGCTGCTGAACCTGAGCTGCAAGTTGGAATTGATATAATGAAGACTAGTTTTCCAGGTAACGTTGCATTTTTCTAGTATGGCAGTTAAGTGTCTCGATGCCTCAGTTCTATTGCTATTGAGTAATCTCAGGCCAGGAGATGTATTAGAGATATTTCAGTTTAGGGAAAATGTGCTTAGTACACAAAGGTAATGGAGAGCATAAATCTGAAAAGGGTATATTTCCATGAATATTTACAGACTTACACATAAATAATAGATTATCCGTTACTGGGGATCCATAACTTTGCCTAGAGGTAAAGTGAAATATTAAGTGAAATTTTTTTTGAATTATACTTCAATTTATTTCACTTAAACATTAACCACAATTTTTCAGTTAATTGTTTGTTTTTTAAAAAAGAATCTGAATAGTAAAGTACATTGTAGTCCTTATGTAGAGATAACGTATACAGTTGACACATGAACAACACAAGTTTGAACTGCATGGGTCTACTCATGTGAATTTTTTTCAGTAGTTGGCCCTCTGTCCCCATAGATTCTGCATCCACAATCAAACGTGTATCAAGATTCAGTATTTGCAGGATATGAAACCTGAGGATGTGGAGGGCTGACTTCATATATGCAGGTTCCATAGGGCCGCATGCGCAGATTTTGGTATCTGAGGAGGGTCCTGGAACCAGTCCCCAGTGGATACCAACGGGCGACTCTTTGTTCTGCATCTAAATACATCTCTTTTTAGCCCATTTATGTAAGTAAAAATGAGGAGCAAGCATTATTAAAATATTTAAGTTGCTTATATATTGCCTTAGAAATTTGTTAGTGGTGGCTTTAAGGACCACTAACATTTGTGGTGAAGTTGAATGTACCCAGGCAATTTAATACATACTAAATACAGGTTCTCTTAACTGCTGTATATTTGTCATCATCACTAACATTTAATGAACACTTAACCACGTGTCATGGCATTTTACATAGTGCTTTAGACATATTCTGTGATTTAATTCTCTCAACTACCCTATGATGCATATACTGCTATTTTTAAAGAAAATAAGTAACAGGCTAAGAAGAAAGCTATTAATAAAAGAACCCACATCTTCCTAATTTCATAGTAAAACTATCTAATCTCCATACTGCCTGCACCATATGTGGTTTGAATATGTGGCTCTCTCAGTCTGTAAGGCTTGTATTAATTTTATCTCTCACTCCCATTTCTGCATAGAGAACTCCTATTTACTTGTTAGATTTCACCTTAACCTTACTTTAGGGAAGCTTTGTGAGCCTTCAATCTAAGCTAGGTTCTTTTGTTGTAGGTTCTCATAAAATATATTTTCCTTATTCCAGTAATGTATCTCAGTTGATTATTCATCAGGATGATTGATTATCTTTTCCTGATACTTAAAAGCTGTGTGAGAGCAAGAACCATGTTAGCCACATCAGAGTTTGATCACTATCACATCTCTTAGTACCTTGCCTAGCATGTAATAGTAAAATATTTGTCAAATGAATGAATAAACACTGTGCTGTTAGAGTATAGGCTTCAGTGTGGTTGTGAATCTCTTCTCCCTTTTGCTTTTATTGTCCTTACCTTGCATTTTCCTACTAGCTACTCTTTCTCTTACCTGCTAATAAACCTTTCCAGTACAACTCTATTCTCAGGTTTGTTCAGAACAAGGCCCTACTAGTGATTTTGGAAACCTTATAACAGATTGTTGATCTGATTCCCTGGATAAGATTCCAGGAATTTTGTTTACCTCCTGAAACTGTATGCTACATTTTGTATGATATGCACATGTGCATTTTTCTTGGGAAAGGATCTGGTATTCAACAGGGACATAGGTGGCTTACTCTAAAAAAATTGCTGCTATAGAGGATTCTTAGCATGGGAATTAGCCCATATATTCTTGTAGCTTTCTGCTGTCATTACAGGAACTTTTTCTAAAATCAGAAATGGAAAGGCCATTGTTTTTTAGAATGCAGTCAGCACAACTACCTGGTAATAATTGGCCCAGTGGGTTGGTATCTGCTTGGAAATGATACTTCTGAGAAACAGATTTTGTTACCAGTTAACTTGATGGGCAGTGTTGGCTATGGTCAATGCTAGATAAACAAGTAATTAATAACTGAAGCTTTTAATAAATGATGGTGTTCTCACTCATAGATGGGAATTGAACAATGAGAACACATGGACACAGGAAGGGGAACATCACACTCTGGGGACTGTTGTGGGTGGGGGAAGGGGGGAGGGATAGCATTAGGAGATACACCTAATGCTAAATGATGAGTTAATGGGTGCAGCACACCAGCATGGCACATGTATACATATGTAACTAACCTGCACATTGTGCACATGTACCCTAGAACTTAAAGTATAATAATAATAATAATAAAAAAGAAAAATAAATGATGGAAAGACAATTGAGCAAAAATTTAAGATTTAGTTTTCCTGTTAATTGTGTTATTAGACCTCCCCCCACCAGTTTTTTTTAGTTGATCTTACTTGACTAATCACAATGTCTAGGCCTTTTCCTTTTCTTTATTTTGTTGTGAAAAAGCTGTTGCTATGTCCAGTAACACAGAAAGGAAGAGAGATTTTCCAATTGTCACTAGTGTTGTTACCATGCTACTGATTCCTGAAGCATCAATGGACACAGCATGATTTCTTAATGAAGATGGGAAGTAGACACTGATTTGCTTCATTGGAGATTCTTTGAATTGCTCTACTTATTGTAGTAAGTGAGGAGATTGAGCAAGGGATTTTTCCTAAGAGTCTTGCTAAATGATGCTAGGCAAAACTTAGGAGAGCAGCAAGGAAAGTACTCTGTTTTGTACTAGGCATTGTTACTAGATTGCCAACTCTAAAGACAGAGTTGGCTTTTGGGGGTTATCATTAGTGCATTGAAAGAGTCAATTCCATTACTCTGTCTTGTCCTATAGGTAAGAATCCACTAGGAACTCAGAGAGTCTTTTTCTTTCATGGTGCATTAACCATTTCTGCTGAGTGCAGCTCATTTCCCTCCCTCTACCTGTTCTCCCAACTGTTGCTGTGGACGTGCAGGAGAGAACATACCTAGTATATAGCCTACCATATGCCAGGACGGTACATTCTTACTCTTAGGAAGAATGGTGTTTTCCTGGTCTTCATCTTAATTTATTACCCTCTTTTGGAAAATTTTGGTTGGTTTTCCCTTTGTTTTCTAATTTTTTCTACCATTAAAAGTGTTTGAAGTGATAAGCATAAAGGGTAACTTTTGAATTGTTTAGTTTTGTGACCATATTTACAAAGTAAGGCAAAATAAAATAGACAAAATACATAAAAATTATGATTGAAATTTGGGAAAGGACCAGAATTTTCCCCCTATGGTTTTACATGTTCGTCTTTACATTTTTAAAATAAACTTTGCTGGACTTTTTTTTTTAAATGCACTTGGGATTTAAAACCTGTAAGTAGTTTTAGAAACTCACACATCACTTTGTACTCTGAATTCCTTACTGGAAAACCAAGTCTCCACCCTCAAGGAGTTTTCCTCCTTCCCAGTTACAGGTCGGTCTTTTTCCTTTGTCAGTAGGATTTGATTGTGTAACTAGTATTTATTGAGCAATTCCTACAAGTGTGTGACACTATATTAGATGCCTAATAGGTATTATTTCATCTTTGTAAGACTAGTGCGTAAGTACTACTGTTATTTTATATAAAAGGTTAAGACATTTGTCCAAGTTGACTTAGCTAAAAAGTAAAACTTCATATATTTAACCACTGCTCTCTACAGTATATGGCCTCTCAGTATGAGATTTTATTGATTCCTATTAAAAGAATTTGCAGATACCAAAATATGAAAAATTCTGTGAAACTGGGTTACATACATTTAAAGTTGTTATGGAAGAACTAATGACTAGGAATATGAAAAATATAGTAAGGGTCTTGCCTTACCAGTTTCAAAAACTTGTGTTAGTCATTGTAAACTAAAAAGAGTATGGTACTAGCGAAAGAATAGACAACTGGAAGAGTTAATCTTAGAGCCCAGGATATATACATATTTCAATTCAGTGGATAAAAGATTATTTATTAAATGGTGCTGGTAGAATTGGTTAGTCATGTGGATGTAACACATACTATATACACCAATTTGGAGGAATTAGAAATTTAAAAATAAAAAAGTTTAAAATTTTAGGACAAAATATAGTTGACTATGATGTCGAGTTGCAGTAAATCTTTTTATGAATTCTTTTCAAACGAGACAGAGTTCAGAATTTATCAAAGAATGGATATTTAAATTTAAAAAAATTATATTCCAAAAATATAACCAAATACAAAAGATAAATAATAGAATAAGGAAAATTCTTATAACAAATTTGGTAAGGTGTCAATATCCATAATATATAAAGAGCTTCTATGAAGTGATTAGAAAATATTAATAGGCACGTTACAGAAGAACAAATTCAAGCAGTCAGTAAGCTATTACCTTAATGATTAGAGTAATGCAAATTAAAGTAACAGTGAGGTGCCCATCAGATTTGCAGAAAATTGGAAAAAAAACACTTAGAGCTTGTGAAAATGTCGGAAAAGAACAATCATATAGATGGAAACACTAGAAATTGCTACAGGCTTTTTGGAAAATAATGTTAAAATTGAAAATACACATAGTCTTTGATTTAGCGATCTTGTTTATAGTACTCTATCCAAAATATTTATGAATAACAACAAAACCTGAATGCTGCTAATAGAAATTGGTTAAATAAATTAATGGTGGATGCATTCTGCAGATAATTATTAGCTGTAATAAAAGAATTAGTTAGGTCTATATGAACCTGAAGGGACTTAGAATATATATATATTTAATATTATAATAGAGACAGGGTTTCTCCATGTTGCCTAGGCTAGTATTGAACTCCTGGGCTCAAGTGATCTGCCTGCCTCAGCCTCCCAAGTGCTAGGATTACAGGCGTGAGGTGTGAGCCACTGTGCCCAGCCAATATCACATCATAGAAAAATATATATAGCAGAATCTTTTTTTTTTTTGAGACAGAGTCTGGCTCTGTCGCCCAGGCTGGAGTACATTGGTGCTTGGCTCACTGCAAGCTCTGCCTCCTGGGTTCAAGCAATTCTTTTGCCTCAGCCTCCAGTGTAGCTGGGATTCCAGGCACCCGCCACCTGGTATTTTTAGTAGAGACGGAGTTTCACCACGTTGGCCAGGCTGGTCTCGAACTTCTGACCTCAGGTGAACTGCCCGCCTTGGCCTCCCAAAGTGCTGGGATTACAGGCGTGAGCCATCACACCTGGCCGGGTTTCCATATTTAAACAATATTCCCAGCTGATAGACATATTAATGTTTGGGAAATTCTGTATTGGATGTAATTTACAGAACTAACAAAAAGAAAAATTGTAGCCCATTTACCATTTTTTATGAGTGATATTATCAGAAAGTCATTGCCTCACACTATAACAAAATTAAAGTTTTATTAACACTTTTGGTTTGTTTGTTTTTTTTTGAGACAGTCTTGCTCTGTTGCCCAGGCTGGAGTGCAGTGGCGTGATCTTGGCTTACTGCAAGCTCCGCCTCCTGGGTTCACACCATTCTCCTGCCTCAGCCTCCAGAGTAGCTGGGACTACAGGCACTTGCCACGACGCCCGGCTAATTTTTTGTATTTTTAGTAGAGATGGGGTTTCACTGTGTTAGCCAGGGTGGTCTTGATCTCCTGACCTCGTGATCTACCCGCCTCGGCCTCCCAAAGTGCTGGGATTACAGGCGTGAGCCACTGCGCCTGGCCAGTTTTATTAACACTTACTAGAACACAATGTAATTGTATATTTGAGCAAACTTCTGAAAGATGGCTTTTGAAGCTTAAAATAATAAACCACTAAGTCAACAGATATGATTTCATATTAAATCATCTTTCACAAACCAGAGAATATATTGGTGGCAAATTTGACAGACAAAGGTTAATGTTGTTAAGATATGAAATGCCCCTCTAAATATCGATGGGAAAACCACTTAAGCCTTACTTGATGAATATAGGAAGGACTTTATAAAAACAGTTGACAAAAGAAGATACACATTTAACCATGACTTTGACAACAACCTCAGAGCTAATATTTATTAAGTACTTGATAGTTCCAGGCATTTTACATGTTTATTCTTAATCTGCCCAATTCTTTGTCCCAATTTTACAGTTTGAGAAACAGCCATAGAGATGTTAAGTAAATGTTAAATAAATAACCCACAGGTTGAGTATCCCTAGTGGGAAATCCACAGTGCTCCACTGAGTTTTTCCTTTGAGTATAATTTTGATGCTCAAAAAGCTTTGAGTTTTATAGCATTTTGGATTTCAGGTTTTCAGATTAGGGATCCTCAATCTCTAGCTAAGAAGTGATGGACCAGCATTTGAACATTTGACTGCAGGGACATAGAATTAAAACTCCGAAGGGTACGCGAATGTGTGTGCTTATGTATAATTTAAATTGTATCCATGTGTATATTAGTTTCTTCAGGCTGCTTAACAAAGTACCTCAAACATGGTGTCTTAAAGTGACCGAAAGCTCTTCTGTAAGTTCTGGAAGGCTGGAAGTTAAGGTGTCAGCAGGGCCATGGTCTCTCTGAAGGTTCTAAGAAAGAATCCTTCCTTGCTTCTTCCTAGTTTCTGCTCATTCCTAGCAGTCCTTGGCTTGCAGTTGCATCACTCCAATTTTTGCCTTCACCTTCAAATGACCTTTTCTGTCTCCTCTCTGTGTGTCTGTCTCTCCTTGTAAGGAAACCAGGCATTGGATTCAGGGCTCACTTTAATTAGGTATGACCTGATCTTAACTTGATTACATCTATAAAGACTCTATTTCCAAATAAGGTCACATTCTAAGGTTCTGGGTGGACATGAATTTCAGGAGACACCCTTCAACCCAGTAGAGTCCATTCTCTGGCCCCCTGCAAAATTTATATCCATCTAACATACAAAGTAAATTCACCCCATCCCAGCATTAGCAATTCTCAGCCCATTCCAGCATTAACTCTAAATCTCATGTAAGTGTTAATATCATCAACCCAAAAAGTGGCAGATCTCATCTCAATCATCTAAATCAGCTATGTGTGAAACTGGAGTATGATCCTTCTTGGGGCAAAATTCCTCTCATCTGTGGACTTGTGAAAGCAGAAAACAAGTCTTCTAAAAATCAGTGGTAGGAGAGGCATAGGATAGACATTCCCATTCCAAAAAGAAGTTCGAAGTAAAAAGGGGTCATTGTTCTCAAACATGTTCCAAACCCAGCAGAGTAAATTCATTAGGTTTCAAAGCCTGAAAATAAAAGGCTTCATGCTCTGTCCTCTTGGTCCTCTTCTTCATTCTCTGGAGTTCTTCCTGAAAGGATAACATTCGCAGCCCAGTAGTTCTAGCTCTATCAGCCTGTTTCTTGCCTCTGTGTGTTAATACCTATATGTGTTGGTAAACAATGTAAGAGCAACTGAAGTTTAGGACTGCCTAAATGGTGAGTTTCAAACCTAGGTTGACGTTATTTCAATCTAGTGCTTTTTCTGCTGTACTCCACAAATTGAGGGCTTAAATACATCCTTTGATAGTAACATGCAAGAAGCTTTGTGCATGTAGTTTGTGAAACCTATATTGGCAGCTCAGATATTTTTGTGTTATTCTAGGTTTTTGTCTGGATAAGTTCCTGGACAAATGAGCTGATAAGCATTACGGTGTACATACTAACTCATATCTTAGAAGACTGTCACTTCTCATAGAAGCAAAATTATATATAATTCTATTATATACAGTTTAGTACTTAGAAAGTGAAACTATTACAATTTCTAATATGATTTATTATCTAAGGCTAAATTTTGGTACTTTGAAGCAAGCACGTAGATGGGCATTGCTTAACTCCCTTCCACTTCCCTCAAAAATGACCAGCCCATTTTCCTAAAGGCTGAGGTAGTTATATGTATATATTTGTGTATACATATTGGTGACCTTGTTTTGGAGAGGGATTAATGTCGTAGGCCCTGAGGTTCTGGATTTTTTTCCGTAGGCCTGAAATAGTTGCTCAAGGCATTGGATCTAAATGATTTTGTTGTATGTTACTACTGTGTTTAAAATAAAACATTAGTTGCTGGGTGGTCTTGATTAGTTAATCATTCCAGAATACAATATCTAACACTGCTCTCCCTAATGATCAAGCTATAAGATGGAAGATCAGGTTTTTCTAAATTTGACTGATGATTCTCTGTGTATGTAATGGTATTATTAGAACTTGCCAACGTATGTGCAGTAATTGTGCTGTCTTCAAATAGTTTAAGGGACAAATTCACTGTTCTTCCTACCGATTTTTCTTTATTCCAGTTTCCTAGGTAAACTGCACTTAATACTTAACACAATATTTGCCCACTGTATATCCACCATAATGCCACAGTGTGGCGCTGCTGTGCTTTGGCCGAATATTTACGAAATCACCTTTTCCTATTGCTGTCAAATTTTTTATTTTGTGGACTAAATAAGATGCTCTAAAGTATATGAAAACGCACTCGTATCGGATATTTTTTGGCTGTACATAATGAGTTATGTGATTGCTTTCTAGTGATTGTGCCAGATTGATTGCCTTTTATGTTAATCAGTTTTTTAATAGCATGCTTATTTAAATTTTTTTCCTTGATTGCCCCATCTTATTTAGTTAAAAATCAGAAGGCTTCTTGGAGGTTATAAAAATAAAATTTGAAGAAAGCAGCAAGCAGAATGACACTATAGATGACAAAATGCGTATCTTTTTAAATGCAGATTTTTTGGACATTAATCTGTTAAAACTACAGTTTCACTCAAAATATATAATGCAGGCTTCCAAACCAAAAATAGTTTATTCCTCCCATTATTGTTACATATGCTGTTTGTGCCAAAATCCATTCAACAAGAAACAGTTTTTGATTTTTGTAGATATAGTGTTCCCAATGTTTAAAATTTCCAGATTTACTTTTGTTACTTCAGAAGCTTTCTGTCTTTACTTTCTTTGAAGTGTTCTTTAAGATGTTACTTATCAAGCCAGTATGTACTATTGATGCATTGAACAAAAAAGTTTTTATTGAGGGGCTTCTATTAATGTTAGTCTCAGGAAGGTGTTGAGGAGTAAACACCAGACAACAAAGGGATCCATGGCCCCAAAAGGGGTAAGAATTTCTTGCCATTGAACTCTTAAGATCACAATTTAATATTTCGGTGCCTAAAAATGAATGAGGATTCTTATTTTGATCCATAGTACCACATATCAGCAACAGGATCGGCAGAAATACTTCCTGATGAACTAAGAGGAGACTATTTTGACTCTTGAAGCGGGAGTACTGGGAGAATCATAACTATTTCATGACAGAACCGATTTTTAATATACTCTACCCTTGAGATGATTGTGGGAAAGGTATTTGGTTACTGCAGGAGAAACTGTAAACTCTCTGTGAAGATAAGGACCATGTCTGTTTTGCTCATCATGCGGTTCGTGGTACCTAGCACTTGTATGCTTTTAGTGAGTGATCATAATGGAATTCTAATTGTTGAATTCTCATAGAGAGAATTAGTGATTAAATGCCAGTGAAGTATTAAGGGGATGTTCAACATCTTCAACATCTTTTTTCTCCACATATTTATTTACATAAGAAATGCCCATAGAGTGTGTGGTATCAGCTATCATAAGAATTGTGTTAATCATTTGAGAATGTCAAATTTTGGAGTTGGTTATTTTAGAAGTGGGAATTGGAGTAAGCCCATATTAACAGAATCCACAAAGGGATTACCTTCAAAAGGTTTTCTGGAAAATAATGTAATAATGAACTAAGGATACAGGGCAGAAGAATATTTAGGAAATAATTTACCATATAATAGTTAACATTCATGTATACACTTAGTAAATGTTTGTGGTTCACTTACCTTGGAACAGGCTCTCTGATAGGCCCATTAGGCTGTAAGTATAAAAGGCAAGAACAGTGATCAATTTACTTTTAATATTAGTTGAATATGTATTTGTGTAAATATTTATACATATTATGCATATTTATATAAAATGAATGATGGTAGAAAGTTTGTGCTTGGTGGTAAAGACACACAAACACATAATTTTAATGTTTTGGAAAATTCAGTACCAGAGGCCTACCATGAATTTTAACATGTATCTTACCCCTTGGTTCTGGGAATCAGATCCTTTGAGTTGTATCTTTTGTCATTTATTTTTAGAATGCTATGTAATATTTTGTTATCTATGAAATAGTGGCACTAAAGATATATTTCAAGTTTTTAAAAATGAGCTTATTTTGCAACTGCAACCACGAAAGAGTAATGAAAATCTTTTTATTTGAATAAGTCATATTAGAAAACAAGTTGGAAAACATTTTGAAGAAGGTATTAATTTTTTAGCCGTGGCAATAATGTAGAATAAAAGAACAGTTTTCAGCTTTCTGCTAATTTTCCAAAAATTGTAATAAAAGAATTATTCCCTTTTTTTCTCTGTTACATAACAAAATAAAACTTTAGAATAATATGGCTCTACTTTAGGAGTATTTTAATTGGGCTTCTGATAAGTATCCTTTTATATAAGAAATTTCCTGTTATTTAAAATTTATAACAGCTTTGGCTGCTAAATTTTATCAAAACTTTTTGGGACATATATTGATACAACCATATGGTTTTCCTGCTTACTTAATAATTTACAGAATATCACCAATTCCTGTTAAACTACTCTTATATTTCTGGGCTAACCACTGCTTGTCATAGTGTGTTTACTCTTTTAATTTTCAACTTGCTTTGACTTGCCGAGATTTTGTTTAGGATTATTTTAAATGTATTCAAAAGTATGGTTGCCCTTTAGATCTTTGGGGGGTGCTGTCTTGAACAGTTTTAGTAATAGAGCAACTTTTTATTTTTTAATAGAACTGCTATTTAATTTTTTATTTCTTAATTGGCAGGTCGTGGTTCAATTCCAGAATTCTTTCATATTATGAAAAGAAAGTTTACCAACAAAGAATGGGAAACAATCAGAAGCTTTAAGGATGAGTGGACTCAGCTGGATATGTTTTATAGGAATTGGGTATAATTCTTTCTAATTTTGAAAGCAAAAGTCTATAATGATTCCATTATCTTCACTTAAAATCAGAGTCCTTGGTTACCCAGTAGTGTCCAAACAGTGCTTGAAGTAAATGGGTGATTGCTTGAGAATTTTATGGTTTTTATGCATATGGTATTACATTATAATGACATTTCATTTTAAGAAAATTTAACCTATATGTAATGCTCAGTTAGAAAGTACTTACTTAAAGCTAAAACAAATCATTACCATTGATAAATAATATTTTCTGTCATAAAGGAACTAATACACATGAGGTCCTATATAACAAACACTGATAATATATACTACATGCCAGAAGACATTACTTCAAGCTCTAAGTTAGTTAATTTAATGTACATAACATCCCTATGAGGAAGGTATTGTTATCATCATCGCAGGTTACATACGAGGGGATACAGGCACGGAGAGCTTAAATGATTTGCCCTAAGATCATATGGATGGTTTGTTTTCATGCTGTAAGGGTTTTTTTTTAAAAAGGTTATAGCTATATAGCCATAATGTAGTATAGCATTGAAACTCCCTATCTTTTGGACCTGTAGATTCTATGAAAAATTTTTGTCCACCAAATTCTAAGAGAAAATGTCTTTCTGTATCTTAGGCACTTAAGGAAAGCTTCATAAAAGCCATTGGTGTTGGACTAGGATTTGAATTGCAGCGGCTTGAATTTGATCTATCTCCATTAAACTTGGATATAGGCCAAGTTTATAAAGAAACACGTTTATTCCTGGATGGAGAGGAAGAAAAAGAATGGGCATTTGAGGTAAGAAATTTGTTAGAATTGTTAAAACTAAGAATTTCTATTTTTTATGCATGTATGTGTGATTAATTTGGGTAAGCTAGTCACTGAATTTGGACGCAACTGAATCCAGTCCTGCTGCTCTGAAAGTGAAATCAGGGCTACTATGAGAGCATGTAACATTTATACTAATACTTGAAAGAAGTTGAAAGATGAGTCATTGTGAGTTCAGTACGGGAAAGGAAAAGAGGCTCTGACAAGGAGCTTTGCATGTATGAACAGCCAAACGCAGCCACTTTGGCTGGGCCATAATGAGGGTATTTAAGAGAGATTCCAGATCAGGCTGGTAGATCCTACAAGGTATTGATCAAGTTAAATATTTTGGTTTCTTACTGTATTTTGTTTCTGTCACTGGCAGTTCCTGGTTGCTAGTGAGAGAAGCCAACACACACAGCCAAAAAACCCCCCAAAACAGTATTATAGGTTACTAGAGTGATTCAGTAACTGTCCCCAGTATTAGCTAGAATTAGGGGATGAAATATTTAGAGCTCTTTTTGTCTCCTAGTTTTGCCTTTCTCTACATTTTGGCTTCAGTTTTCTCCCACCCATGTTTCTCATTCTGTACACCAGCTTTCTCAGCCTCTCTGGTCTGCATGACAGAAAACATGGCTCTTGCATGTAACATACTGTTGCATGTAACAGTTTATAAACAATTTACAGTTTAAAAACCTAAACAAACTGGTAAACTCACTTTCTGTTCCAAGCCCAAAAATCCTAGAGAAGGGATGCCCTGGCCTAGCTTGGGCTAGTTGTTTATCTCCAGACCAGTCATTATACTGTGATTGGTCCTGCTTGTGTCCAGCAAACGGGCTATAGAGCAGTTCTCTGACTTACAAGATCATCTGTTGAGATACTGAATACTAGAAAATAAATGAGATGTTAAGTTTGAGATACCAAACATCTAAGTGAAGATGTCAGATAGGTGAATGGAATGGAGGGCTGGGCTAGAGGAAAAAAATTATAATCATAATGGTTATAAGTATAACCATTATGTCAATGGTAGTTGAAACCATGGATTTGAAGTTGAAACTGTGAGATTACCTAAGGAACAGCTATATATTGAATCTATGAAGAGAGAAGTGGAAATTGAAACCACAAGAAGTTAGAAGTAAGGCCTAGAATAGAGCCCTGAGAATATATATGGTCCCCAGTTTATGATGGTTTAACTTTTTTTGACTTTATGACAGTATGAAAGTGATAATGCATTCAGTAGAATTCATATTTGCAGAACCCACGCAACCATTCCTTTTTTCATTTTCAATACAATATTCAATAAATTACATGAGCTATTCAGCATTTTATTATAAATGAGGCTTTGTGTTAGATGATTTCGCCCACTGTAGGCTGATATAAGTATTCTGAGCACATTTAAGGTAGGCTATGCTATGCTATGATGTTTGGTAGGTTAGGTGTATTAAGTGCATTTTCCATGTAACCATATTTTCTTACAGTGAGTTTATTGGGATATAACATCATCGTGAGTCGTGGAGCATCTATACTAATATTCAAAGGTGAATTTGTGGAGGGGACTGATAAAGAATGACCAAAATGGTATAAGAGAGTAGTGTTGGTATCCAAGGACAGAAAGCATTTTGAAGAAGAGAGCTGGGTCAATAACTGCTAAGGACTAGATGTGGTGGTTCATGCTTGTTATCCCAACACTTTGGGAGGCCAAGACACTGCCTCTACAAAAAATTTAAAAAATGAAAGTTTCAAAACAGTATATCCATTAGTTAACATTCTTTAGTGTCCAACTATCAATTGTTAGTGTACATACACCTCTCATTATACATTAAGCATGATTCTTATTTATTGAAATATTCAATACATATAAGAACTATATCTTATATGCTAAATTTCTGAAAAATTATTTTAGATATTTTTAAATTTGTACATTCCAGTTACTTTTTTCTTGTTTGTTTAAAGAGAAAACAGAACAGGGCTACATAGCAGACTTACTTTGCGATAACTTTGACATAGTAAATCTTCTGATACTTAGTCTTATATTTTTCCTCTTTAAACATATCTTAAATTTATCCTTACTGAATTTCACTTTATGCTGACTTGGGTACCTGAAGGTATGAAGATAGGAAGAAGAAGATAAAAAATGAAAAAGCTCCCTAAGTACTATTTCTAATTGTAGTTTCTTCTGACGTTTTATGGAAGAATGCTTTAGTAAAGTGGTTTTTCAGTGAAAAGTTTGTTCAGCTTTTAAGTGTTTACAATTTTTTCTGGTAACTGCTTCAATATATATTACATTTTAAAGTCCCCTTCCCCTTTGTCTCATATGTAGAGGAAAGTAGAAAATTGCATATTGGTTATGTTTTACCTATAAATTTCCACCATGATTTTTCATACGTGATAGTATGTAGTTTACTAAATGCTTACATACCAATGTTGCAACTTGATTTTTTTTTTTTAACCTTGTACTTTATTATACATACTAACATCACCAGTGAAGGACAGATAGCTGTCAAGTACCTCTAGATAGGGCACATCACCTGTGTAGTATTCTGGTTGAGAATGCATAACCTAATCCACTCATTAAATATCAAACAAACCCCAAATGAGCAATATTTTATTAATAAAAAGCAGATTTAGGGAATTTGTACTTTAAAACGTTAATGTCATAAAAAACAAAAGAAAGGCTAACAAGACATGACAACTGAATGCAATACTTGTCCCTACTTGCCCATTACTGGGCTCCTGTTCTGGAGGAGGGATATGCCACAAAGGATGCTATTGGATTAATTCACAGAATTTGGAATACAGCTAATAAAGTATTGTTTCAATGTTAAACTTACTGACGTTATTAACTGCTGTGGTTATGTAAGAGAATGTGCCTACTAGGAAATACATGTTGAAGTATTTAAGAGTAAAGGGCCAGCACATATGTAACTTCTAAAGTAGTTTAGCGGAGGTGGGGAAATATATATATGCACGCGTGTGAGTGTACGTATATGTATATATATATAGAGAGAGAGAGAATGAGATTTAGAAAATGTAAACAAAGTTACATCTAGGTTTACATATTTTATAATCTATATTTATTTACCTTTTATCTTTCAGGAAAGCAAAATAGATGAGCACCATTTTGTTGCAGTTGCTCTTAGGAAACCCGATGGATCTAGACATCAGGATGTAAGATTTTAGGATTTCTCTTTTTTCTAAATAGCATGAATCAATGTTAAGTTTGCTCTTTATTGATGGAAATAGTCATTTGCCTTATATCAGTTTAGAGAGATTTTTTTAAGATTATAGATATAGTAGTACTCTTTATTAGCAAATATTAAGATCACTAGGGATTTTGTAGAAACATTTTTAAAAAGCAGCTGGGCATGGTGGCTCACACCTGTAATCCCAGCACCTTGGGAGGCTGAGGCAGGCGGATCACCTGAGGTCAGGAGTTCCAGACCAGCCTGACCAACATGGAGAAACCCCATCTCTACTAAAAATACAAAATTAGCCAGGTGTGGTGGCGGGCGCCTGTAATCCCAGCTACTCAGGAGGTCTGAGACAGGAGAATCGCTTGAACCTGGGAGGTGGAGGTTGCAGTGCACCAAGATCGCACCATTGCACTCCAGCCTGGGAAACAAGCGAAACTCCGTCTCAAAAAAAAGAAATGTTACCCGCTTCTTCACATTCGTATACGCTTAAGTATTACAACAAAAAAAAATATGGTAGTACTATCATGCTACTCATATTTCCAATAGACATTCAAGATTATCTTAGTCATCTTAACAGTAGTTTATTTCTTGGTGAATTGGGGTTGTGTTGAATGTAAGAGTACCACGTTGAAGGTTGATGAGTAATGGAATTACCTTGCAAA
Organism: Homo sapiens; assembly: GCF_000001405.40. NCBI lineage: Eukaryota > Metazoa > Chordata > Mammalia > Primates > Hominidae > Homo > Homo sapiens. The sequence continues at coordinate 106,095,343 of NC_000011.10, forward strand.
TTGAATCCACTCCTCCTTTTAAAGTAATATCCTGAATTATTCCCAAAGTTACAGTGTCAAACATGTAAGAGACCTTGTGTCATATTGTGGCATAACATCAGTTTCAATTATTCAGCCACAATGTTTTTATACTTTCTTATCCTATTACCTGGTAAGCAAGTGGGGGAAGAACTTAGGGTCAAAGACTCTTAGATTTCATATAATTGTGATTCTGCAGAAGTATTTATTTAAGGAAAACGTATGTTTTAATGAAAACTACATGCATTCCATTATTTTTAGTAAATCAACATGAAAGAATGTAGCATGATCAATATATATGCATCGTTACTTCCACAAAAGTAGCTCAGGCAACACACCAAACCTTTGATAGATTAATCAAAGGATTACGAGTTCTCCATAGATTATCTTCCTTAAAAAGGGATGGCATGTTAAAATTGACACCTGTTATCTGAAGATGTTCTGACCCAGGTTACTCGTCCTTCTGTTTTTAAATCTCAGCTTCACACTCCCTGCAAAAATACCTTTTGTTTTCATAGAGCTTTATAATTGTTGAAACATTTGCATATTCAGTACTTTTCATTTCCCTGGACAGAGCCTGTTTAGGCAACAGTGGCATGTTGGGAAGACTAGAGTACAATTCACAAAATTGGGTTCTAGGCCCACATCTACCATTTAACCTATGTTTTGAGCTTGGACAAATTGTTTGAATTGTTTGCTCTTCCTGAGCCTCAGATTCCCCATCCATAAAATTAAGATAACCGTATCACAACATAGCTATGAGACCAGTCATATAAGTACTGGACCTTGACTTGTTAAAGCGCTATACAAAACCCAAGTACTATTTATACTAGATGTGTAGAATATTAAAGAGGGTCTGCACTGGGTTCAATTGTGAACAAGGGCTCTATCTCAGAGAGTAAGATACAGTTTAAATTTAATATTGAATAAATAATTTCCTAAAGAAGTATACATCTCTGTATAGTTATGGCAGTTTTATCAGACCCACCTTTTAGAGTAGTATTTCACAAAAGTTCACTTTCTCACTCACCTCTATCAAAATAACCTGACTGCTCGTTAAAATTACAGATTTTGATATCCCTTCTAACTGATATGTAGTAAATCACACTTTTTGGATGTGGGGCCCAGTAAATCTACATGTAAAATACCACAGGTTTTTGTTATATAAAAAAGTTCAAGAATCAGGTTTTCTATTTCATTTTTTTTTGATTTGTTGTATTGGCAACACTAATATAAGAAATACAAACAATGTTCTAGGAATCCTATGTTGTCATTTAATACTACTGAAATGTAAGTTGGTCTTACTTATTTTCATGATTATGAAATTGATCATAAGATTAACATGCAATATAACAATAAGGTAATCTGCTTTTGTCTTTTAGGTTCCATCTCAGGATGATTCCAAACCAACCCAGAGGCAATTTACTATTCTCAACTTTAATGATTTAATGTCATCTGCCGTTCCCATGACACCTGAAGATCCTTCATTTTGGGACTGTTTTTGCTTCACAGAAGAAATTCCAATACGAAATGGTACAAAGTCATGATGATTCCCTGAGTAACAAAGGGAAATGAAAACTGTTTGTGATCTTCCGTATTCACTGAAAAATAAATGCTTGTTTAGTATCAAATTTTATTTCACGAAAGTTTTTTTAAAGAACAGAAACTTTTCCAATTAAAAAAAAAAAGCAGACTTCTGGTTCAAGATAGCTCACTGGAATACATGTTTACCTCTTTCTTTCCTAAATTGCATTGAATTGATAGGAAGGATGGCGGAATCTTAAAGTGATACATGCTAACTGTAGAAAAAAATAGAAAATGCACATAAGCAAAAGGAAACATTTAAATGCTATCTTTCAAAGATAACTACTCTTAAAACCTTGAGTATCTTTTCAGACCTTTTTCTTGGCAAATGAATCCATATTGACATATTTGATTTTTTTAAAAACATGGAAACGTACTGTTTTGTAAATTCTTTTTAACTGCACATCTACTGTTCATAAATATACCTCTGTAACATAACTTTTTGTGGTTCTAATGTACTCTGTTGTATAGCTAATACAAGTTAGGATGCTTTTGGCCAGAGGTAACAGTGTCCAAATATAATTGGCCTAAGTAACCTAGGAAATTGTTTGACATAACACAGGGTTCAGGGGTGTCATTAAAGACACACTTTTTTTGCCTTGACCTCAGTTGGTTTGTTTTGCCTTAGGCTATTCCACCTCTCGATCACAAGAGCTGCTGCTATAACTTCCAGTTTTACATCTTTGTAAAATTGTATCTCAAAGGCAGAAAAGGCCATTTCGTCTCTCATTTGTTTTATCCATGAGGAAGATTTTTAACAAAAGCCTCCAGAAGATTTCCCCTCAGTTTCCATTGACTTAGATCAGGTTACAGAGAAAGGCAATGTCTGACATTTTTGGTCTCTGTTAGAAGTAGACTCTGTTGAAAAGAAAGAAGCTAAGCTAGGTGTGAAGAATGGAATTGGAAGCCCACTGCCTTCCCATAAGAAAGGTTTACCATAATTTACTCACTTTTTTCTGTGTTAGACATTTTGATTATCTGCAGTTTATTACTACAAGCAGTGGCAGAGTGAATGTCCTTGTACATTTTGAGTTACATGCTTAATTATGTCCTTGAGAAAGTTTCTAAAAGTGGAATGATTGGTTTGACTGGTTCATAGGGCTTTAATTATACAATTTACCCCTCTAATTAGTACTATATGTATGTGACTTCCCTCCCCCTGCCAGAATACTCCTTGGTCAATTGTAGGTATTCTTTTTGGTTTAATTTTTGCCAATGTAATTAAAAAATGGTATGTCATTTTTAAAATTTGTATTTCTTTCATTACAAATAAGATTGTTATGTCAGTATTGTTATTGGCTTTTCGTATTCCTCTTAACGTGAACCGTCTGTTCATTGTTTTTACCTGTTTTCGTTTTAGCAAGTAGTACTTAATTTAAAGTGTGAACTTAATATATAAGATGCCAGGACCATCATATTGATGACAAAAATCTATTATGTGGTTGTAGTGCATGTCTTGGAGTTAAACTCTTAAGTATCAAGAAGTAAAATAATTTCATTGTTTCTGTTACTAACATTAAAAGTGTGCAAATTGTATAAAATTAGGTACTTCGATTAGTAAAAGAAAAAAATTTGAATGTTTTTTTTTTTTATTTTATTAAGCATGCCCAGTTATGCCAAGCATAGTAAATAAAGGTCAAGTAGCATTTATAATAGAGGAAGTATTGTTATCCCTAGCATGAGTGTAATGGTGATATGAAAAACTTTGTCTTGTCATTATAATAATAAAAAAATGAACATTTATTATGGAATTTCTATGAGCCTGACACTGTGTTGGATTTGTGTTTTTTAGTTTTTAGTTTTTCTATTACTTTTAATCAAAGTTTCATGTGTACACAGCTTTAAAAAATTGGATAGATCTGTAAGATTTTTTTCCTAAGGAAAAAGGCCATTACTCTGACTTCTTCCATTTCCTGTCTCCAGGGCAAGCCCTTTCAACTCTTTTAGATGTTATTTTTTTTGTTATTTATTACCATGTCTCCAAATGACATGCTTATATTGCTTTTACTTGATTTTTTAATTTTAGGCATTGTTTCTTTGATTTTCAAAATAAAGCTTCCCTCTTCTGCTTCCCAGCATTACACATTCCCTTTTTATCCCCTTTTCTCCTCCCAACATAACAATTCAATGTTTACATTGTTGACTGTGATTACACTAAGGATATGTGTACATTATTGAGATTATGTAACTGCTGTATACAGCTGAGTGATGTATTATCCTTACCATATACTAATTTCTTATTTCCTTTAGTTAATTGACTGCATAGATTTCTACCATATGTATGAATATCTTCTCTATATGTTCAAACGTAACAATGATTCCATCAGTTTCTTTCATCTTTTAAAAAATCACTCCTAGAGCAATCTGCTTTGTCCAAGTTGGACTTTGTGCCTTCTATGGCTGGTGTACAGCTGTAATCCTGGGATCTCCTTTACCATGATCCTGGGGATTGTCTCTCCTGTGTTGGATTCCCTGTTCCCCATTTGCTATCTCTCACATCTTAGATTTACTCCATTCATGTGAAATAGCTTTTTGAGAACAAAGTGGGCATAGGAGTTACATTTTTTGAGACTTCTAAGAGGAAGGGACAGTCCTATGCAGAGTGGTATAGGGATCTAGTTGTTTCTTAAACCCATTATCCTATCCCCCTCCACATGAAGCTCTTTGTTAACGCTGTATTCATATCCACTTTTTCCAAGTATTTGATGGCTGCATTTTGCTGAGTTTTGTGCTGGGCTGGCACATGCTGCTTCATACTCATGTCTGCTGGGTCCAGTTATAACATACTGACCAATGTATGGCTTTATTGGTCTCTGTTAATGTGTTTCCTGCATAGGAACTCTCATAAATTTATTTTTAAAATGAATCTGTATATTTGTGTCTCTTCCATTTCAGACTCAGAAATTGAAAAGATTTGGATAAATTTTCAGTTAAATTTTTCACTATCAAAATTAGAATTGTTACCTATTCAGAATCTGAAACTCAAAAACCAGTTAGGTTTGAGTAACTCAACAGCTCCTCACTAGTGGAACTATTACCATCTGAACTTGAGGACCAAATAGATTTATAAATACACATATGCAAATATATCTTTGGTCAAAAATATTCCTGAAAACAACTCCAAGTATCAGTACGTTTAAAGAGGATATGAAGAGAGCTAATGAATGATGGATTTCATTTTTATGGGGGAAATAAATATACCTTCATAGTATTTGTGAATTTGGGATTGGCAAAGGTCTTTGGATGTATTCCCAGTTTATCAGTTAATGTCAGGTAACTGCTGTATATGTCTTATGGTATTTATATTAGAAGCTATTTTGCATCTTAAGCACTCACATATCAGGCTATTTAATTCTTATAACTCTATGGAGTTGTATTGATGGGGAAAGTAAGTTACTGAGTTCTTGAACAACTTACTAAAGGTTATATATTCATTGAATACTGAAGCTTGTTATTTGATCAGAGTTAGGCTCAGATCTTTAGATCCAAAACCTCAGTCAACCACTATACTTAGTGGTGTGCTGGTAAATATTTAACAACCAGCAATCCTGGGGCAGGGAAGAAGAGACCTTTATATGTAGCTTTTGCTTATTCCATGAAATAATGACGTGTAACCAACACCTAGGTTTAGCACATGTTGGCATTTTGTCATATTCGCTTCAGATCTTTTTTCCTCTCATTTCAGGAATAAAACAAATGCAGCTAAAGACTTCCTACCCCCTAGTTACCACCCCTTCATCTTTCCCTTTCCAGGGATAATCTCCAATATTTGTAATTTTATGCTGTTATGCGTTTACTATTTGTATGTATAGTGTTTTGTGATTAAATCTTACATTTCCCTATTAGGATTGAAACATTAGGATGGAATCTCTTTGTGTGCTACTTAGAAGTAACAACAGTGTCAGAATAATTGAGCTCACTTAAGCCCACACTTCTCAAGGAGTATACATACTTAGGAGTAGGCACTGGTGTGTGGTAGTAACTCATCAAAAGATAGCAATTGGTCATCTAGAGGCATTCGTTTTATCTGAAATTTTGGAAAGAATCTTTTCATAATAAAAGTATTACAGACATTGTAAGTAGCATGCAAATTTGCCTGTATTTTAAGTAAAAAGGTGTGGGGCTTCAGAGGAATTTTCCTGCCCACGAGTACATAGTTGCTGTTCTTTTAGGGTCATTTTTGAATGAAAACGAATTTCATTTTGAATGTTTTTCATTTTGAATGAAAAAACATTGGAAAGGAGCCAGCATTAGAAGGGGAAAAAAGTAACATTTGTTGAGTACTTAAGCAGTAGAGCCCAAATCTTGGTGTGGTATACCCCTCTGCAGGTCACCTTTAGGGGACTGACCGTGTTGCAGGTGTAAGACCACTTTTTTACTATCCTAGAAGCCTTCAGCAATAGGCAAGTGAAATCCCATAAATTTGATGCTCCTGATAGTTCCATGAGTGTTTTCGGTTGTTACTTAGCACCCTTTAAAGCTCTTCATGCTTTTTCCAGTGTTGCATGAGCAAGAAGCCTGCTAAACTAGTTGTTCTTTTCCCCTCTAAATCCACTATCTTTCACCCTTCACTACCGCAGGAAGCTGACTTCTATGTACCTTGTTGGCCAGGCTGTCTTTTCCTTGATCGGGTTTTGCAAATAGAGGTGGGGGAGGGTATTAGCAGAGGACTAGGTAGAAAGGGAAATAGGATGATTATCCACTTGCCTTCCTGCCCTGCAGTGGCTTGGAAATAGCTGTGTTCCTCAGCATCACAGCTTCTGACATAGCCTTCTCCATATATACATCTCATGGGTTCAGGAACAACTTTTCCCTGCCTTTTCATTTTAGAAGTAGAAAGATCTTGCTCTTGCTTAGCCTAAGCTGCTGCACCATCTCCATAGATTTTTGTTATTCTTGCCTACACCCTCTTTGATCATTACTTTTGGTTGTGCCATCTGTTTCCTGCTACAACCCTGACTAATACAGTAATTTGTACCATGAGTAGTCCTGGGAAAGTGGAATTCTGGAATTGGATTGCTCACATATTTGATGTATATACAAATAACTTCCTTGTCAGGGAAAATGGATGCTTATCATTGGTGGCAAGTGGTGATGTCACAATTGCTTACATCATTACTAGTAATGTCATGGAGTCATGGAATACAAGTGGAGTACAGTGTTGGAAGATCAAGGGGCTGTGGCACATAGTCACTATGGTCATGGTAGAGATTACAGAGATCGTTAGGAGGACTGGCTCTTTTGAATGTCTAGAGCATATACACAGGGGAAAGGACAAATTGAAAGCAAAGGGAAAAATTGGGAAAAAAACAAAGCATCACAAAATCTATGGCAACTCTAGGGGAATATCTTGTATTTTGTAGATATAGCTAAGACTCAAACCTAGAGCTTTTATTGTAAGGGCTGCTGAGTTGTAATACCAATTACTGGCCAGTACTGGGTCTCACATGCTAAGGTAAGGGCATTGGTATGGAAGAAGTGGGGCCTTCAGAAATGAGATGGGAACATTTGGATCGCCACAGGAAAGGCTGAGAAGCTTAAGCCTTTTACATTTCCCTGAAACTTTCCTACTGGCAGAGGCAGCCCCATTTGTCTGAGGGGGAAGTCTTACCTCCTGATACAGTTTCAGATGTCATGTTGAATTCTAATCCCCAATGTTGGAAGTGGGGCCTGGTGGGAGGTGACTGAATCATGGGGGCAGATTTCTAATGAATGGTTTATCACCATCATCTTGGTGCTGTCTTTGTGATAGTGAGTTCTCGTGAGACCTGGTTGTTGTAAAGCAGGTGGCACCTCCCCCTCACTCTCTCACTTGCTTCTGCTTTCTGCCTACTCCCCCTTCACTTTCCTCCATGAGTGTAAGCTTCCTGAGGCCTCCCTAGAAGCTAGGCAGATGCCAGCATCATGCTCCGTGTAAAGCCTGCAGAACCATAAGCCAATTAAACTTTTTTCTTTATAAATTGCGCAGTCTCAAGTGTTTCTTTATAACAACACAAGAATAGCCCAGTACGCATCTCCACTTGCCCTGCAAAGGAAAAACAGTGTATCAATGAATTCACCTGAGATGGTTCTCTCATAAGCAGGTATCAGTTAACCTCAGGATTTACATCCACTATCCATCTTTACTTTTTGGAAAATAACAAATACCCTAAACAGAGAAGTATAAGATCAGGTCCGGAGGAAGGGCCTATTCAGAAGAGTTGCAGAATATTGCCACTTTGCATTGTAGGGATTTGGAGGACAGAATAGGAGTGGATTCTAAGGGTATTTGACCAAAAGGGGTTACATCAGATAAGGCAGGCATACTCACAGAAAATGTGAGTTAATGTGTTGGCCTGAGAATCTGGGAATGGTGATAAGTCTGTCACATTGGTTAACTAAAACCTAAACTCAGTGGTGGCCTACAGTCAACTGTGTTGAAATGTTAGAACTTTCCTGACTGAAAGAGTCCAGAGTCTTAGGAAGACAGGAATGCGGATCTGTTCTTTGCTAATCTGCTCATTCATCCTCTGAGGGATGGGCTTAGAAGACCATCACTTCACCAAGGATGTTTTTTTAAATCCATTAGTAAAGGAGTACCTTGAAAAGCCTTGTGGTATCATCTCTGTAGATCAAAGATGCTGCAGTGAATTTAGGTTACTTGTTTTCAATGGGAATAATGCGATTCCAGAATTGTTGAGATCATGAGATGGTACTTGAGAGTAATAATCAAAGGGTCTTGTGCCACAGGGGTTTCTGGTGATGGTTCATTGATCACAGGGTCTCTAGGAGTAGATTAAATGGGCAGCCTGCAAGGATCTGTTTGACACATTAACAGAAAATTTCTAGGTCTGGTGGACAGACACTTGACTGAAATCACTGTGAGGATGATCCACTGCTGCTTTAATTTTTTAAAGAACTTAGCCATTTTATAGACTTAGGATCTCTTAATGAAGGGGGTAGCTAGATCCTTTTGACAAAGAATCCTGCAATGCAGTCACAAGTATACAAGAGAAATCTTCTCCCAATCTTTTCTAGGGACACCTGTGTCCATTTACCATGGTGATTTTTCACCGGGGAAAGAGAAATACGAAGAACTTCTGGGGCCTGTTAGATACTGGTTCTGAATTGATAATAGTGAGCCCAAACTGCGTCTGTGTTGCCTTGTCAAAGTGGAAGCTATAGACATCAGGGAAAATGCAGTCTTGGCCTGAGTCCATCTCATAATGTGGTTATTTCCCCAGTTTCACTTGAATAGTGGAATAAATACACGGTTGTCTCTCAGTATCTGTGGGGGTTGGTTGCAGGACCCCCCTCAGATACAAAATCCATGGGTGCTTAAGACCCTTATATAATGGCATAGTATTTGCACATCCTAAGCCCATCCTCTCAGCTACTTGAAATCCTCTCTAGATCACTTACAATACGTAATTATTGTTGTACTCTATTGTTTTCCTAATGTATATTATTTTTATTGTTGTATTGTGTTTTAAATTTTGAACAGTTGTTGGCTGAATCCACAGTTGCGACCCCTACAGATAGAGAGGGCCAACTGTACTTACTAATTTGCAGGTGCCCCACATTGGTTCCTTTCCCTGCGAGGTGAAAATTGTGGTAGCAAGGACCAAGTGGAAGCCCCTAGAACCGCTCATCCCTGCCTCCAGCTAAGGCAGTAAGCCAAGTAATACTGCATCCCTAAAGGAACTGCAGAGATTAGTGCCACAATCAGACACTTGAAAGATGTAGAGGGGTGATGTGGATGTTTTCACTCCAAACTTCCTAATTTTCCCTGGCCTGGGAGTGGCATGGATGCTGTTCTTGTTCCTTAGGTACACTGTCAGACAATTCTCCTTCCTTCCTCACATCATCAATCTATGCCACCCACCATCTCTTAGTGCAGTCATCTCTTCATCCAGTGTTACTTGCCCACATCCCCATTGAGCTTACCTGTTTGGCTAAGGCAAAATATTAGTCTTGGGAAATGACTGTAGATTATTGAAATTTAATCAGATAGTGATGTCAATTTTGGGTGTTGTTACTGGAACAAGTCAACACAACCCATGGGACCTCAAATGAAATTGTTCACTTAGCAAATGCTTTCTTTTTAATTCCTATCAGCAAAGAAACTCAAAAGCAATATATCTTCATATGACAGAGACAGCAGTCACTGTTTTGTAGCTCTCGGGTTCTCTATCACAATGTAGTCAAGAGGGGCCTTGATCCATTACACTGATAGCATTCTGTTTTCTGGTGACCTTGGTGGTAAGACACATGCATGCCAGAAGATAGGAGATAAATGCTGTAAAAGTTCAGAGGCTTGACATAGGGAATAAAGGAATATTCCCTCTAAAATGAAAGGGGTTGCATCGTTTTGCACCAAACACAATAAATAGAGCAGCATAATGCTTGATGAGCTTCTATGAATTTTTGAAGGCAAAATAACTATGTCTGATCTGTTGCTATAATCCACTTACCTGGTAGCTCCTAAGGCTGCCTGTTTGGAGGGGAGCCATGTATCTGTGAAAATTCTGTCAGGCCAATGGAGGCACTACAAATGTAACAGGTAATTTTACCTCTGACCACTGCTTACCTTTATGTTAGTTCTTCCTCATCCTCTCAAATCATTGAACATTCCAAATCTTGGTCCTCATAGCTCATCACTTTTCTATTAATACTTATTCCCTTGGTGATCTCATTCATTCTCAAGCTTCAAGTACTATCCATATGCTGATGCCTCCCAAATATTTAATGTCTGTCCACACCTCTCAAGACCTCTTACCTGCCTCCAGTCTCAGATTTCCAGATGCCTACACATGTCCTCTTGATATCCACTGGTAGCTTGCACATAATACGTTTGAAAGTAAGTTCTTACTAGGCATTCCCCACCCCTTCTTACCCAAACCTCTACCATCCCTGGGATCATTTGTCCCTCTGTCCTTCTGTCTTCCTCCATCTCAGTATATGGGATCTTCATCCTTCCAGCCACTTGGACTCAAATCCATGGAATCATCCTCTTTTCTCTCCTACTCCACACATATGCTTCTTTCTTATACACAGTACTTGAGTACTTCTTTCAACACACAATACTTGAGCAAAACTGTCAGTTCAACCTTCAAACCACACCCAGAGTTGGACCACTCTTCACCATCTCCGCCGCTCCTCACCTGGTCCAGGCCACCACTGCCTCACCTGGGTGATTGCCACGGTCTCCCCAATGGACTCCCTACTTCCAGTCTTTCCCCCTTCAGTATATTCTCCGCATTGCAGCCATCTCCCTCACAGTAAAAGCCAGAGTCTTTCTAACAAGCATAGTAGCCTACATGATCTGGCCTCTGTTGCTCCCTACTGTACTATTCTCTTTCTCATTCTCATTTCCTACTCTTATTCTCACTTCCTATTAGGTCGGTGCAAAAGCAATTGCAGTTTCAGACCGTGAATTTTAAATCATTATAACTAAGCTCAGACACATCTTTATTAATCAAAGTAGGAACCATTACAATCAACACAGTTTTGCCAGTGAGAAATAAGTTTATTCCTGTAGCATAAAAATCCATGCTTCAGGATTTGACAAACTCTTGGAAAGAATTTTCTGCATCCTGCTGGTTCTGGGAGCGTTTTCCCTGCAAAAAGTGGTGGTTGGTTGGCAAGAGCTCAGGTGAATATGGCAGATGAGGCAAAATTTCATAGCCCAATTTGTTCAACTTTTGAAGCATTGGTTATGCGATGGGCAGTCAGGCGTTGTTGTGAAGAAGAATTGAGCCTTTTCTGTGGGCCGATGCTGGCTGCAGGAGTTGCAGTTTTCGATGCATCTCATCGATTTGCTGGGCATAATTCTCAGATGTAATGGTTCTGCAGGATTCAGAAAGTTGTAGTGGATCAGATGGGCAAGAGACCACCAAACAGTGACCGGGACCTTTTTGTTTTGCAAGTTTGGCTTTGGGAAGTGTTTTGGAGCTTCTTGTTGATCCAGCCACTGAGCTGGTCATCACCAGTTAACATATAAAATCCACTTTTCGTCTCACATCACAATCCGATCAAGAAACGGTTTGTTGTTTTTGCGTAAAATAAGAGAAGACACTTTTAAAAACTTTTTATTTTCAGTTAGCTCATGAGGCACCCACTTACTGAGATTTTTCACCTTTCCAATTTTCTTCAAATGCTGAATGACTGTAGCATGGTCGACGTTGAGTTCTTCGGCAACTTCTTGTGGAGTTTTAAGAGGGTTCGATGGTTGCTCTCAATTGGTCGTTGTCAACTTCCAATGGCTGGCCGGTACACTCCTCATCTTCAAGGCTCTCGTCTCCTTTGCAAAACTTCTTGAACCACCACTGCACTGTACATTCATTAGCAGTTCCTGGGCCATATGTGTTGCTGATATTGCGAGTTGTCTTTGCTGCTTTACAACCCATTTTGAACTCGAATAAGAAAACGCTCGAATTTGCTCTTTGTCTAACATCGTTTCCACAGTCTAAAATAAACATAAATAAACAGCAAGTAATAAGTCATTAGCAAAAAAAAAAGCGAGAAATGCCCGTTAAAATGATATATAACATAACTACATTTATTTAAGAATATATTCCAATATCAACAGCGCAAAAACCACAATTACTTTTGCACTCAACTAATACTATTCTCCCTATCTTCACTTTACTGCAACCACACTGGAATCCTCCCTGTTCCTTGAATATACTAGGCACAGTCCTACTTCAGGTCTCTACATTTGCTGTCCCTTTGTCTGGAATGTTCTTCTCCCAGATACTCGCATTGTTCACCCCTTACTTCCATCAGATCTTTATTTGACAGTCATCTCCTTAGTGACTACCCCCGGACACTCTAAAATTGTACATCATTCTGTTTCCCATCCCCAACACTCCAGATCTAGGTTCTCTGCTTTATTTTCCCTGTGGGGCTTAACCACAATCAAACGCACCATACATTTTAGTGTCTTCATTATTGTATGTCTCAGCTCCAGTCCTTGCCAGACTATAAGATCCAAGGAAGACAGGGATTTAAACTAGTTTTGTTTACTCCTATTTCCCCATGGTCTTATAACAGTGCCTAGCTCATATAAAGGCTCAATAACTATTTGTTGAATGAATGAATGCTGTGGTTTTGTTTTAGTTGTCTAGGGCTACCATAACAAAGTACCACAGACTATGTGGCTTAAACAGAAATTTATCTCCTCACAGTCCCGAAGGGCTAGAAGTCTGAGATTAGGGTGTCAGTAGGGTCGGTTTCTTCTGAGACCTCTCTCCTTGGTTTGTAGATGACCCTCCTCTCCCCCTCTCCCTGTGTTTCTGCATGGTCTTTATGTTGATCTGTGTCTTCATCTCTTCTTACGAGGACACCAGTCATATTAGATTAGTGCCCACCCTAATGACATCATTTAACCCTAATTACCCCTTAATTATCTTATGTCCAAATACTGGCACATTCTGAGATACTAGGGATTAGGACTTCAACATATGAATTTGGGGTGACAAAATTCATCCCACAACATGTCTCTACCCCTATGACATAATTATTCACTTTCTCAGATGGATTATTTATTTCCCCATTCTCTCTATTTGCTCACATAATGCTAATCTCTTTCTTTCTTTGCCAATATTCCAATTTTCAAGTACAGTCATGCGTTGCTTAATGATAGGGCTATATTATGAGAAATGTGTCCATTAGGTGATTTCATTATTGTGTGAACATTATAGAATATACTTACACGAACCTAGATGGTACAGCCTACTACACACCTAGGCTATATGGTAGAGGCTATTGCTCCCAGGCTACAAATCTGAACAACATATTACTGTACTGAATACTGTAGGCAATTATAACATAATGGTAAGTATTTATGTATATAAACATATCTATACGTAGAAAAAGTACAGTTAAAATATGGTATAAAAGACTAAAAGTGGTATGCCATTTTTAATGGTACACATTGTATAGGGCAATTACCATGAATAGAGATTACAGGGCTGGAAGTTGCCCTGGGTGCATCAGTGAGAGAGTAGTGAGTCAATGTGGAGTCCTAGGACCTTACTATCCACTACTGCAGATGTTATCAACACTATACACCTCGGCTACACTAACACTATAAGAAATATTTTTCCGGCCGGGCGCGGTGGCTCACGCCTGTAATCCCAGCACTTTGGGAGGCCGAGGCGGGCGGATCACGAGGTCAGGAGATCGAGACCATCCCGGCTAAAACGGTGAAACCCCGTCTCTACTAAAAAATACAAAAAATAGCCGGGCGTGGTGGCGGGCACCTGTAGTCCCAGCTACTTGGGAGGCTGAGGCAGGAGAATGGCGTGAACCCGGGAGGCGGAGCTTGCAGTGAGCCGAGGTCCCGCCACTGCGCTCCAGCCTGGGCGACAGAGCGAGACTCCGTCTCAAAAAAAAAAAAAAAGAAATATTTTTCCTTCTTCAATAATAAATTAACTTTAGCTTAGTATAGCTTTTAAACTTTATAGACTTTTATGTTTTAAACATTTTTACTCTTTTGTAACAAAACTTAAAACACACACATCGTATGCTCTACAAAAATATTTTCTGTTTGTATCCTTATTCTATAAGCTTTTCTCTATTTTTGAAATTGGGACTTTTTTTTACTTTTTGTTAAAATCTAAGTCGCAATGCACACACATTAGTTTGGGCCTGTACAGATTCAGGACCATCAATGTCACTGTCTTCCACCTCCACATCTTGTCCCACTGGAAGGTCTTCAGGGGCAATAACATACAAGGATCTGTCATCTCCTGATAACAATGCCTTCTGGAATATCTCCTAAAGGGCTTGCCTGAGGCTGTTTCACAGAAGTAGAAGGAGTAAATTTTAAAATAACAATTAAATGTATACTATAGTAAATACACAACCCAGTAACAGTCATTTGTTATCATTATCAAGTATTCTGTACTGAACATACTTGTATGCACTAGACTTTCATACAACCGGCAGTGTTGCAGGTTTGTTTACACCAGCATCACCACAAACACGCGAATAATACATGGTGCTGTGAAGTTACAACAGCTATTATGCCACTAGGCAATAGGAATGTTTCAGCCCCATTATAATCTTATGAGGCCACTATTGTATATGTGGTCTATCATTGACCAAAATGTCATAATCTGCTACATTACTGTATATATTTCTATATTTATTTGTATAAAATCTCTGTCTTCCTTCCACCTTTGGACTCTTAAGTTCCAGGCATTCTGTTAACACTTGACTAATATTCTTAATTTAAACATCATAGCCACACTACAAAGTAAGCACCGTTACTTGTATTTCAAGAATGTAAAATCTGAGGCCCAAGGAAATTAGACAATTTTTCAGAGGTCATATTAACTCATAAATGATGTCATTCTGATTTTAATTTAGTTTCCACAGACTCAAAAGCACATTCTTTTATATCTATACCACATTGTCATCAAGATGAATGGTGAAAATCATACTTCTGCCTTATATGTTGTGAGTGAAGCTGCCCTTGAAGGAAGTCTCCTGTTTCAGGAAATGAGATTAAGTTTAGATTCTGAATAATTATCCCCATAAATTGAATTTGGATGTTATATTTATATTTTTTACTACTGCAATTTGTATAGTCCTTGATGATCATTTAAATTTATTCTGCACAATTTAACAATTAAAAAATATTAAAAGTTGTTTCCTTATGAAAGTGTCAGAATTACACAATGAATTAATAATGTTGAAGCAACGGCTATAATTTTATACTAAAATGTAAAGGAAAAAGCCATTGCTTTTGTTTTTTTTGTTTGTTTGTTTTTTGTTTGTTTGTTTATTTCATTGCTTTTGTTAAAACAGTGTAACATATGTTCTTGATAAAAATGCCAGGGCTTTATTGGTGAAAACCGTAGTAGGCTTTGAAAGCCAGTTACTTATAATTAAGTGAATATCATTGTCTCTTTGGGTGTAGATGATTGTTTAAAATAGAAATTTTTTTATTGATTTTATATTTTAGAAAGAGCTTTGCTTTAAAATATATATCATGTTGGCAATGAAAAACTTAATTCCAGTGGATACCAGTTGTGAAATCATTAAGTTGATAAAAAAATAGCTGTCCATAATTTTGATATACAAATAGAAATACTATAGGTCATAGTGCAACTACTTATAACTGTTGAACTCTGGTTTTTATTTTGCATTTCCAAACAAACTGTTGCTCAGAGTTTGTGGATGATGATCTAGTGGCCATTTAATGGTAGTTTTTAAATTGGTGTCAAGAGGTGGAAGGGCAGAGATGGTGCTTTCATTGACTCTTAAGTATAAGGAAAATGTTACTGGTTTTTTATTTCTGTGTATATGAAGCTCCTAAAAATAAAAGGTTAGAGCATTTTATCCAAATAAATATCTTTTCAGAGCATATGAACACTGTGAAGGAGCTAAAGACTTAGATAATAATCAATACCTGTGAAATCTGATATTAATTTAGGGATTTAAAATAGACCTGTAGACAGTGAAACATTTGCAGTGAATGATAATTGAAACAAAGAAATACTCTGAATTTTCAAGTATAAATTCCTGTTGTTTTCCTAGGAACCCCTCATATATAAATGAGTGCAGTTGGTCATGAAGTTGACTGAAAACATTAATCACTTAGTAACACGGAAGAGGTAAGCATAATCTGATGAAATTCGGTTTATATCATTGTTGGAGACCTATTTTATTTAACAATCAAAGAATTAATATGAGCCAAGCTCAGTGGTGCACATCTGTAGTCCCAGCTACTCTGGAGACTGAGGCAGGAGAATCCCTTGAGCCCAGGAGTTAGAGGCCAACCTGGACAATATATCAAGACACTCTCAGAAAAAAAAAATTTAATTTGAGGTATTTTTCTTTTATTTGAATATTCAAGATAAAGCTGTGCATCTTGAAACATATGAATTAAAGCCATTTTAAAGCTGAGATAGGCTAGAAAAGCCTTATCCTGGAATCTTAATAAAGGTAGTCATTTGAGAAAGAAAAGTGTAGATGAATAAATACAATCCCTTGAGGACAATATTCATGTGGAAAAGAATTTCCAGATTTGTAAAAAATAATGGCATGTAATTTTGCGTTAAGGACACAGCATTCCTGCATTTGTATTTGCAGAAATCAGTGTTCAAATATCAAATACATCATTTGTCAAAATTGCCTTTTGCAAAACTGACATCCTTTCAACTTTGGGCATGATTAATTTACTAAGGGAAAAAATACTTACTTCTCCCTGGACTTTAACCACATTTGTATTTAGAATTATCATTAAAAATGGTATTTCTCAAAAAAAGTTGACAGGTCAAGATAGATATACTCATGTAGCTATCAAATAGAAAACTGTTCCCAAAGCAATTATTTCAATTTTATAGAAAAAAATGACATTTTCATTCCTAGTTTACTTATGTTTTATCCCAGTCACTTGTATTTCATACTACTTTTAGGGTATGTGTGAAACGTGCAGTATTTGATCACTTAAAAGCCTAATTTAGGAGGCATCAGCCAGAAACAGGTGCAATATATTGCGTCCAAAGTAATTGTGCAGATTTTTCATCATGAGAAATGGTTGCTTTATTTCAAATAGATTTTCTTTCCTCTTTTCTCTATTTCTTACATGCCATGTTGTAAGAGAATATTTTCTTTCTGCTGACCTTGAGGCAGGGCAAGAACAAACTTTTCTTTCAGAGCACAAGAGTTCATTTATGTGAGGTACCTAGGAAAATTAAGAAAGCCAGTTAGATAAGCTTAATGGGAACTCATGATGGGTTCAGATTTTTCAACATTTCTTTAGGAAACTTTTTATTTGCCAGTTTCGTTTTACAGGGTGAACTATATGTCCTGATTCTAAGAAGACATTATAGGTACCAACACATGGTCTGTATATCCACCAATACAATTTTCAGTCTGTCCTGTTCATACTTTCCAGAACTGTCTTTCTTGCAAACCAAATTAAATTGTGCCATTGTCTTCCCTGAAAAACAGGGTTTTAGCTCTCTCTTATCCTGTAGGTTCAAGTATAAAGTCCTTAATATGGCTTACAACACTCCAGTTACAAACCTCCTCCAAATCTTCACTTCTCAACTTTATTTCACTATTCCACTCCTTAGGTATACTTGCTCCTCATTGACTTTCAGACCCCTAAATCCATTTACCCTCTGCCTTTTCTGTACTTGTCCTTCCCAGCTGATTGCTCTCATTTCAATTCATGACCCAATATTAAATGGTTTGTAGTGCTGCCCCACAATCATTCCTGGTCCACTCACCCAGATAACTTTTCCATACTTTCCCTTCTCTTCTTCAATTTCTAATACATTCTCCATCTTTGCTTTTTGCTGATTACCTTGCTTCCTATTCCACTGAAAAAGCAGATGTCTCGGAAGAGAATTTCCCCAAGCTTCCTCCATCACATCCACCCACCTTGCTACATCTGTGCCCAGGCAGTGTGCCTTCCCTCCTGCCACTAGAGAGGAATGTCCACACTCCTGTCTAAGCCCAGCCCCTTGATTTGGACACTAGATTCATTCCCTCTACTCCGGATGGTACTTTGGAAAATCTCACCTCTTTGGCACATCAATTTCCCGTCAATTATGGCATCATTCCCAGAAACATAAACATGTTGTTACTTTTCTCATCTTAAAAAGAAATCCTCTCCTTTTTTCACCAAACTGATGCTTTTTTAAAAAGAGAAAGAGAGAAGAAAGAGAGAAAGAGAGAGAGAAAGAAAAAGAGAGAGATAGAAGAAGAAAGAGAAAGAGAGAGAAAGAAAGAGAGAGAAAGAAAGAGAGAGAGAAAGAAAGAAAGGAAAGAAAGAAAGAAAAAGAGAAAAGAAAGAAAAGAAAGAAAGAATCCTCTTTCACTCCATCCTTCCCTCTTGGATACTGTACCATATTTCAGTTTCCCTTTTCTGCAAAAACTGGAGATGACTTCATCATCTACAGTTCTTCTTATCTATTATAATAATTCTAAAACCAACTCAAATCAGGCCTCATTGACCACTGATACTTCTTTTTTCAAAGTCACCAAAGACTTCCATGTTGCTAAGTCCTTTGGGCAGTTCTCAGTCCTCATCTTACTTGACCTATCAGCAGCATTTAACTCACTGTAAATGCTTTCTTTTTTGATACAGCATCTTCACTTTTAGGATACTACTTCAAGTTTTTTTTTTTCTCATTGGTCAGTTTTTCTCAGTCTCCTTTGCTAATTCCATTTATCTCCCCAAACCCTAAATGTTGGCAGGTCCTAGATCCAGTCCTCAGATCTCTACTCTTTCTACACTCATTCTCTTTAAATACATTTATACATTGATTATCACCAAATCTATGTCTCTGGTCCAGAGCTCTCCCCTGAACTCTAGGCTCATATATCTCTCTATTTGACATCTTCACTTGGACGTCTAAAAAGTATCTCAAATACATTATGTCCCAAAATGAAATCTTCATTTCCTTAAAATCTGTTAATTCCACAGTTATGTCTCCATGGTAAAAATAAATTCTATTTTTTCAGATGCTTGAGTTAAAAATCTTGGAGTTTCCTTTACTCTTCCCTTTCTTGCATACCCCACCCTCACATCCAATCTGTCAGCAAGTACTGTTGGCCTTTTATTTGAAATATATCTAAATCAGACCACTTTTCATCACCTCGACAATTACCACTGTGGTCCAAGCCACCATCATTCTTCATCTAGAATGTTGCGACAGCCTTGTCAGTTGTTTCCTTATTTTTGCCTCTCTAACTCACTATTTTATTTTTTAATACATAAACCAGAATGCTTTTTTTTTCTTTTTTAACTTAGGTCTGATTATCTGATTCCTCCACTTAAAAAGCTCCGTGGTCTTCCAACTCTGTTATATTAAAAACCAAGATCATGCCCTTGCTCATCAGAAAAATAAAAAAAGGCCCCAACCCAAGGTCATTACCATGAGCCTAGTGTGCCTAATTGGATTTTGGAGGCAACACATTCCTCATTTGGGTGTGTTACTCCAGCCCATTTATCGAATGACCCAAAAAGCTGCCAGTTTTGAGTGGGGTCTAGAACAGGAGAAGTCTCTGCAACAGGTCCAGGCTGCTGTGCAAGCTGCTCTGCCACTTGGGCTATATGACATAGCAGAGCCAATGGTGCTTGAGGTGCCAGTGGCAGATAGGGATGCTGTTTGTAGCCTTTGGCAGGCCCCCATAGGTGAATCATAGCAGAGGCCTCTAGGATTCTGGAGCAAGGCCCTGCCATCATCTTCTGCAGGTAACTACTCTCCTTTTGAGAGACAGCTCTTGGCCTGTTACTGGGCTTTGGTAGAAACTGAACGTTTGACTATGGGTCATCAAGTCACCATGCAACCTGAACTGCCTATCATGAACTGAGTGCTTTCTGACACATCTGGTCATAAAGCGGGATGTGCATGGTAGCATTCCATCATCAAATGAAAGTGGCATGTACGTGATTGGGCTTGAGCAGGTCCTGAGGGCACAAGTAAGTTACATGAGGAAGTGGCTCAAATGCCCATGGTCCCCAATCCTGCCACCCTGCCTTCTCCCCACTAGCCTACACCAGTGGCCTCATGGGGAGTTCCCAATGCTGAGGTGACAGATGAAGAGAAGACTAGGGCCTGGTTCGCAGATGGTTCTGCATGATATGCGGGCACCACCTGAAGTGGACAGCTGCAGCACTACAGCCCCTTTCTAGGACATCCCTGAAGGACAGCAGTGAAGGGAAATCTTCCCATTGGGCAGAACTTCGAGCAGCGAACCTCATTGTGCACTTTGCATGGAAGGAGAAACGGCCAGATGTGTGATGATATGCTGATTCAAGGACTGTAGCCAATGGTTTGGCTGGATGGTCAGGGACTTGGAAGAAGCATGATTGGAAAATTGGTGACAAAGAAATTTGGGGAAGAGGTATGTGGATGGGCCTCTCTAAGTGGTCAAAAACTGTGAAGATATTTGTGTCTCCTGTGGGTGCTCACCAAAGGGTGACCTCAGCAAAGGGGGATTTTAATAAAGTGGATAGGATGACTCATTCTATGGACACTACTCAGCCTCTTTCCCCATCCACCCCTGTCAACACCCAATAGGCCCATGAACAAAGTGGCCTTGGTGGCAGGGATGGACGTTACACATGGGCTCAGCAACATGAACTTCCACTCACCAAAGCTGACCTGGCTACAACCACTGCTGAGTGCCCAATTTGCCAGCAGCAGAGAACAACGCTGAGTCCTCAGTGTGTCACCATTCCTCAGGGTGATCAGCCAGCTACTTGGTGGCAAGTTAACAACATGAAATGATTATATTGGACCTCTTCTATCATGGAAAGGACAGTGGTTTGTCCTAACTGGAATAGACAGTTGCTCTAGATATAGCTTTGCCTATCCTGCATTCTATGCTTCTGCCAAGACTACCATTCATGGACTCATGGAATGCCTTATCCACCATCATGGTGTTTCACATGGCATTGCCTCTGACCAAGGCACTCACTTTATGGCTAAAGAAGTACAGCAGTGAGCTCATGCTCATGGAATTCACTGGTCTTACTCCATTCCCCATCATTCTGAAGCAGGATGATAGAATGGTGGAATGGCCTTTTGAAATTACAACGCCAACTAGGTGACAATATTTTGCAGGGCTGGGACAAAGTTCTCCAGAAGGCTTTGTATGCTCTGAATCAGCATCCAATATACAGTACTGTTTCTCCTATAGCCAGGATTCACAGGTCCAGGAATCAAGGGGTGGAAGCAGAAGTGGCACCGCTCACCATCACTTCTAGTGACCCACTAGCAAAATTTTTGCTTCCTGTTCCCACAACATCACATTCTACTGGCCTAGAGGTCTTAGTTGCATTGGGAGGAACGCTGCCACCAGGAGACACAACACTGATTCCATTAAGCTAGAAGTTAAAATTGCCACCTGGCCACTTTGGGCTCCTTCTACCTCTGTCAACAGGCTAAGAAGGGAGTTACAGTGTTGGCTGAGGTGATTGACCCAGACTATCAAAATGATATCAGTCTTCTACTCCACAATGGAGGTGAAGAAGAGTATGCGTGGAATACAGGAGATCCCTTACGGTACCTCTTAGTGTTACCATGACCTGTGATTAAGGTCAATGGGAAACAACAACAACCCAATCCAGGCAGGACTGCAAATGGCCCCAGACCCTTCAGGAATGAAGGTTTGGTTCACTCCACCAGGTAAAAAGCCATGACCTGCTGAGGTGCTTGCGAAAGGCAAAGGGAATACAGAATGGGTAGTAGAAGGAGGTTAGGCATCAATACCAGCTACAACCACATGACCAGTTGCAGAAACGAGAACCATAATTGTCATGAATATTTCCTCCTCCTTTTGTTAAGAACATGTTTGTTCATGTATACACTTGAACTAAAAATATCTCCATCTTATTTCCTTTCTTTTTCCTTTATCATGTGACATAAGCTTTATTGACTTTATATCAGCATTTAAGTGATGTTAACTTTATGTAATAGTATTTGGGTTGGGGATTGGTGCACTTTCGGTTATACAAAGAATAACTGTATTATATTAGGTGTAATTATGACCTTATTATTGTCTTTATTTGAAGATGATGTATGATTTCAGGACACGTGTATGGGTTCAAATTGACAAGGGGAGGACTTGTAATGGTTATTATAGTCAACTTGATTGGATGGAAGGATGCAAGGTATAGTTCCTGGGTATGTCTATGAGGGTGT
The DNA here is from genome assembly GCF_000001405.40 of Homo sapiens. Classification (NCBI taxonomy): domain Eukaryota; kingdom Metazoa; phylum Chordata; class Mammalia; order Primates; family Hominidae; genus Homo; species Homo sapiens. The sequence continues at coordinate 106,117,602 of NC_000011.10, forward strand.
TGCCAAAGGAGATTAACAGTTGAGTCAGTGAACTGGGAGAGGCAGATCCTCAATCTGGGTGGGCACCATCTAGTCAGCTGCTAGTAGCGGCTAGGACGAAAGCAGGCAGAGGAACGTGGAGGGACTAGAATGGCTGAGTCTTCTGGTCTCCATCTTTCTCCAGTGCTGGATGCTTCCTGCCCTCGAACATCAGACTCCAAGTCCTTCAGCTTTTGGACCCTTGGACCTGTACCAGTGGTTTGCCAGGGACTCTCGGGCCTTCAGCCACAGACTGAAGGTTGCACTGACAGCTTCCCTACTTTTGAGGTTTTGGGACTGGCTTCCTTGCTCCTCAGCTTGGAGATGGCCTGTTGTGGGACTTAACCTTGTGATCATGTGAGTCAATACTCCTTAATAAACTCCCATTCATATATACATCCATCCTATTAGTCTTGTCCCTCTAAAGAACCTTGACTAATACAGAAAGCATACATTATCTGGCTCCCTGCTACCTCTTTGACATTATCTTCTATCAATCCTTCCCTCCCTTACTCTGCCCCAACTGTACTGGCCTTCTTGCTGTTATTCACACACACCATGCAAGTTTCCACTTGTGAAACTTTACAAAAATCTTGGAAAATCTTCCCCTGGTTTGCCAGTGAATTGAATCCTTACCTCCTTCTGGCCCGCGTGAAAATATTAGCATGTCAATAAAGCCTTCCCTGGCCACCCTAACTACAATTGCACCTTCTTTTTCTAATTTCTATCCCCCATTCCATTTATTTTTTTTTCTCAGAGTTATCATCATGATCCGATATATTAGTCATTTTACCTAAGTATCTTGTGTATTTATCTGTCCTTCTACCCCTATTAAATATTAACTCCATGGGGGCAGAGATTGTGGTCCGTTTTGTTCATGGCTGTATTCCTTTTGCTTTGAATAGAGCCTCAATAAATATTTGTTGAAAAATTAAAAACCTTCATACTTTTATATTTTCTCTTCTTTTGGGATGTTTTGAATGTTTGTTCAAAAATTTCTTTTTTTTTTTATTGAGACAGAGTCTCTGTCACCCAGGCTGGAGTGGAGTGGCACGCTTTTGTCTCACTGCAACCTCCGCCTCCCGAGTTCAAGCAATTCTCCCGTGTCAGCCTCCCGAGGAGCTGAGACTACAGGCACATGCCACCTAATTCTTGTATTTTTAGTAGAGACAGGGTTTCACCATATTGGTCAGGCTGGTCTCGAACTCCTGACCTCAGGTGATCCACCCACCTCGACCTCCCAAAGTGCTGAGATTACAGTGGTGATCCACCGCGCCCATCCTCCTTAACAATTTCTTATTCTTCCTTCTGTAGTAAAGCATTCTACCACAGAGATCTTTGTTTCTTATGAAAGCAGCTTGCAGCTGCTTTTAGTAAAATAATAGTACTCACTAACATTTATATTGTGCTTACTTACTTTGATCTAAATGCTTTATCTGTTTTAATTATAGGTAGTATAGCAACCCCATGAAGTGGGGCTATTACAATGTCTATTTTACAAATGAGTTGACACAGAAAGTTTAAAATTATTCAGATAGTAAGTGGTAGAGCCAGGATATCTCAAATGCAAGGAATCTGGCTCTAAAGTCTTCACTTTGAACCACAGTGCTATACTGCTTAGAGATAGAAGTTCATTGTTAAGTAGGTCTTAAGGACCCCTCCCTTCTGTGGACGAGGTATATAGACATTTTCTTTTGATTTATGGAAGCCAGCGCCTCTTAGCATTGGAATCAGAGTGTTCTTGAAAAGGGTTGGATAAATAAGAAGCATGTGGACATTCCAGGAAGAAGAAACTGAGTTGGGATTTGGTTTTCTGGTGGACTAGGATGTTCCTTACCAAAGCTCAGTGACAGAGAAAGGTGACAATTTTTATTGCAATTGTGAAAGTCAGGACTGGAAGTAGTTTTGAGTTGTGGGAAGGAGCAAAGAGTTGGATTCTGTTACCATGATGCAGCAAATCCTGCAACTAGTTCTGACCCAGCCACTTTGCTCTCCAGGAAGCAACTGGACAGGTGAACTGAAAAAACAGCTCAGAAAAGTCTCAAACACTTTGGGCCCATTAGGGTGGGAAGTCATTTGAATCAAACACTATACCTTCCTCAAATAGCCTTTAGAGCCAGCTTCCTCCACAGAAGTGCTGCCGTCCACACTCCCTTCTTCAGGTCTTGCCTTTGCTCCTGAAAGGCTTTGCCTCACAGCTGGCTACCCAGTCACCATCCTCTGAAATGACAGGCCCTCTGCAACCTGAGCAACCTCACCACTCTGGGCCAGTTCTGTGTTCTGTGTTCTGTGAATATAAATAGGTGAAAGGATGAGAGAGCACTGATCTTCAAGGACCGTTTGCATTTGGTTATACTACTAATGATGCTTTCTACTGTTTTATAAATTCAAGTTAATTGATTTAACATATACAAATTAGATGCCTACTTTGTATAAAGTAGGTCTCTTCTCAGAGCATAATGCTGGGGAGTGGGTTCTTCCACCCTCAAAGGGTCTTTACAACTGTGATAAGATGCTGCCTTATTCCCTGGAGTAACCACCGAAACCCCATGCTTCCAACACTGCCTGCCAAAGTCAGTTTTAAAGGTTCAGTTGCCATGAATTAGTTAGCAAACTGGGTTAGGGCAAAACTGGTACCTACTCCCCCTTTGATGTGTAAAAGAGGAGAAAATGAGAGTTGTGAAGTTAGTCTGAATTTCTTATACCTGATAGATGGTAACTCCAAGCATGACACTGCCAGGGACCCATTAATTGCATTTTAATGTTCAAAACAGGTGGTCAGGTAATACTTCAAAACCCATCACAAATGTTATCGTGTTGACTTCTTCATGTTGTATTTTGAACTACTATTTCAACATTTCCTTGCCTGGATCAAAATATGTATGTTTGTATTTATTGATTGATCACTCTGTCTCTCCCCACTAAACCATAAATTCCTCAAGGGCAGAAACCCTTTCTTGTTATCTACATAGCCTTAGACCTGGCTGTGCCTTACACGATGGGACTCTAAATAAATGCTTGATAATTGAGTGGATGAATGAACAAATACATGAATGGATATGTAATAATTTTTTTGTCAGATTAATGTTATTACTATCGGTTATACATTTAGTTTTAACAAAAACTTTATAAAGAAATGGTGTCTTGTATTAAAAGAGAGATTTTGTCGCAGATATTTTGGGGTAATCACTTTTATTTTATATTTTTTGAAACAGAGTCTCACTCTGTCACCTAGGTTGGAGTACAGTGGCATGATCTTGGCTCACTGCAACCTCTGTCTCCTGGGTTGAAGTGATCGTCCCACCTCAGCCTCTTGAATAGCTGGGACTACCAACATGTACCACCATGCCTGGCTAATTTTTGTATTTGTTGTAGAGACAGGGTTTTGCCATGTTGCCCAGTCTGTGCTCGAACTCCTGGTCTCAAGCAATCTACTTGTCTCAGCCTCCCAAAGTGCTGAGATTACAGTCATGAGCCACCACGCCCCAGTGATCGCTTTCTAAAAAAATAAAAAAAATTTTTTTTGTAGACACGGGGTTTCCTTTGTGGCCCAGACTGGTCTCAAACTCATGGCCTCAAGTAATTCTTTTGCTTGGGCTTCCCACAGTGCTGGGATTACAGGCAATTATAGGCATAAAACACCATGCCCTACCTAAAGAAAACCTTATATGTTTAAAAAGATGTTTCCTTTATACAAAGTAGGCATGTAATTTGCATATGTTAAATCAATTAAGTTGAATTTATAAAACAGGAGAAAGCGTCATTAGTCGTGTAACCAAATGCAAGTCCAGTTGCTTTCCACTGGCAGTGTTCAATTAACAAGAGCGAGGTCTAGTAGACACAAAGTGACCTTATTCCAGAGCTAGCTGAGGCGAGGTAGTATAGGCACCTGCCTTGAGGGCACCACTTCAGCTTTCAGGGCAGAAAGCAGGGTCTTTAAAGGGGAACTTAGTGTGAATAGCATGCAGGGGAGTGAGCAAGGAGGTGCCAGGTCTACATGACTTGTTCAATGTCTTATTCATTGGGTGGTCTGGGTGGTGCGATCACAGGCAAAGGTAGGCTGTAAATTAGGACTTGTCTGGAGGCAATCTCGCAGTAGGGGAGATAGCTCTGGAAGTGCCTGGTTTGTTTAAAGACTCCTCCCTGGAACTTCTGAGTAAACACGTAGATAAACTTGCAGTGCAGTAAGTGCCTAGTGGAGTGAAGGTAAAGGTTTTAATTGCATTCCTGAAGAGCTAAGTAAAAGGTGAACAAACAGGGAAAAGGAAAAGAGGTTGAAGATAATTTTTAGGAAAATGGGGTATTTGGTTACCGTAGAAAGAGTAGAGCTGATTGTAGTCCCATTTTTGCCACTGACCTTACCTTGAATAAAGAAGTTAACCTCAAAAGTCCCACTGGCTCATATATACTACAGTTTCATGAATTTATAAGTGGAAGTAAACTTTATATCTACTCTTCAATGAAATCACTGAAAAGGCAAATAAAAACATGCAACCACCTCAAGGCACAGCCCATTTTTCTAAGAAGAGAAGAATTTGAGGAATGATCGCCATTAGACTTCCTTGGAAATGGTTTATTTTGCAATTGTGGCACTAACCTCAGAAAAAAACTATTGTTTGAACATTTGACTCATTATTCAAAAACTCACATACTCTCTTATTATTTTGAGATACGTCCCATCAATACCTAATTTATTGAGAGTTTTTAGCATGAAGCGTTGTTGAATTTTGTCAAAGGTCTTTTCTGCATCTATTGAGATAATCATATGGTTTTTGTCTTTGGTTCTGTTTACATGCTGGATTACATTTATTGATTTGCATATATTGAACCAGCCTTGCATCCCAGGGATGAAGCCCACTTGATCATGGTGGATAAGTTTTTGATGTGCTGCTGGATTCGGTTTGCCAGAATTTTATTGAGGATTTTTGCATCAATGTTCGTCAAGGATATTGGTCTAAAATTCTCTTTTTTGGTTTTGTCTCTGCCCGGCTTTGGTATCAGGATGATGCTGGCCTCATAAAATGAGTTAGGGAGGATTCCCTCTTTTTCTATTGATTGGAATAGTTTCAGAAGGAATGGTACCAGTTCCTCCTTGTACCTCTGGTAGAATTCGGCTGTGAATCCATCTGGTCCACAGCCAATATCATACTGAATGGGCAAAAACTGGAAGCATTCCCTTTGAAAACTGGCACAAGACAGGGATGCCCTCTCTCACCACTCCTATTCAACATAGTGTTGGAAGTTCTGGCCAGGGCAATTAGGCAGGAGAAGGAAATAAAGGTTATTCAATTAGGAAAAGAGGAAGTCAAATTGTCCCTGTTTGCAGATGACATGATTGTATGTCTAGAAAACCCCATTGTCTCAGCCCAAAATCTCCTTAAGCTGATAAGCAACTTCAGCAAAGTCTCAGGATACAAAATCAATGTACAAAAATCACAAGCATTCCTATACACCAATAACAGACAAACAGAGAGCCAAATCATGAGTGAACTCCCATTCACAACTGCTTCAAAGAGAATAAAATACCTAGGAATCCAACTTACAAGGGACATGAAGGACCTCTTCAAGGAGAACTACAAACCACTGCTCAAGGAAATAAAAGAGGATACAAACAAATGGAAGAACATTCCATGCTCATGGGTAGGAAGAATCAATATCGTGAAAATGGCCATACTGCCCAAGGTAATTTATAGATTCAATGCCATCCCCATCAAGCTACCAATGACTTTCTTCACAGAATTGGAAAAAACTACTTTAAAGTTCATATGAAACCAAAAAAGAGCCCACATCGCCAAGTCAATCCTAAGCCAAAAGAACAAAGCTGGAGGCATCACACTACCTGACTTCAAACTATACTACAAGGCTACAGTAACCAAAACAGCATGGTACTGGTACCAAAACAGAGATATAGATCAATGGAACAGAACAGAGCCCTCAGAAATAATGCTGCATATCTACAACTATCTGATCTTTGACAAACCTGAGAAAAGCAAGCAATGGGGAAAGGGTTCCCTATTTAATAAATGGTGCTGGGAAAACTGGCTAGCCATATGTAGAAAGCTGAAACTGGATCCCATCCTTACACCTTATACAAAAATTAATTCAAGATGGATTAAAGACTTAAACGTTAGATCTAAAACCATAAAAACCCTAGAAGAAAACCTAGGCATTGCCATTCAGGACATAGGCATGGGCAAGGACTTCATGTCTAAAACACCAAAAGCAATGGCAACAAAAGCCAAAATTGACAAATGGGATCTAATTAAACTAAAGAGCTTCTGTACAGCAAAAGAAACTACCGTCAGAGTGAACACGCAACCTACAAAATGGGAGAAAATTTTCGCAACCTACTCATCTGACAAAGGGCTAATATCCAGAATCTACAATGAACTCAAACAAATTTACAGGAAAAAAACAAACAACCCCATCAAAAAGTGGGCAAAGGATATGAACAGACACTTCTCAAAAGAAGACATTTATGCAGCCAAAAGACACATGAAAAAATGCTCATCATCACTGGCCATCAGAGATATGCAAATCAAAACCACAATGAGATACCATCTCACACCAGTTAGAATGGCAATCATTAAAAAGTCAGGAAACAACAGGTGCTGGAGAGGATGTGGAGAAATAGGAACACTTTTACACTGTTGGTGGGACTGTAAACTAGTTCAACCATTGTGGAAGTCAGTGTGGCTATTCCTCAGGGATCTAGAACTAGAAATACCATTTGACCCAGCCATCCCATTACTGGGTATATACCCAAAGGATTATAAATCATGCTGCTATAAAGACACATGCACATGTATGTTTATTGCGGCACTATTCACAATAGCGAAGATTTGGAACCAACCCAAATGTCCAACAATGATAGACTGGATTAAGAAAATGTGGCACATATACACCATGGAATACTATGCAGCCATAAAAAATGATGAATTCATGTCCTTTGTAGGGACATGGATGAAACTGGAAATCATCATTCTCAGTAAACTATTGCAAGGACAAAAAACCAAACACTGCATGTTCTCACTCATAGGTGGGAATTGAACAATGAGAACACATGGACACAGGAAGGGGAACATCACACTCTGGGGACAGTTGTGGGGTGTGGGGAGTGGGGAGGGATAGCATTAGGAGATATACCTAATGCTAAATGATGAGTTAATGGGTGCAGCACACCAGCATGGCACATGTATACATATGTAACTAACCTGCACATTGTGCACATGTACCCTAAAACTTAAAGTATAATAATAAAAAAAAACTCATATACTCTCTATTGTTCAAACAGATCAAATTCTACTTCATAGATAAGTTGAAAAGTTCGTGAGATCAACAATGAAATAATAACACAACTGTGGCCTGACCTGGAGAGCTTTCAGGACCCAGAGCTAAACGAATAAAATAATATCCTGGTAAATTAGACATTAAGAGGACAATTACATCTTACTACAGTTGTGTAAATTTGCTGAAAATACCATAATAATGTAACTTTAGCTGATAGGAAATATTTTATAGCATATTTCTAACATGTACTGCATATAATTTACCCCCATAAAATCTTATATTAATTCACCTACTGGCATTAATTACATAATTATATTAATTAATATATTCTGAAGCTAATGTTATGCTTGATCAGATTCAAGCCCATAGACCTGTGCCCTACAGCAAATTGGATGCTACTAGTGCAGAAAGCAGAGCACAAGTGTGGTGTGCCCAGCAGGGCTTAGAGTTTTAATTAGATAAATCAGAGAAATCTGAATTATCTGTCACTTTGAAGTGCTTTTCAAAGCAAACCTCAAAAAATGCGCCTTGCAATAATACGATTTGGGGGTCAGAAAGTCATGTATAACTGGGCTGCTAGCTTTGCATTAGAGAAGAAAAATAAAAAGCTCCAGTTCTAAGAACTGTCAGGAAACGGGGAGAAACAATCGCAGCCCTCTGCAGTACCTGGGACATTTGGCATAAACTGATGCTTATCAATGTCTACCAGCTGTAGAGAAGTGGTTATCAAACTTTAGGAAACGTTTGGGAAGCTTGCAAAAAATGCAGCCACATAGTCCGCATCCTCAGAGATTCAGATTCATTCAGTGGGGCTGGCATGGGGTCAAGGAATCGGTATTTTAAACAGGCATACCCTTAAATGGCAAATTAAAAAAAAAATAAGGTGCTTATTTCTCTGTAAAACAACAGTCGTTTGTGTGAACTGTTGGTTTTCCCAGAAGAGTAACAAAATCTTTGTTGTTTTCATCACCTCAGACTTTAAGGGCATTAGGTTTGTAGCCATAATGACCTGCACGTGTATTTCAGACCTCTTGTTCTCAACAGAAAAAATCCTTCGCTTTTAAGTCATGTCTTGTTGTCTGCTCAGATAGAACTTTTAAAGGATGATTAAGAAATTTGAGCTAACTTGCCCAGCTCAACTTTCCTTCCAGTTTTCAATTTTAGTGTAGAAGCAAAGTTTATTTATTTATGTGTTTGTTTATCCACTCACCATTTATTATCTAATGTATGTGAGCTATGTTTTAATCACTGAGTATAAAGATAAATAAAATGGTCTCTGTACTCAAGGAGTTCATAATCTCTTAATGGTGATATACATATAGGTAAATAAGTTTAATAAAGTGTTACTGATGTCATTATAAGAACATATGCACAGTATGGTTGAAAACAAAGAAGCAGGTCAACTCTCGCTGGGTGGGAATAGAGTCCTGAGGGAGCTACATGAAGGAGTTTATATTTAACCTGATCTTGAAAGTGTTATTTGATGGGCTAATAGGAGAGAGAAGTGATTCTAGGCAAAGGGAAGCAGCAGCAAAGGCTCGGAGGTAGGAAAAAGAACATTGGCTCTCTGTGTTGGATGTGGGTGGGTTAGGCGGAAGACTTAGCTTCTAAGGTTCGTGAGTTATCTGCAAGGAGGGCTACAGTGAGATGTGAATGGTAGGTAGGGTGGTGGTCATCAACAATTTATTAGGCTAAGGGATTTGAATTTTATTCTATACATGATGGGAAGCCATTGGGAAGATTTAAAGTAATGGATTACTCGGATGGTTAATAAAGCTAGAATTTCATGAGTCAAAAAAGGGAGATTTAGTGGAACTGTTAGTACAGATGCTTCATCCTTCTTATGTACGTGTTATCTGCAGATAAGTAAGGTAAATTTAAAAACTTGATGTTTCAAAAAGAAGATGAGCTTATTTATTGACAGTCAATCCTCTCATTGAGAGAATCACATAGAAGTGACCAAGTCACCTGTTTATCATTTTCCTCAAACATGAGATTGGATGTTTTAAAGAACAACCTTGTGGCTCCATAAAAACTTTCAGAATTATTTGCAAAGCCCATAAATCTTAATGAGGCTTGCTTCAGAGATGAGAAAAATTCGCATAAATTGTTTAAAAATAAAAAGCCATCTGCCTGCCTAAAGATTAATTCTAACCCAGACAATACAGCTGGCTCAGCTTTATGTCTTCTGTACTTGAATGTAGAAAGATATTGGTAATACATTAGTGCTCAAACTTCAAGCTATTTATTTATTTAGACTTGAGCATTGAAAACTCAATACAAACTATTAAGATCCTGTAAATGACATACAGCCAGGTGTATTGTTATTTCGTCAGACTTGTATTAAACTCATTTAGTTGGTTGATTTTTATACGACATTATTGTAAAGCTAGACTAGCATTCGTCATCTCTATATGCAGATACTCTATGAGAAACAATTCAAAACTCCTGTTCCATATTCTTTGCTCACAATGCCAGCATAGCTGAAACTACTTAACTTAAATTGTATAATTTAAAAAGAAATTCTGTGTGTGCAATGTGCATCCTCAGGATAAAAAGATAAAGATAAACCTGAGCAGTCTAAATGACGGCTCTCCTACTAAGTCCTGCTGCAGAGAATACATGCTGAGAACGCTCCCAGGGCTGAAGACTTGAGTCCATTTTACAGCTGGGGAAGGAAAGACTGGGGAAGTAAAAGTGGAGTTTTGGCTTCAGGGTGGTAAGATGTTTAAGAGACAAAGCTCTTATTGAATGAAATATTTATTTGTCAATGCAAAGTAGACATCCGCACGATTAGCAACCCTTTTTATGGTGGCAATGCTATCTAACACATTAATCTAAAACTTTGCTTCAATATTTGACTGATGGTTAAATGAGTAAATAAATAACGTGAAAGGGAAGAACAAATGCAGATTGTATGCCAAGTTAAAGTTTACTAGCTTATCAACAGGTTCATTTCAAGTGAGACACTAACAATACCAGTATAGAGAGGAAGTTTGACATCTAAACTATACACTCTGAACTACAAAGATGATTGTTGGAAGTTACCTGTGCTTTTGAGTAAACATTTGAGATTTTGTTTAGAGAATTTACTTTAGAAATATGCTTTTGTCGAGCTTTCTGTGCATTCTTCCTTTTAACAAAATGTTTTGTATGTATTTGAAACAGATTATTAATAAGTTACAAGGCTTTGTGTGGAGTTTGATTTGTTGGCCGCCGGAGATGCTCCTGTGCTCCCTGCTATTCACCAGAGTTGATAGCAGAGTTGATAGCATGTGTCAACTGGTTGGCACATGTATTAAGACTCAGATGCAAGTGTTAGAAATGTAACTTTATCTAGTTTGTGCAAAAAGGAGAAAAATAAGCTCATATATATCTGGGAAGATGACAGGAACTAACATTTTAGTTCCTGTTTTTTGCCTACTATGTGTCAGGCAAGAGCCTATACTCTAGAATCCGACTGCCTAGGTTCCAATCCTGAATTTGTACTACTTAGCTGTATGAGTTAAGGCAAATTATTAATACTTTCCCTCATTGTGCCTCAGTTTCCTTATCTATGAAATGGATATTCTAATAGTACATACTTGACATTGTTGAAAGGATTTAATGAAGCAATATGTGAAAGTACTTAGAATAATGGTATTATCATTTCATTAATCTTGGCAACATCCCTGATGAGGAAAGAATCATTAGTCTCATTTTACAAAAGAAGAAACAAGCTAAGAAAAGGTAGTAAGTGATTTGCAAAGGGTCACATAGCTTGTTGGGATGCAGCTGTCTTTCCACTCTCTATGTTGGCTTCTGATCCATGAAAATTGTGTCTTGGAAAGATTAATTTGGGGATGAACTGTCAAATGAATTAGAAAGGAGGAATATACTGTGGGAGGCCATAGCAATGATCCACCTAAAAACTCACAAAGGTCTGGATTTGAATAGTAAAAGCAGGACTCCATAAGACAGAATGAATTTGAAAGATATTACCAAGATAGAGTTGTTAGAATTTAGCAATAGATGGACTAATAACGAAAAAATGAGTTAAAGGTGCTGAGGCAGGAATGTGTAACCAGAGGCTAACTGTGTGTGGAGCATGACATTAAGGTAATGTAATGACATTAAGATATTCAGTTAGGGCTTTCTTTCAGTGAATGAATGAATAACAATTAGACTTTGAGTACAAATGTCGGGGAGCATTGTGTTATAGGGAACTTTAGAAGAGAAAGCAGGTTTGGAAAGTAGGCTGGTAAGCTTCATTTTGGATGCATTCATTTGGAGAAGTCTGAAAAATATCAGAAGGTTCCTGGCAGACATTCGAAAATATGAAGCTGGAGCTTAGGTGAGATTTTGGAGCTAGAGATAGAGATGTAGGAGTTAGCTTGGTGGATGTGGATTTTGAAGCCATATGATGAATTAAGATTTCTGGTGGAGAAAAAAATCCAGAAGAGAGATAAGGGCAAGAAGGAGGAGGAGGAAGAAGAGCTTGAGGTGCAGGCTGCACATGAGCAGTTGGAGAGGGTGGAGGGAGCCAGACATAACCTGGAGACAAGCAGGAGTGCCCAGGGACCACCACAGAGAGCCGGGAAGCACGAGGTAGAGGGTGCACAGATGGGAAGTGAAAAGGTCATTTCCTAGAGTCGTTTCTATATAGCAATGGGAATGGAAGCAAGATTCCACTGGGTAGAGGCATTAATAGGCTTTCCTGCTGTTGGGAACCTCTCCTTCCAACTATGCCAGATTCGAAGAGTGGCCTGGCTTTTGCCAGGTTGCGTTTGCTCAGAAAAACACAAAGTGCTGCTGCAGCCAAACGCACACTTTGTTTTTGTGGGGGTCTTGGCTTGAATTTTTGTTTTCTTTCACTCTAATGAACTGGTTGGGGCTTAAGCTGGCTCAAGTTGGTCCTCTGCGCCCACCCTGGCTCCTCTCAAACCCTGAAGGAAACCTTCCTCCCAGATAATCATTTTACACCTCATCTTACTGTCTGAAATTGACCAGAGAGACAGATGAGAAGCCTAAAAGGTAGGCAGACACTTGTTGCCCATCCCTTCACCCTTGCCATCTAAGGCTCATTTTACCATTTTTGTCCTTGTCCAAATGCTATCTCCTCTCGAACAGTGAGGCAGGAAGGAAAGTTGTGGTTAGACACGTGTGAGACAAGAGGCAAAGGTAGTTTGATGATAGAGACTCAGAGTTGACCAGAGAAAGTGTTAAAGAATGTTTCCTAGGATGGGGAAAATTTTAACATATCCCTGAACTGTGTGGAAAAAAATAAAAACTAAAAGAAGGCAAATTCAGTCTGGATCATGAGCATTCTGAGTTTCCGAAAGATACCCCTGTGTGTTAAGTCCATCAGAGCTTTAAAGTGAAGGGCTGTGGTTCAGGAGAGAGGACAGGCAGTAATTTTTTTTTTTTTTTTTGAGAGACGGAGTCTCTCTCTGTTGCCCAGGCTGAAGTGCAGTGGTGCGATCTTGGGTCACTGCAATCTCCACCTCCCAGGTTCAAGTGATTCTCCTGCCTCAGCTTCCCAAGTAGCTGGGACTACAGGCATGGCCCACCACGCTCAGCTAATTTTTGTATTCTTAGTAGAGACAGGGTTTCCCTATATGTTGGCCAGGCTGGTCTCAAGCTCCTGACGTCAGGTGATCTGCCTGCCTCGGCCTCCCAAAGTGCTGGGATTACAGGTGTGAAACATTGTGCCCAGCCCAGGCAGTAATACTCTTTTAATTGCAAATCCCGCATTCCTTTCTCCATCATCAGTACCTGCTGACCACATCCCCATCTCCCTTTGCAGTTGCTATGACACTATTTCAGGCCCTTGTTACTCCATTGAGACTAAGAGTTATTTATTTCCCTTTCTCCCAGTTATTCTTTCTCCTTTGCCCTTTTACACACGGCTCCAAGATTAACCTTTTGGAAATTCAGCTGCAATCCCATCACTCCCCAGATCAGTGGCTGTGGAGCACACTTACAAGATTGGAAAAGCCCACATAACTCACACACAAAAATATTCTTCTAATTTCCTGGAACTGTTTTTTCCCCCATCACCTGCTAAACATTTATATAATGATAAAGACCTGTTTTCCATCTCCCCCCAACCAATCCTGCAATCCACAATAGTTGAAGTGGTCGGGGAGGCAGAGCAGCATTTCTTTTCTCTTTAGTTCTGGTGGAACCAATATTTTTTCTTTATACATAAAACAATTCATTGTTATACATGAGGACATTTTACTCAGTAGAATGTTGTTGAGGTTGTACATAATGTATATTCATTTTTGTAGCAATGCATTCATTTCTATGCATTGCAGTTCAATGGAGCAGCACCAGAAAGAAAGAAAAAAAAAACCCACCATCCTTAAAGCCATTTTAACAAAATGTTTTAAATTATGTTTCTTTGAGTTAATGGTTTGAAAAGAAAAATGGGGAAAGTACATACATTTTACTAGAATGAGCCATCAGAGATCTAAATAAATGAACCAAATGAGTTTGTTTGAATGCTCCCATTCACATAGGATTACACATTCAAATAAAACTGTACATTTATTTGAATATGTAATCAAGGAGTTAAACATAAGTGACACTTATTTCTAAGTGTAGCATTCCTGGTTTACACATGTGAGTACCTCAATGTGTTGTTAAAAAGCAGAAAATAGTTCTTTCTATATGCATTTTACGCAAATTTCAAAGCTATTGTTATTGTTTATCAGCTTCATTGCTCCTCAGGCACAAAGACACTTGCACATATTACCAGCAATGCTGCTGCCAAATGGAAGGCTATATTCAAGTTTCTCAAGTTGTCTGAGCCTTTGGGAAAGTCAGAGTTCATTCATTTCTTCATTTTTCATTTGACAAGTCACTATGCTAGGTGCTGAGTTACAAAGGTATTTGAATCATCTAGGCATTTTAAAGTGCTTATCTCTACTGGTTTCTGTACTATTAGTTAGGATAAATTGTCCTGGTTCATGACCCAAATGCTTTTAGGTTTCTGATCTTTTAGGCCACCCTTGGTTCTTAAGGAATAGTGAATGTACAGCATGATGCAGGCAAATGCTCATGTTAATATGATGTGGCACATGAGTACAAATGGGGACTTACAACGTAAATATTAAAAGAGTTATTAACTAAACTAACAGAGTGCTATGTAAATTACATTCTATCCTCCTACCTTGTTCCTAGCTTCACAATGGCTGAAAGACCAAGTTTGAATTTAGGAATCCTTAGTTCCTCTGGGTTCTATGCTGGAATGTGGCAGCACTGGATGTATGGCCCCTACCCTCTGGCTGAGGCCTGCGGCCTGCTCCATTCTTTGCATACCCTGGGCTCTGTCATGTATCACAAAGGGTTTTACATTCACATGGGTGGATGACATTGTCAGCACATCCAAGCTCTGTCCATCTTGTATAAATAGTTGCTCTGGACCTAGTGAAGACCAATGAAGTGAGCACACTCTGGAAGCAGTTCTGGGCTGGTTGGGAGGGAATTTTGCAGTCCCACATACCTGGAAGGTGGTCTACAACAGGGAACGTGTGAGATCTGTCCCCTTGGTCTTACCCATGGAGGAAGGCAAGAGCCTTCTTCCTATATTACTAAGTGATCTCTAGACTGCCGGCACTTGGCTGGACAACTTGTGGATGACTTAAGAAGGACTTCCCTCCTTCTTAATTATTAAAGATGTTAATACTTAAGGTGTGTTCACACCTTTCCTACAGGTGCCTTTCTGGTCCTGCTTGGCCTTTTTAGCACAACCATAACTTAACCTGGGAGCAAGAGAAAACAGAAAATAGTATAGAGGAAGAAGGCTCTAACCTTTCTTTCTTCTACCCAACTCTACCCCAATGGTGGTGACACAGATCTAGCATGAATGAATAATGTCTGGAGGAAGGCTTTGTGTTGGCTTGAGTCAGTCAGTGTGTTTGTGGTCCTCAGCAATTACCGTGCAGTAGGACACAGCTCTTTCAGGACCCAGGGGTCTTGATGACTGCTGCCTAATCTGTTCTGTTATTTCTGAACAAAATGTGGAAAAGGAAGGTGGAAGGGTGGAGGGGAAGCAACAGATGGAAACATGTTGCTAGAGAATTACAGCTACTGAGAGATTTTCAGGATTAAAAAAGAAGTAGTTTAATTTGAATATTGTTTAAAAATAATCTGAGTTGTCAAGAAAGAAAACACAGTTGACTAAACATTGATATTGAATATCTGAATGATAATAAGAAATGCATATACAGAGCTATGTAAAGCAATGCAAATATGTCAACATGACAAAAATTTGTGTGAGTAGGCGACATGAATCAGCAACATGATGATGATAATGATGATGATGATGATTATTGACATTTACTGGGTGGTTACTTTGTGCCAGACACTGTTGTAAGGGACTAGTATATAGTAACTCATTTAATCTTTATAAATCCCTTGAGGCAGACACAATTAGTGACCGAATTTTGTAGATGACAAACTGGGTGTAGAGCTGTCTAGTAATTTGGACAAGGAATACAGGTGGTAAGTGACAGAGCCAGGATCTGACTCTGGAGCCTGCACTTCTAACCTCTACACATAGAGACAGAACTATCATCATCACTGAATTAGGCTACAGTGTGCATTTTTGTTTTGTTTTGGTATGTTTTCATTTTTTCCTATTACATAAATAACAGAATGGTGACATATTTATCAAACAGTTGATTTTTTTTTCTAGCTTATCTCTAAGAGTAAATTATTTTCTTTGGGAAGGTTGGGTGTGCTGTGTTGCTAATTTTGTCCCCACTGGATGTCCTTGAAGTCTCTATTTTGACCTTGGCCCTTATTAGATCTTGGGCTGGAATGAGTGACTGAGATCCCTGAGCTCTCCCTAGTGGTTAAAGTGTATAATCAGACTAATTACTGGAAAAAGCAGTTTGAATAAAGACAATGTGTTTTTGAGATAAGATTAAAATCCAGGACTGAAATATTGACACAATGGGAAGAAAATTGGCTAATGAAAAACCATGACATTACTTATTTGGTACACCATATAAAGTAACTGCCTGACAGACAATAGTTGTGATATTTCTTCCTCTCTAAAGAGCAGATGATGATGATTTTAAGGGCATATATTTTTCTCTAATCCAGATTAATATTTCTGAAATAAAGCTTCTGGTATGTCATTCTCTAGCTCCAAGTGCTTCAAGCGACCCCTCATGCTTATGGAATTAATTCCATAATTTGCAACTCTTGGCAAAATATACCTTAAACTTCTTCTGTTATGGGAAGTTTTTCTATCTCCCTTCATTACTTTATACTTAAACCAAACGAAACTTTCTTCTTACTCATCTCTGTTGCCATTATTTCCTCACCTTAAAATACCTCTCATAAGCCCACTCTTGTCTTTACATGTTCCAATCTTACCCACTTACAAGGTCCAGCTGAAGTGCTGGCATTTCCATAAAAATGTTCCTAATTTCTCAGATGGAAATAATGTCTTTCTCCTCTGAATTCTCAGGTCATATGTTTGTTTCTTTTATTACAAATGTCATTTTCAGCCTTGCATGATACATCATTATCATCTACATTTTGTTCTCTTGAGAACTGAACATATATCCAAATCATCCTTATATTTGTCATCGTAGTTTGCATAACACCTTGCGTACATTGGATATTCAAGTATGTGTCACACTGAAGTGAGTGAGTGACTGTGAACATATGTTCTAAGATCATATTTGAAACAGATTTAAGTCCTTTTGATTATCTCATTAATTGTGAACACATTACAGTGGAGGCTCTGGTGTCACCTAGGGACAACTGCAGAACAAAGGCACTCGTTTCTCTAGTTTGGAGTGTTAGCTCTAGTGCTGGCTCATAGCAGAGCCCCTTCCCAGGAGCCACCTCACCCAAGGCTATGACCCTTCACTGAGGACAGCTGGCATTCAATGACTGGTTAAGGTGGGGCTCAAATGACCTGCTCTCCTCCCTACATTTGAGACATCTCTAAAGAGTCTTCCAGCTTTGAAGTTCCCCATGAGATTTACTGAATCCTCAATTGCAACTGAATTCACAGTTCATTTTTTTCTATGTCCAGTCCTTATGGAGGTGGTTCCTGATAGAATTTCCCAGTTAAGTTTCTTCTATTCAAATCTCCAACTTCTATCTCAGAATCTGTTTCCTGGAGAACTAAATCCAAAAGACATATTTATCTTCACTGGATTATTTTCTAGAATACTTTGGCCTCATTCAGATGTGACTTGGAATAGGTTTGAATCCTGCCTTTATTGTTTACTAGGTCTGTGAAATTGGAATGTTAGTTATGTTCTTCTACCAGTTACAATTATGTTCAGTGGCATATAATGAAAACCCTAAATCAATGCTGGCTAAATTATATTAAGAACATCTTTCTCTCTCATACAGGAGAAGACAAGAAGTATGGTACAGAATCCTTATGATTGGGCATAAACCAGCTCTGATCCTCTAAGGTGTGGTCTTTGCCTTAAAGATCCCAAATAGCTGCTGGAGTTCCAGCCTCACATGCACTAACAGAATGGAGAAAGCAAAGAATGGCATGATCCCACCTTTAAAGAACACTTCCCAGAATTTTCTAAAAATCTTTCTTTATATTATCATTGACTAGAACATAGTCATATGTCGACACCTAACTATGTCTAAAAAATGTAGTCTTTCAATCACACCCATGGCAAAAGTTTTGTTCTTTATAAAATGGTTTGCTATAAAGAGTTAACATATATGCATTATCTGGCATAGGTGGTGGCCAATAAATGGTCCCGAATCCCTCCTTTTATATCACAGTTATTTATTTTAATATACACTTAGTATTTTCATACACTTAGTATAGTATTTTCATAAGGCAGCATTATAGCCAAGTAAGAAGCACTAGAAGCTAAATATCAGTGAGTACTGTTTGTCAAAACCTAATAAAAGTTGTGTGACTTTGAGATCTTTGAACCTTCTTCTGCTGTTGTCATAATAGAATTGTGATATGATTAATAAAAAGATGCCAATAAATACTGGTAACTAAAACAACTCCTTTTAATGTAGGTCAAGGATATAACTAAGAACATACAGATGCTACACAGATCAGTAGAGACAGCCACAATTCTAGCCACAGGGGCAGCTGTCAATGGTCTTCAGGGTCCCACCAAGGTGCTAACAATGATACTATCAGTTGGGACAGGAATTTTGCGTGAGTAGTATCCTCTACCTTTCTCTCAGACTTTTGCTTTTTTAATCCTGCCTCTCTTGACTATTCTGTAGATTCCCAGCTCTTCTTCTGCTTGCCAACAAGATGTATATAACTAGTAACAAACTCAGCATATTCCTGAGTGCTTATACAGAGGGCAAATCAAAGGTAACTTTCCAAGGACCAATTTTCCAGGTGTACCTGTCCCCAGCATTTCCTTTCTCTAGCTCTCTAGATTGGCTCTGCCAGTTTTGTCAAGCTGATCTGGGAAGGTTATATACAAGGGTTCCTGGAACTCTTCTATAGATTTTCACTCTGACTTTCTCATCTTGGCTGTCATCTGTCCCCATTTAACATCAAGGTGAGGAAAATCACATCCCCTACATCTCTGCACTGGACAGAGTTTGAAGCTCCTAATAATAAATTGTGATCAGTACATAGCTGCTTTTCTGTAAACTGTAAAGGATTTTATGGCTGTTCATGAAAAGCTACATCTATCTTTCACTTACTGAAATCAGTGTACTGCATCTCAGAATGCTCTTGATCACACTGGATTTGTGGATATTTCTATCTGTGAATTCTGATTTGCTTTACCATATTTGAGACCACTGGGATCGGATTTAGTGTTTTCTCTGTTGCCTTTTAAATTATTCTTTCCTTGAGACCTAGTTGCATCTGAGGTTCTTTATAATTATTCTAAGCCAAAACATAGACACCTGTATTTAAGGTAATCAGGAGCACTGACACCTACTCAGGGTAAAATGACCCCACTACAAAGTCACATCTTGATGGCACATCTTGATGGAAACCAATGAAGTTGGCTTGGTTCTCATACAGAGTCAGTATGGAGTATGGGAACACCACTTGGCTTTGTCATTGAAAAGACCTGGTTCTGAATCAATCCTTTGCCACTTTTCAGCTCTATTAAATTAATCTCTCTAAGAGTACTCCTTAGTATGCATAGCATTGCCGTAAGGATTAAGTGAGATATATGATGCCCAGTGCATAGTGTCTGACATAGTAACCACTTGACAAAGATTAACTTTTATAATTTTATTTATTATCTATAAAAAGAATTTCTTCCATTTATAGCTTTCTTTTAAAATATAATATTATAAGCACATGTTAAGCCCAACCAACTCTTATTTTGTGTGGCATCAATGGAGGTAATTCTCTAGTCTATTGACATGAGGAATTACTCTAATGTTTTTGAGGTGACTCATTCTTACATTCCTTGCACAAGCCCTCTTCAGCTCAATATTACTATTTTTTGAGGGCACTTTTGGATTTAATTAAGGTAATATTATTTTTATGTATCTTTTGTGTACATTTATAAATGAAACAAAACTATAATTTTATTTTCTTGTAGTGTCCATATCTGACATTGAAATTAAGATTACTCTAGCCTAATAAAAATACCTAGGCAGAGCCCAGAAATAAGACTGCACACCCACAATATCTGATCTTCGACAAAGCTGACAAAAACAAGTGATGGGGAAAGGACTCCCTATTCAATAAATGGTGCTGATATAACTGGTTAGCCATATGCAGAAGATTAAAACTGGACCCCTTTCTTACACCATATACAAAAATCAACTCAAGATGGACTAACATTTAAATGTAAAACCCAAAACTATAAAAACCCCTGGAAGACAACCTAGGCAATAACATTCAGGACATAGAGCTGGCAAAGATTTCATGGCAAAGATGCCAAAAGCAATTGCAATAAAAGCAAAAGTTGACAAATGGGGTCTAATTAAACTAAAGAGCTTCTGCACAGCAAGAGAAACTATCAGCAGAGTAAAAAGACAACCTACGGAATAGGAGAAAATATTTGCAAACTGTGCATCTGACAAAGGTCTAATATCTAGCATCTATAAGGAACTTAAACAAATGTACCAGAAAAATAAACAAACAACCCCATAAAAAAAGGGAGCAAAAGATATGAACAGACACTTTTCAAAAGGAGGCATACATGCAGCCAACAAGCATATGAAAAAGAGCTCAACACTGATCATTAGAGAAATGCAAAACAAAATCACAATGAGATTCCATCCCACACCAGTCAGAGTGGTTGTTATTAAAAAGTCAAAAAATAACAGCTGATGGTGAAGTTGCAGAGAAAAGGGAATGCTTATACTCTGTTGGTGGGAGTGTAAATTGTTCAACCATTGTGGAAAGCAATGTGATGATTTTTCGAAGAGCTAAAAGCAGAACTACCGTTTGACGTAACAATCCCATTACTGGATATACCCAAAGTAATATAAATCATTTTACCATAAAGACACATGCATGCATATGTTCATTGCAGCATTATTCACAATAGCAAAGACATGGAATCAATCTAAATGTCCATCAATGACAGATTGGATAAATAAAATGTGGTACATATACACCATGGAATACTATGCAGCCATAAAAAAGAATGAGCTCATGTCCTTTGCAGGCACATGGATAGAGCTGGAGGCCATTATCCCTAGCAAACAAATGCACCAACGGAAAACCAAATACCACATGTTCTCACTTAGAAGTGGGAGAATACGTGTACACAAAGAGAACAATAGACTCTGGGGCCTACTTGAGGGTGGAAGGTGGGAAAAGGGAGAGGATCAGAAAAAAATAACTACTGTCTACTAGGCTTAGTACCTGGGTGACAAAAGAATCTGTACACCAAACCCCTGTGACATGAGTTTACTTATATAACAAACCTGCACATGTACCCTTGAACTTAAAATAAAAGTTAAAAAAAAGAAAGGGTAAAGTATAAAGGAAAGAACATGGCCTTTATCTTAATTAGACAGGTTTGAATGACAGTTCCATCACTTACTATCCATGTGTCTGTAGACAAATCACATAAACTGTCTAAACCTCAATTTCTTCATATGCAAAATAAAACTAATACAAACTTACTTGTGAAGCTATTGTAAGCATTAAATATTAGGTTGGTGCAAAAGTAATTGCAGCTTTTGCCATTGTTTTCAAAAACCACAATTGCTTTTGCACCAACCTAATAAAATAATGTTTAAAAAGACAGTAAAGAATTTTTTCTTGAAAATTTTATAGAATTTATCTGTAAAACTAAGATACCGTGAGTTTTTTTTGGAAGGAGCAGTCTTTGATTACCATTTCAATTCCTTTATGACTGCTCTGTTAAAGTCCTCTTTTTCTTGCACCAAGTTTGCATTTTATACAATTTTAAAAATGTTTCCATTTCACTTATATTTTCAAATTTATTAGTGCATAGTTGTATATAATTCCTCCTTATTTTTAAATCTCTGCTGTCTCATTTCCCTTTTTCATATTTACTTTGGCTTATGATCATCTTTTCTCCTTTCTCTCTTACTTAATGTTACTATGTGAATACTTGTCTTATTATATTAATCTTTTTAAACAAACAGCATTTGGGCTTGCTATTATTCTGCCCTCACATTTATTATTTTCTTCATTCTTATTTTTTTGGATTTGCTGTTTTTCTTTGTTCAACTTCTTGAGATGAATGCT
Organism: Homo sapiens; assembly: GCF_000001405.40. Lineage (NCBI taxonomy): Eukaryota > Metazoa > Chordata > Mammalia > Primates > Hominidae > Homo > Homo sapiens. Next base: position 106,139,566 of record NC_000011.10, read on the forward strand.
TAGTACTTAAAACCCTGTTACAATGGAAAATTTCAAGTATATATAAAGGAAAGAGAACAAAATAGAGAATCTCCATCTACCCTGCATCCAGTGTTAACAATTAGTCCTGGACAATATAGTCTCCTGAGTACCCTGTTCCACTTCTCCCCTTCCCACACAGTGTATTATTTGATTTGCAAATATTTATATGTGAATCTCCAAAAAATAGGGATTCTTTTTTGAAAAATAACCACAATCTCATTATTGCGCTTACAATATTAATAACTGAGTGATATATTACTAGTAATTTTCCCTAGTTATCTCAGAAATTTTTTATAGGTCATTTGTTGGAATCAGTATTGAAAAATGTTCTATACATTGCAATTTGTTTTATCTTTTAAGTTTCTTTTGATCTATGTATTCCTTCTCAATTTTTTTCTTATATTTGTTGAAAAATTAAATTTTTCCTATAGTTTGTCTTATATTTTCATTTGTTTTATTTTTGATTTTACATTTGGAAAATTAGTTTTTTAATTTAATTTTAGTTATAATTATTAAAACTAATAGTTGCAAAGCCAGTTTTACAAAATGAGATATATTAAAATAAGTTTGGTTTCCATCACTGTTTATTCCACCTTATTAGTTGTATTTCCTTATAGGTAACCATTTAAAAAAATGTTCATATTTTATCCTTCCATTAAAAAAAACAACATATAAGTACTCTCTGGTCTTGCTGATTGCATCCCTGTGGTGTTGCTTAATTTGTCTCTCTGTGCCCTGCAATTCCTGTAAATTGGGAGATAGATCTAGGACATGCATTCTCAACAGGGGTGGTATCACCCTTAAAAAGTGAAAATTGGTTCTTTGAGGGTAAAAAAATGCATACTCTTTTTAGCCATATTCCCCTAATTTTAACGTATATCGTTTTCATAATCACCAACATCAAAACATTAAATTTCCTATGTGATTTTCCTTTTTAGGAATATGCCATTTAGTTTTTTCTAATGTATAAATTTTAAGCCCTATTTTGTTTTTATTTTCTAATTAAATATTTTTAATAAATATTTTCTAATTTTTTTTTTTTTTGAGATGGAGTCTCTCTCTGTCACCGAGGCTGGAGTGCAGTGGTGCAATCTCAGCTCACTGCCACCTCTGCCTCCTGGGTTCAAGTGATTCTCCTGCCTCAGCCTCCCAAGTTGCTGGAACTACAGGAGCATACTACTTTGCCTGGCTAATTTGTGTGTATGTGTGTATTTTTGTAGTGACAGGGTCTCACCATGTTGTCCGGGCTGGTCTTGAACTCCTGACCTGAAGTGATTCCCCCACCTCAGCCTCCCAAAGTGCAGGGATTACAGGTGTGAGCCACCGTGCACAGCATAAATTTTAATATTATTTTATTGCATTATGGTCGGTATATATAGTCTGCATAATATTAACGTTTTTGCTTTTATTGTTGCTTCCTTTTTGTCTCAACATATGGTCTACTCTTGTAAATACTTCCTGAGTGCCTTATTTTTGAGTATAGATTTCTTTTTCTCCTTTTCTGTGTGTGTGTGTGTGTGTGTGTGTGTATTAGCACCCATATATTTAAAATAATGTTCAAATTCTTGAGATCTGTTCATTTTTGTCTCTTTCATCTACCAGTTTCAGAGATAGATGTGTTAAAATCTCCAATTACTATTTTTCATTTACATATTTTTTTCTGTTTTTATGTCAATTGCTGCTTGAAATATTTTGAATCACCCTTCTTAGGTGCAATGATGTTAATAGGGGCATACCATCTTATTCTATTGTTTATTTTACCAGTATATAATGTTCCTTTGTGCCTTTTTTGCCTTCCTGATATTTTGTGAGATATTAATATTGATTTCTTCTGTTCCCCAATCTAGTTCCTTCTTAATTTTCTGACCTCACCTTCTACACCTTCCCACTTGTCCAACAAACTCCTGTCTTACCGGCTATTCCTCAAATGCATTAGGCATCTTCTAGCATGAGGGTCTTTGCACTTGCTGTTATCTCTGCCTGGAGTATTCCTCCATTGGGCTCCACATGTGGGTTTGATTAACTGTTATCTTTTCAGTAAATTTTCTTTGATCATTTTATTTAAAATTGCAACATTTTGTAGATGGCATACACTATCTTTTTTTTCCCCTGTTGCTTTTTCTCCATTGCGTAGCTCACCACTGGATATACTGATGATTTGTTACATCTCTTCTGTAGTGTTCTGATAAGTAAGTAACAATGAGGAAGGGGCCTCAGGTCAGATAGGGCTCCAGGTGGGGAAGAACAATTAACAATTTTTCTGAGAGATGGCTAATCACAAACAACCTGCAGGCACAATGACCTCATTCCACACGTAGCCCCAGCAGCAACACCTTGTTTCATACTTAGCCCTTCCAGCACGACCCTATAAAACTTCCCTCCAGCCCCTGCCTCTTTGCACACAGCCCCCTCTCTGCTGTGCTGCCTGTTGCAACCTTGCAACATATTTTCAAACTTTCTCTAATAAATCTGCCTTTCTTTACCCATGACTGTCTTGGTAAATTTCTTTACCACCCATGACACTGGCCCCAGCTAGTTGCACCTGAGACACTTTGCTGGTCCATACAGTGACTATATGAAGACCTCTCTTCCTATGTGGGACTCTCTGCCTTCTCCCTTTCTGTTTTCCAACTCGGGACCATTAGAGGACAGAGCCTAAGCACAGAGACAACATAAGTTCTCCGGCCAGGGCTACACTCTGGTGGAAATGAAAGGTGTCCATGTGGAAGTGTCTGACTGCCACCACCTCTTTGGGTGAGGGACCTAGGTTTATTTTCCCTTTTCAGCCTTTCAGCAGCCAGCCTCTAATAACCCTTTGGCAACCGATGGTAACTGGCCAGGTCTGGTCTCTGGTGTTGCCTAAAGGCCAAAGGGTGAAGAGGTTTGTCTGCCTTGCCTAGAAGGGAGGAAGACTCTCTCCCTAAATGAAGCAGGGTCGTTGTCTGGGGTGAATACCTGGGGTTTGTCATCTCATACCAAGGGAATCAAGGAAGCAGATGCAAGAAGTGGGTTTAGGAGTGGAGGTTGAATAAACAAAAGAAAGACAGCTCTCTCCCTTGCAAGAGAGAGGGGTGCTCGAATGGGACTTGCAGCCCACAGCAGAGTGAACTGGATTTTATACACGGGCTAGAGGAGATAGTGTCTGATTTAATTAGTGCCCACAGATTGGTTTGACCAGGTGTGACATTTACATAGCATGCAGGGAAGCTGGCTACCCCACCCTAATCTTATTATGCCAATGGGCTTTCGGCTTGACTGGCACCATGTTGTCTGCTCCTTACTGTACACGTGGCTGGCAAAGAGAAGGGAAGATGAAGCCACCATTTTGATCATGCCTAGTCCCAGAGAGCTTTATCCTATTGGCACAACTGCCAGCATTCACCCTGGCAAGCTTCCAGCTTGCTTGTCTATGTCTGCAGCTCGATTTTACAGGCTGCTCTTTGTTAGAAAAGAAAATAATCTGGGGGCTCCTTTTCATTAAAAGGAGAACCTTACCAAGGACTTTCTTACCTTTACTATCTGCCTAAGTAATTTCTTTTTAACTCCTATATCACTCTCTTTTCTGGTTTAAACTCCCTAACCCCTATGTATGATGTGACTGGCAGCAGTAGCTCATCCAGAGCAAATTCACACAAGTTTTAGGTGACTCAGACCCTCTTTCTTACTCTAAGTTTTCCCATGAAGACAGCCAGAACTCCTGCTCTGGCTGCTCCTTCCCAAATCAGGTGACCTCAAACAGCCTCGGAATGCTGAGTCTCCCATTTCTCGTCCCCTCTCCTGGGTTGGCATCAGGCTGAGTTTTTCCTTTACCCTTTTTCCTCATATCTGGGCTGATCACCTAGCGTAACCACGTACCTGGACTGGCCATCTAGCATAAAGGCTCCAGCACCAAGAGGTCCTTCCGAATAGGTGGGACACCTCTTTAGAAAGTGCATCTGAGGTTGGGTGTGGTGGCTCACGCCTGTAATCCCAGCACTTTGGGAGGCTGAGGCAGGTGGATCACAAGGTCAGGAGATCAAAACCATCCTGGCCAACATGCTGAAACCCCATCTCTACTAAAAATACAAAAATTAGCTAGGAGTGGTGGTGCACACCTGTAGTCCCAGCTACTCAGGAGGCTGAGGCAGGAGAATTGCTTGAACCCAGGAGGTGGAGGTTGCAGTGAGCTGAGATCGCACCACTGCATTCCAGCCTGGTGACAGAGTGAGACTCTGTCTCAAAAGAAAAAAAAGAAAGTAAGAAAGTGCATCTGAGTCCCTCAGTGGACATATGTGGAACTATTTTCCTTGATGGGACATCCCAAGAAAAAGTGCGGTTTGTGTCTCAGTGGGCATTAGCCCCCAGCAGCTCATTATTTTTCAGTCCTACCATAGGAAAAATCTTGTCTCTTCCTTCAGACTCATCCCTGGGTTGCATAATAAAACACTGCGATAAATTTGACCTTCTGACTGTCAAAAAGAAACACCTAATTTTCATGTATAATACAGCATGGCTCCTATGCATAAAACCCTCAAAATACCCTCCTCAATCTTTTATAACTGAGAGCAGAATAAGGAGGACAGGTCTAAGAAGAAAGAAAAATGCAGTGACAGCTCAGCTGTTGGCTGCTTTACAATTCCCCAGCCCCCTCCAAGTTGACCTAAGGACACTCCTCCAGGTAACTGCCATCAGTGCAGAAGGCCAGGCTACTGGAAAGCAAACTGCCCCAATGAAATAAATGGGAAAAAGTCCCACATGGCTTGCCCCCATACCACAAGCTCAGCCACTGGAAACAGTACTGCTCTGAAGGCTGAAGGACCCCTGAGACAGAATCTCAACCCCTGATGGCCTTGAGCTGAAGGGGCTCTCTGCTTTAGCTGGCTTCCAAATCAGACATCATGATCAGCAAGACAAAGCTAAGGGCAACTCTGGAGGTGGCAAATAAAATTATAAATCTCCCTTTTGGGTTAAAGAACTGCCTATTCTATCCTAATCTTCTCTGAGCAACTTTCCACCAAATCCTGTCAGTTACTGAGGGCAAGTTGTATCCCCTCCCTCGAAAAGAAAAAAATTTTCACCCCTTTGTATTACTTAAGGGACCAAGTACCATTCTCCCACCAGTCCCTGGTAATGTCTCATTACCCCAAACCCCTTTGGGGCAAACATTTACTTTCCAAGATGGGTACCTGCTTAATATTTACCTAACCTTTGAATTCATGTTTCCTTCTAATAGCCCTTTTCTCCTGTGAAAGCTACCTAAATCTTTAACCAATAACTTGCACCTATATAGTCCTATTTCAGGGGTTTCAACACAGCCCATACTTACTCAAACAAGTCCTAGCAAAAAATCTGAGCAATCTCTTGAGGGGGGGTGACTTCTATAGTACGTAGATAACCTCCTCATTTGCTCCACCTTCACAGAGCTCACACAGCATCATGCGGTACAAACCTTAACTTCCTAACAAAAGGAAAATAATTTTTGTCTAATTTAAAGGTTACTTAAAGGCTATATATAAAACAAGTTAAAGGGAATCAGGAAATAAGAGAGACATAAAAAATGTTATAAAGGTAAAGTGATATTCTTGGTAAAAAAGGTTATAAATAAGAGATTTTATATGAGAAAGAATCTTCTAGGATAAATTCTTGTCTTAAAGTAAAATGACTGGTTGTTTAAAAAGAAGGATGTTGGCCAGATGTGGTGGCTCACACCTGTAATCCCAGCATTTTGGGAGGCCAAGGCAGGCAGATCACCTGAGATCGGGAGTTCAAGACCAGCCTGACCAACATGGAGAAACCCCATGTCTACTAAAAATACAAAATTAGCAGGGGGTGGTGGCACATGACTGTAATCCCAGCTACTCAGGAGGCTGAGGCAGGAGAATCGCTTGAACCCAGGAGGTAGAGGTTGTGGTAAGCCAAGATTGTGCCATTGCACTCCAGCCTGGGCAATGAGAGCAAAATTCTGTCTAAAAAAAAAAGAAGGATGTTTAGGACAAGTCATAAAGTCCAAGCATGTCATAGATGGTCTGCGTAAGTTGTGAGAAGGTTCATGAAGGGGAATTTATGAGAGGAATTTTACATGTGATTAAGTTGGTTATAATTGAAAGGAGATTATTTAGGCAGTCTTTCTAATGATGATCCCTTATATTAAAGCAAGGTTTTCTTAAGGTATTAATCTGCTCTTAATAAAATTGTAAGAAGTTTTATAAGTGTTTCTTTAAGCAACTTCTTAGTATCATATCTCAGAAGTTCAATTTTTGTAGTGTTCTGCTACTTTCAGCTTTTTCTCCCCTGGATAAGGCCTAAGATAATAAATCTCTTCAGTTTTTGTCAGCTCCTGTAACTTTTTCCTCTAATTCTAACTGTTATTATGGCTTAAGGCTAAAATGTTCCATCTTGAAGGTCAAAAAATTAAGCAATTTTTTCCTCTAACATAATTCTGTACCGTGGCTTTTCTTGATATGTCTAAGTTCTCAATGTAATAAAAAGTAAACTTCTCGTGTTGTTCCTAAGAGTCATGTCTTCCCCTGCTATACTCATAACCATGAACACATTCTTCCTGTGTCTAATGAAATTGAAACATTTTTTAATCAAGTTTAACTTCCAGGTTATCTAAATGGGCTTCCAATAAGGAAAAACAGCCACACTGCAAAAGACTTTTTTGCCTTTTCGGTAACTGGGTTAAGAAACAAACTTTTATCTTCTAGAATTCAGCAGTTTCACCTTCAAATGATGCTGCAAACAGAATATCAGTCCCCCCCAATTATGCCTGCTACCTTTGCAAATCTCTCCTAGATTCAGCTGGACACCAGTTTTGCCTTGACATGCTCCCCTTCTCTGATGAGTCCCTTCTTCCAGCAAGATCCAATATCCTAGGTCCCACAGTCTGGGACAATAACACACAAGGTCTCCTGACAGACCACCAACCATAGGTAGGGTCAACTCTAGGCCCCAGGCCAGCAGGAAACAGTTGGAAGGTTAGACATCCACCCCAATACCAAAGATTTGTCATTGTTGTTCTGTCAGGGGAAGAATGTAGAGTCCTGATAAGATAAATAAGCAACAACAAGGAAGGTGCCCCATGTTTGGAAGGGCCCCAGGTGGGGAAGAACAATGAACAATTGTTCTGAGAGGTGACTAATTACAAACAACCCATGGACACAATGACCTCCTTCCATACATAGCCCCAACAGCACCACCTGGTTCTGCATGCAGCCCCCTCTAGCAAGACCCTATAAAACTTCCCTCCAGCCCCCGTCTCTTTGCAGATAGCCCCTTCTCTGCTGTGCTGCCTGTTGCAATCTTGCAACATATTTTTTTACTTTCTGTAATAAATCTGCCTTTCTTTACCCATGACTGTCTTGGTAAATTCCTTTATTGCCAACAACATCAGCCCTAGCTAGTCACAACCTGTGACATCTTTTCCCACTAGAACGTTTATCTCCATGCAAGCAGGGACTTTATTGACGGCTGCCTCCCCAGAGACCAAAACAATGCCTGTAATATTGAAGGTACCCAGTAAGTATATTCTGAACAAATAAGTAAATAGGTTCAGAAGCTACACATGCTAGAATCTTAAGGTCTTGAGCTGGGAAAACTGAGAAATGGAGGACAAGTGATACAATATCTGGGGTCAAGAGCCAGATGTAAGAGTAAATCTGAGTTTGGGCACCAAGCATGCCCTGTAAGCCTAGGGTGATTTGTAGTATCCACTGCCTTATATGGCAAGATGTGTTGCCCTTTTTTTCTTGCTGTAACAGAATTTTGAAAACTCAGTTTTCTGAACATAATTGTATGGCAAATTATAATTACCCTAAAGGTGTGTTCTTGATTACAAGAGAGGAGCAAGACCAATGTGAAGAAAACAAGATTAAATCAATTTGCAGTTCACTTTCAGGAGAGTTAATTAGGACATGAGTTAATTAGGTCTATCTTAAATGGAAGGTAAATCTTGTTAAGTCATGTTATAAAAGCTCCAGCTTAGGTTTGTTTTTGAAAGTATGTGTGATGGTTAATTTTATGTGTCAATTTGACTGGGCCATGAGGTGCCCAGACATTTGACCACATATTATTGTGGGTATGTCTGTGAGGGTGTTTCTGGATAAGACTAACATTCGAATTGGTAGACTAAGCAAAGCAGATTATCCTCACCAATGTGGATGGACTTAATTGAAGACGTGAACAGAACAAAAAGTCTGACTCTGTTATAAATAAGAAGGACCTCTTCCTGCCTGATTGCTTAAGCTGAAACATTAGTGTTTGGTCTCAGACACTGAAACATTGGCTCTACTTGGGTCTTGAGCCTGCTGGCTTTTGAACTGGAACTCACACCAATGGCATTCCTGTTCTTAGGCATTCAGACTTGGATGGAACTACTTATCAGCTTGCTTGGGACTTAGCCTCTATAATAAATGTTTTTGGAGAACCCTGACTAACACAGTATGGAAGCAATTACTGGATTTCTATAGCTCTTTAAAAATTTATTAGAGCTGGCATGTAGTAAAATGCTTTATAGATATTTACATGTCAGATAGGAACATGTAGTGAAAAGAGTATGAGCTTTGCCAATATAAGCTTCAGAACCCATTCATTTATTTGTTCAAAATATATTTATTGGGCACCTTCAATATTTCATATCTGAGTTCCAATTAACTCTACCATTTACTATGTATCATTTGACAATAAATTTGAATTTTCTGCATGCCCAATTTCACATCTGTATAATAGGGTAACTACCATAATGGTCATTATGGGTCATGTGAATGTCAAAAGTGAGTGCTTCCAAAAGCACTTGGGATGGCACTAGACATGTAGTATCTGGTGTTAGTGGTAAATATTTATTGAAGGCTTACATCATATGTTTCATTGTTTATCCTATATTAGGGTATGGGTAGACTTAATATCACCCTATTCTACAGATAGGGAAACTGAAACACACTTAGGTAATTTACTCAACATCACAAAACTAGTAGGTGGTAGTGCTGGGATGTGAACTCAATGTGACCTTAATATGTGACCTCCAGAGCCCATATTAACTGCTATACGATTTGGCTTCTTGCTAGAAATAAATGCTAATTTTCTTTTCTTTCCTCTCTTCCCATCCCCCACGCATGCCCCCAGCCCCTACAACTTATGAAATCTGCAAAAGCATGTTAAAGACCATGTCTGTGTCTTTTTATATTGTTGTGGTGCCTGGCATAGTGCTTGTCTGTTACCCAACATATGCCAGTAAACTATGGGGAGAAGATAGGGAGACAGTGTGGTCAGGAGAGAGGCAAGATCTACATTGTCCCATTTTTCTTGTTGTTGATACAGGGTCTAGGATTTAAATTTCCTTTCTGATAGGCTCTATCATTAAACGTGTATGACTTGCTTAACATGACATCGTGGCACATTTTCAAATACTGAAGGAAATAGCTTCTTTTTATTAATACGGAGCTAGATGAAGAGGACTTAACTATCTACTCTCCAATTACACTGACTATGTTTTCATTTCATAGAAATATGGGATGGCTAGTTTGTAATTAGTCCTCACTGACTGGGAGCTGTTATGCAAAGTGGTTAATGTTGCTGTTTTCCCTTGGGCCTTTTGTAGTTTTCTTTTGGATCAACTCTTGGACTTGGGTATATTAGAACCAATGTTTTTATTTCACCATTTTCATTTGTAGAGCACATTTTCTTTTAGAACAATTGCTTTCATTTTAAAATGTTTTGAGTCAGTTTAATAAGAATCTGAGTTACATTGCACTTGTATATGAGCTGTGGAGTTTTAACTTGATGGCACCATGGGTAAATTTAAAGTAAAATGTGAAGCCTTTAATGGAGCTCACAACGTTTGATGACCTTAGTCCCCAGGAGAGATTAGATTTCCCAACTGACACATTTGTGCTTGGCATGGGGATGTGAATGTGGTTGGAAGATAATATTTCCTTATGTTTATTGTCCAGTTATTTATTTATTACCTTACAGGTTCAGATCTAATTTTACTGATATTAAATAAGTTTCCATTAAGGGCAGAATAAACAATGAAAATTTTATTTATTTGCTTATTGTTCAGATCATCATAGTTTGGAAGATTTAAATTAAGAGAGGGGCCAATTCTACATTATCAATTCGAATAGGTCATTACTACGTATTTTGGGATTTCTGGTAGTTTGGTTTTATAATACAAATCTTTTAATTGAAAAGTCAAGAACAAATGAGGGTCCTCAGTCATGGATTCAATTCATTCAACTAATAATATGGTGAATAAAACAGATAAGATATGGTGAAAAAACCCAAAGACATTGGCTATCTGGGCTAAGAATTGCTACTACATTCTGCTCTTGAGTTCCCAGGAAAAGTGTACCACATCTACATATTTGCATTGTGTTTAGAAAATCTTTGAAATGCTGAAACCTGTTTGCTTATAGGACAAGCTAATGAACTAGCTTGGCAGTGAATGGAGAAAAACTTCAGTGAATACAGAAGTTTCAGAATTCACGAGACAATGGTGAGTGTTATTAGGGGACACAGGAAAGCCATATTGACCTTTTTGTGCAGACGATGAGCAGAAGTCATGGATGTCATGAAGACAGCAATAATTTTAACAGAAATAGGTAGCTATCAACAAATGTTTTTTATATATAAATTAGCTGAACATCCAAAATTCATATGACATACTAAATAAAGAGTGTCTTTCATTGGAAACAAATAAAATCACCTTAAATTAAAAATGAGAGTCAATTCTCTATCAAAATGCAGAAATAGAAATGGAAGTTAAAGTACTAGTTTTGGATGTTGAATTAATAACAATACATAACTACAATATTATAAAAATAAGAGACAATGTAATATAGTGGAAAGGGTGTTAGACCTAAAGTCTGTTAAGTCTGTGTTCAACCCAAATTCTTTCACTTGTTATCTCTGTAACCTTTGGAGAAGTTTTTGAACATATATGCATTTCCTCATATTTCATGTGTGTGTGTGGTAAGTTAATGTATAAGAAAACTTTTATATTACTGATATTTAATAAATGTAAGTTTTTTTCGTCTTTCTCCTTCCCATTAGTTAGAATGCATATCATTAGGCAGTGGGAGGATTCATTTTGTAATGAAAATGGTATATTGATAAGGGTAGAAACTCAATCATGATCCTGCCTACACTATAATTAGAAATCACATCTGAGGAAAAAAAACAGTAAATTATTATGAATCATTTTGGTGCTATCATTGGTTTTAGTGTAATTGTTCATTAAGCCTTTAAAATTATTAGACCTTGTTAATTAAAAAGCCTTTCCTGAAGTGCAATGAAGATGCTTATTCACGTCAAATGATTTACAGTGAGATCCCTTCTAATTACAGATGCTACAGCTTCATTTGCATAGTTGAGATAGTTAGCTTCCATACACAGCCAGTGCTCACTGTATCATGAAGTGGCTCCAGCATGCCACTTTAGATTAAAATGTGCTTTTGAAAATTAATATTGGGATTGGCAAAAGGAACACTATTGGGCTAGTTTTGTATTAAATCTTAGCCACATGCAAGATTAGTGTTAGAAGAGAGGAACACAGGTGTCAGAATCAAACATTTTTTATTTTGCTATGGGGGCATTGTGATATCCCCTTGACCAGAGAGGAGAAGAGACAGTGGTGAAGAGAATACTGTCTAGTTAAGGTGAATGCTGTGCTAACAACTATGTTAAATGATATTCTGTTTTTTAGCATAAAAACTGTAACAGCTGATATCTTAGCAATGTATTTGATCCTATTATTCAAATGATGCTTTTAAGACATTTTATATCCTCATTTATAATTTTTAATGAAAACTGCCATTGTAAATGGGGCAGTACATACACCAACCATTGAGAACCTCTTATCTGTCAAGAGCTATGAATCACAGAGCGGGAAAGAAGTCAAATTTTGATCAAATAAAAATATGAAGTCATATATTTTGATTTTATAAAGAAAAAATATAAAAAGCTAAAATCATTTTCTATTAGTATAAATATTAATAAAATGCTATTTATCATACAATACCAAGTGATATTTTTAGGATAATGTGCTCTATGGAAGTATACAGATGTCTCTTTCTTCTATTCAATATGTATTAGTATTCATCTAGAAAATATATATATATTTCATCAACAGATATATTTCACATATTTCATGATATATATATTTCACATATATTTATTATATTTAAAGCAATAATATATTTATAATAATAGTATATATTAAATATATATATTTCATCTGTTGAACAACTAGAGATAAATAAATACCAAGAAAAGGCTAAACATTTTGGGAAAATGTGAGATTTTATTACGAAAAAAGATCAGATTTGAGCCTGAGGAAGAAATAGTACAACTGTCCTTCTCAGGCGTTACTTTTTATTGTACTAGATAATTAAGATCAAGGCTTTTCATTAGCTGATCTGTTTTCTTGCCATTGTGTCAATATTTCGGTCCTGGATTTTAATTTTTCCTCAAATAGACTTAATCAGTTAATCAAACTGCTTTTTCCAGTAATTAGTCTGATCATACATTTTAACCACTAGGGAGAGCTAAGCAGTTTCAGTCTGTCACAATTTCAAGGTGATAGAGGCAGGAAACAGCCAAATGCCTAGGCAAATAGGGAAAGGTCCCTGGAGAACCTCCAACCTGCCCACATCACTGTGCGTGGGAGCTTGCATAAACATGCCTACAGTGAAAAATTCCATCCATTAACACATGAGCAATAAGGAAATTAAATCAGTATGGAGTGGCTCAGACTAAGGGTCTGCATGGGCACTCGGGGAATAGGGTGGAGCCACCAGGAATTTCTGCCTTATGCTGGGGAGGAGCCTGGCCTCTTCAACTTGTGTGTGGTGCCCTGATACTCATTTGTGAGGTGGAAACCTGCATGCAGGACCCCTGTTTGTGTTGAGAGCTTTCCTTTTGCTAAATGAATTCTGCCCTCCTCACCTTTCAATGTGTCTGTGTGCCTATTTTTTCCTGGTCGTGAGACAAGAACCCAGATTAAGCTGAACCAAGGAGCAAAAAATCCTGCATCAAAGGTGTGAAGAGAACCCAAATATATATTGCAAAAATGATCAATTCATCATATGCTTCTGATATTTGTACTGAGAGTTGGTGAATCTAGTTACAGGGAGATGGATTAGACAAACCAAATTGACCAATAGTTTAAAAATAACTGGTCTGTACTCTTCAAACATGAGTGTTAAGAAAAACAATAAGACTGAAGAATTAATTATTCCAGATTAAACCATGATATGACAAATTCTGTTTCTGTCCATGATGAAGTAAAGGGACTGGATTTAACTTTCTGTCTTAAACTACTAGAAAACTTGAAAAAGCATATAAAACAACTGTTTTCAGACATTAAACAACTGGAAGCATAAGACCATGATCCCTGAGAGAAAAGAAACAAATGAGGTTAGCCTGATGACTACACTGGCATTTTGGCTAGAGGCACATTCTTGAATGTGTAGCAAGGAGGGACATTCTAAGCAGATCATAATGGTCTCTTGTGATGAGATGAGGATCAGAGTTCAGGCAGTTTGAAGTAGCTGGAAGTTTCAGAGGAGAGCTCTGACAAGGAGAAAATTATACCAGAAAAGAGCTCCATAAATCTGCAAAGGGGTTTTTATGAGTCTTTGCTAAATACGCATACATAGGATAAAATTCCATGAAATTGGAAAATAAACCGACTAGGAAATTGTGAGCTAAATGTTACCTAAAACTGATTCAAGAATGGAAATCAGGTATTCCTTTATAGTAATGCAAAGAACAGACAAAACTGTTAAAAGGATTAAATGAGTTAGGTATGCAAAATGTTCAGCATAGTGCTTGGTGTATGTAGGGTTGCCAGATTTAACAAATAAAAATACAGGATGCCCAGTTAAATTTAAATTTCAGGTTATCTAAAATTGGACATAGTTATACTAATAATTAGTCATTATTTATCTGAGATGGAATGTATCCTAACAATTATTCATTATTTGTCTAAAATTTAAATTTACATGAGGACTCAGCTTTTTAACCTGGTAACCCTGTACATACATTAAATGCCCAATTAATGTTAAACAATGCTACTACTGCTGCCACTACCACCTTGCAACTGAAATTAATTCCCAACACACTGCAAAACTAAAGTGTTAAGAAAATTAGGCCTTTTTGCAGACCTTTTGAGGTGATTATTTTTGTCCTACCTTGAGCCTCTGATATTACCGACTACTCTTACTTGAAGTTCTCTCTTCTTGTGCCTTTGGGACGACACATGGTTTTGATGCTCTTTTGATTTTCTTCCAATCACTACAATGCTTAGGTTCCTTCTGTGTCATTGTTTTTCTCTTTCTCCCACCAACTGGCATTGTAGGCATTGCCTAAGGCTCAGTCTTTGTTCTTTCCTTATTTCCTTTCATTCCTTTTTTTTTGAAAAGCACGGCTTTTCTCATAGTTTTAGTCGTCACTTTTATGTTGATCTCTATGTCATCCAAGCTTCAGTACTGCCCTCACCCTCCTGCTTTGAGCCTGGATGTCCAGCTCACTACTTAAAATGTCCGTGTAGTCAACACAAGGGACTTCAGGTCCAACGTACACAAAATTAAACACTTCATCATGCTTCTCAATGGCCTCTCCTTCCAATTTCCTGAGTTTTGTACTAATATTCTTTATTTTTGACTTTTCTTTCTTCTTTAATCTTTACAGGTAATCAGTCTCAATTTGTATGGTTTCTTTGGGTAGTGGAATGAAAAAAATGCAATTTGAAGTCAAAATGAACTGCAACTACTTCTGCCTTCTGGGTTTTTGTGTGAGTTTGGGAGGGAACTGTGGTGAGAATTGGCACTATATATTTCAGGGGGAATGTAAATATCTATACTGCTTCCTTTCATTTACAGAGGCTTTTGGGTATGAAAAGCAAGGCACAGCTGAAACTTTAGTCTCTGGTAGTTTGTTTATTTACAGAATGGTAACACTCAGAATTGATGAACTTTTTTTTTTTTTTTTTTGGACAGAGTTTTCCACTTGTTGCCCAGGCTGGAGTGCAATCGTGCAGTCTCGGCTCACTGCAATCTCTGCCTCCCAGGTTCAAGCAATGGTCCTGCTTCAGCTTCCTGAGTAGCCGGGATTACAGACACTTGCCACCATGCCAGGCTAATTTTTGTATTTTTAGTAGAGACTGGGTTTCACCATGTTGGCCAGGCTGGTCTCCAACTCCTGACCTCAAGTGATCCAGCCGCCTCGGCGTCCCAAAATGCTGGCATTACAGTCGTGAGCCCCGGCGCCCAGCCTGAACCTTGATTTTTAACAGATCTTATTAATGAATGTTCGGTTATGCAAATGCAAATCCAGAGCTGAGGAGTGGGTGGAAAACAGACATTTTCTATAAAATAAAGGGTAGGAATTAAGAAGTAATAGAGACTCAAGGGAGTAAGGGATTTAGGCAACAAAGTGGGAAGCTGGAGTCTCCAGAGAAAGTCTCCTAATGAAGAACCGTGGGTGTCAGGCTACTTAGAACTTGTCGGAGCATGGCTGTCTAATGTTTAGTTTAAATGGCTTACTTAGCAGCACTGTATAACATCATTACTTCAAACCTTTAGCAAAGTCTTTTTAATACAAAAATATTCAGTGTTGAGCTGGGTCTATATCTGAATTTCTTTTCTTTTTTTTTTTTTTCTTTTGAGACGGAGTCTCTCTCTGTTGCCCAGGCTGGAGTGCAGTGGCACAGTCTCGGCTCACTGCAAGCTACACCTCCCAGGTTCACGCCATTCTCCTGCCTCAGCCTCCTGAGCAGCTGGGACTACAGATGCCCGCCACCACTCCTGGCTTATTTTTGTATTTTTAGTAGAGACGGCATTTCACCGTATTAGCCAGGATGGTCTCGATCTCCTGACCTGGTGATCTGCCCACCTTGGCCTCCCAAAGTGCTGGGATTACAGATGTGAGCCACCATGCTGGGCCCTATATCTGAATTTCTATGAAGCAGAGACAAAAAGAAGCCACAGGGGTTTGAAGATGACGAAGAGATTTCACCCAAAATAGGGAGCCAAAAGTGACCACGTGGGCCCTTAGAAATGTACAGAAACTTCAGGAAAGATATTGAATTTCCTATATATTGAAGTAGCCTAAACCAATTTCATCTAAACCTCAAAGGACAAGGTGACTTTAGCTGCCATTTGGGTTACATTCTTTTCTTCTTTTTTGAGACAGAGTCTCACTCTGTTGCCCAGGCTGGAGTGCAATGGTGTAATCTCGGCTCACTGCAACCTCCGCCTCCCAGGTTCAAGTGATTCTCTTGCTTCAGCCCCTCCAGTAACTGGGATTACAGGCACCCACCACCATGCCTGGCTAATTTTTGTATTTTTAGTAGAGATGGGGTTTCGCCATGTTGGCCAGGCTGGTCTCAAACTCCTGACCTCAGGTGATCTGCCTACCTTGGCCTACCAAAGTGCTGGGATTACAGGCATGAGACACCATGCCCAGCCATGGGTTATATTCTTTTAACAGACTCTTAGAATCTGTCTGTTTCCACTTCCACCACCTCTAGCAAATGAGGTGACAGCCATTGCCTCCTGATGGGTCTCTTGGTCTCTGTTACTTCCACTTGTACATATCCATTCTTCTACCAATCTTCCATTTTGGTTTTAAGGATTCTAAGTCAGAAGTTCTTCTACCAGTTAGCTGTGTGACTCTTGCCATAACACAGGAAGATTGATAGTTAATTCTTGCTTTTCAATACTATGAATTTCTTTAAATGATGTTGGATCACAGAACAGTCACATACTGAAAGCTCTATATTTTGCTTAATTATAAACATGACTTTACTCTTTATCGCCAGCAGATGGGGCCAGGGAAAAGATTTCGCCAAGATTCCAAATGCTGACGTTTCTTTGAAGCAGCTGCTTTATCTCAGGTTCTTACACAATCCTCACAACAGCCCTATTAAGTAGAAATTATAACCTGTTTTACAATGGGAAAGTTGAGGCTGAGAAGGTTAAGTCATTTGACCAAGTCTGCATGAGTTAGTAAGTGGCAGAGCCAAGATTAGATCACAAATCTGACTCCAAACCCCATGCTCTTCCTATACTGTGTTTCCTCTCAGAAGAAAAGGAGAAGAAAAATGCTTATTTCAGCTATGTTCCCTAGATAGCAAAGCACTGAGCATTTTTGGAGATTGCAGGTGAATTGATGATTAAGCAAATTAATCATGAAAAAATGAAGTGTAAGGATTTTTAGCAGAGTTATATGAGCAGATCAGTGAAACGCAAAGTAGCAATAACCAGGGACTCTATGTTCTTGCCTTTCTTAATTCATGAAGTTATTGTAAGAACCAAAAGAGAAATGGACCCAAAAAAAGCACAACAAAAAGTATACTCTCCAAATATGGGGTTTAATGATTTTGGTTATTATTGTTTGCAAAATTATCCTTTGGATCCTATTTGTGCAGTGATTTATAATTGATTTTTTTACAGAATGTTGGCTTTTCCTGGGGAAGCGTTTACTAGCTCACTTCATAAACCTGACAGCTGCAGGCAGGTGCAATGCACAGCAGCAGCAGCAGCAGCAGTAGGTTTGCACTTCTGGGAACAGCTGGAAACTGGGAGGAGATTCTATCCAGATAGGTACTATGGAAATACAGATGGCAGAATCTGACAAGTTCTGGTGGAAGGTACATACACTTAGGCTTGAATTTTAGGCAGAATTTTTTGAGGTAATGACATTTTATAATAGTAGACAGGGAAGCAATCACCACTGAACTCCATCTCTGTCCAAATCCTGCAGTGTACAAATAATAGGTGTAATAAAGATTAGACAGCCTTGGGGAGAATTGGATATCGTGCAAATAGAAGCAGTTTGAAAGTAGTATTACTTTTCCTTTGCAAAAGCAGTATACGTCTATTTTTTAAAAGCAAGAAAATTTATATCGATCAAGTGAATGTCTCATTTTCCAATTTTCATCTTTCCCCACAATCCCTCTGCTAAAAGTTTGTCATGTATTTTTCTCTCATTTTAGCATATTTTCTCTCTTAAATATATGTATTTGCTCTCTTTCTCTCCAAATACACACACAATATGTATATGGATTATAAATGCATATATTTATGTATTATAGTTCATTTATTATATATAATGTGTATATGTATTTAAACAAAAATTGGACTCCTACTATAACTCTTCTGATTTTTGCTCCAGCCACTTACTCTATTGTGAGCATTTTTCTGCATTAGTATGTTCAACTGTACCTCATGGTAAAAGCAATTTCAAAAGCTAATTTAGAAATAGTGACAGAGAGAATATAAAGTAATACTTTGCAAGGGCTGCTGAAATAAAGAAGCAAAAGGAAATGAGTGGGAGAAATGGCAATGAATAAACAGAATGAGTTGGACAATTGTTTCTATCTCTTTATCTCTCTGCCTCTGTATGAAATACTCAGTTTTTTATTTACAAGGTGAAGTGCCTCAAGAATAAAAGTTTGATTCTCATAAATCTTTAGATGTAGTTGTTTTATGGTTAAAGAAATCTTTCATATAAATGGGCTTAGAGAACAAATAGAAAAAACACACAGGAAACTAAAAGCCAGCAGTTTCTTTTGCTGTGTAGGGCCTCTTGCTAGAACCAACCAATCCGTACAGACATCACTTTAGAAATGGGATTTATTTATGTTATTGCTATTATTTTGCTCACAGTTAAATGGAAAAGCATACTGTGAGTTTTGCTATATAAAAACAAACAACACTGCTGGAATGTATTTGACATATAGTGTTTCTGCACAAGAAAACTTGCAATGATAATTTTCTTAGAGGGAGGACTAATGCTCCCAGAGATATTCTGGATGGAGTTGAGTTTAGAATATATAAAAGGTCTAAGAACTAACATAATGTTAAAATAGTTCTTAAAAGAGGTTTCTATGTTCGCCAAGTGAAACAGCAAATTCAAATGCGTTTTCAGTTTCTACACCTGGAAATAACTCTAGAGATAAGATTAATGAGGTGTTGGAATTAACAGGGCAACATAAGCAGCACCATTGGCCCCTCTAAATAATAGCCTCCTTGATTTGAAGGGCAAGGCCAACTCTCACGTACTTGTTTGCCTTCCAGAAATCTCTTTTTATGGCACTTCCTTAATATTCAACAGAGCTCTCAAAAAGAGTTAGGGATCATGAAGAAATAAATGCATTCAGCTGAGTTTTCAGATAATCTATTGAACTAGTAGGGGGTGGAATATGATGGGGATGTGGGTTACAAACAAAAAACTAAGCCAGCAAACCAACAGGCAATCAAATCATCCCTGCCCAGAGAGCACTTATAATCTAGCTGTGGAGAGCAAGCTAGCAGAAGACTAATTTTTAAGTACAGAAGGCTATTCAACTCCTTGAAGACCAATATTAAGATTTGGGATTAGAGAATATTAAATTTTCATCTTTCTGGTGCTGAGTGTGGTGGATAGATTCTAAAGAGGCCCTTATGATCCTGCTCCTGCCTTCCACACCTTTATGTAGTCCTCCTCTCCTCCTCTTCCTCCAAGTGTAGAAGAAATCTGTGACTTCCTTCTAAGCATTAGAATATGACAAAGGAAATGAGATGTGTGGGATTATGCATATATGGTTATATTAAATAAGATCACAACTTCCAGGCTAGGTGTCCCTGGTGGCTCATGCCTGTAACCCCAGCACTTTGAGAGGTGAGGCAGGCAGATCACCCGAGGTCAGGAGTTCAAGACCAGCCTAGCCAACATGGTGAAACCCTGTCTCTACAAAAATACAAAAATTAAGGCCGGGCACGGTGACTCACGCCTGTAAACCCAGGACTTTGGGAGGCCGAGGCGGGTGGATCACGAGGTCAGGAGATTGAGACCATCCTGGCTAAAACGGTGAAACCCCGTCTCTACCAAAAATACAAAAAAATTAGCTGGGTGTGGTGGCACGCACCTGTAATCCCAGCTACTCGGGAGGCTGAGGCAGATGAATTGCTTGAACCTTGGAGGTGGAGGTTGCAGTGAGCCGAGATTGTGCCACTGCACTCAAGCCTGGGCAACAGAGCGAGACTCTGTCTCAAAACAAACAAACAAACAAACAGAAAACCACAAAAATTAGCTGGACATGATGGCAGGTGCCTGTAATCCTAGCTACTCAGGAGGCTGAGGCGAGAGAATCACTTGAACCCTGGAGGCGGAGTTTGCAGTGAGCTGAGATTGCGCCATTGCACTCCAGCCTGGGTGACAGAGCAAGACTCTGTCTCAAAAATAAAAAATAAAAATTAAAAATAAGGTCACAGCTTCCAATTTGTAAAGAGACCCTTTCTTCCATGCTGACTTTGAAGAAGCAAGCTTCCATGTTGCTTACATCCCTATGGACAGGGCCATGTGGCAAGGAACTGGGAACAGACTCCTACAAAGAAGAAACTGAACCCCTCAGTTTGGCAGCTTGCAAGGAACTGATAGTATTGCCAAGAAACATGTAAGCTTAGGAATGGATTCTTCCCCATTAAAGCTTCAGATGAGAACACAGTCCTGGCCAACACTTTCATTGTAAAGGACACAATTAAGCAATGCCTGGACTGCTGACTCATAGAAACTATGAGACAATAAATGTGTATTGTTTTCAGATGTGAGTTTGTAGTAATATTGTTCCATAGCAATAGAGAACTGTACATTGAAGCATAAAACTTATAGGTTGATACCTGGTATCACCTAATTGAATCTTATAAACCTTTCCCCACTGTAAAGGGAAAAATAACTCTAGGGTCTGTACGAAATTCTCCCACTGCCAGTGTAAACTTTTATGTCCTTATTTAGAGATTCTCAGTAGTTTTTCCTCTGTTTGGATAAGTAGCCCTACCTGTAGCACTGTAGCACTGAAGAGTTCTATGTTGCCACCCAACCATGACTTACTTGGCCAAGGGCGATGTTTTCCAGGCCAGTTAGACTTTTTTTTCCAGGCATATGGAGTTAAGGTGAAAAGGCAGAGTTCGTAAGACGGAGTGAGAATCTGGAGCTGAAACGTTGTGTAGCATTGAAGCCAGAGTAAGGGTCATACAGATTAACAGTTACAAGTGAGCCAAAATCATGGCAGAACAGACCAAGGAGCTGTTTAGAGGCCACTGGCCTTCACAGAGAAGACTGTAGCAAGACACAGGAGGAAGTGGCGATAAGGACCTCTTAGAGAGACAGAGAGACAAAGCAGGGCTTGCTGGTAAAGTTTGGTTTCGTTTTCTGCAAAAGAAAAAGGAAAAGGAAACGGAAAGATTCTCTCTTTCTTTGCATAAACTCTTCCTTTCTCTAACCTTGCAACTAAATTACACATGATCAAAGGATACTGTTTAATTTTTAGATTTACGTTTTATTGTTATTGTTTTAAAATCAAAATGTACAAAAATCTCCCTCATAATTGTGTTTCCCATCTACGCAGTCTCTGCTTTCTATAAACAAAAATATAATCCTAAGCCCCCCACAAAAAACTGAATGGACCTCCTCTGGGCCAAGGGAAACCTGAAAAGCTGAATTCCCAACCATGATGGGAAAGGAGGTCAGACATGCCTCGTTAAACACCTTCCCTTTTGGAGTTTAGACACAACTGACCAGTGTTAACCTTAAAACAGAGATTATAAGACTGACAAAACATACTCACTTTAGCAATAAGATTCCAAATTCTAACCTGACTCTGGTATAGCATACACATGACAGCAGACCCTGAAGGAAATAAAAATATTTTACCCCAAAATATATTTCTTTGACATCTCTTGAAATAGTTCTGTAAAGCAGCTTTTGTGGGGGAAATTTGTATCTACAAGAATCTCCTTCCCTTTTAAGCCCTTTCCCTGACACAGGAGAGATTAAATGAGAGTATGAATCCTTTAAGGCCTGAAAAGAGATATTTACCGTTTATTTTCTCTGAAATTTGCTACCTGGAGGGTTCTTCTACATAACAAGAGCCTTGGTTTCCCAACCCCTCTTATCTTAACTCAAGCGTTTCTTTCTACTGACTTCTTTAACCATGGGCACACTTTCTTAGGACCTCCTGAGAATGGTCCCCAGGCCATGGTCACTCATATTGGCTCAGAATAAATCTCTTTAAAATATTTTGTAGAGTTTGCCTTTTTCACTAACATTTCCACACCCTCATGAAGATTATTAATGTCACCAGTCTAGCATTTATCCTTCCAGATATTTATGCATATTCGGTAATTGCCTGATGGGTTCATCTTGTCCACGACCCAGAAAATTCAGGGCACAGAGAACAGTAAGTTTTTATAGCAAAGAAGGAGTTTAATTAATGCACGGCTAGCAAAGTGAAACATGGAGTTTATTACTCAAATCAGCCTCTTTGACAACTCAGAGGCTAGGGTTTTGAATGGATAATTTGGTTGGCAGGAGACTAGGGAATGGGTGCTGCTGAGTGGTTGGGGATGAAATCATAGGGTTGTGAAAAACAGTCCTTGTGAGCTGAGTCAGCCTCTGGGTGGGGGCCACAGGACCAGTTGAGTCTTGAGTCTGGATCCAGGCGAAGTAAATCAGTCATCAGAATAAAGAAGTCTGAAAAACATCTCAAAAGACCAATCTTAGGTTCTTTTTTCAATCTTAGTGACCAATCTTAATGATGTTTTCCATAGGAGCAACTGAGAAAGTTACAAATCTTGTGACCTCTGGCACAGTAAACAATTATAGAAAGGTGAACTATGCCCACAACTTAGCTGAATTCAGACCCCTCCTTTAATCCTAATCTTGTGGACTTTCATTAGTCTTACAAAGGTGGTTTCAGTTCCCAAACAGGGAGAGAGTCAGTTTTATGGAGGGACTACTAGCATTCTTGCTTCAAAGTTAAACTATAAACTAAGATCCTTCTATGGTAGCTTGCTTCAAAGTTAAACTATAAACTAAGATCCTTCTATGGTAGCTTGGCCTATGCCCAGGAAAGAATGAGGACATCCGGCCTGTGAGGCTAGAAGCAAAATGGAATCAGTAATGCTAGACTTCTTTCACTGCCAAGTGGTTTCAATTCAAGCAAAAATATCTTTTTTTCCCCTTCTTTTTCTTAATGCAGTATAATTTATTTAGCTTGTCCCTTATTGTCTTTTTTTACTCTGGTTGCTCATATGATTTTTTTTAAACATTTAATTTTCACTATGATGTACCTAGGAGTGGATTTCTTCATTTGATATGCTTACAGTTTGCCAAACTTGAATGCATGGTTAATGTCTTTCATCCATTTTGGGAAATTCTCCAAAACTATTTCTTCCTATTTGTCTGGAGTCTAAGCAATTGCAAATCTACAAGATCTTTCTCTGTCTTCCAGAACATCCTCTATGCCACTACTTACTGAGCAAAAGTCTTGTGGAGAAAAACTGGTGTACAGGAAAAGCTAACCCTGTGTTTGGAGCTTCTTATGATTCCAACCAACTGTGCCAAACAACATGCAGCCAGTAAAAGTTCAGTTGGTTTCAGCCTGTCTCAGCAAGTCTGCTGCTGAGACAAGGTTGCTCTTCCACTTGTCCGTGCTTCCCTACTCCTCAAATATGCCCTTGGAGATAAAAGTGACCATGGAGATTTGTTCACCTAAAAAGGTCTTGTTCCTTTTGCTAATTTATTTAACTTCTTTGTCTTCACAGATCCTCAATAACTTTAAAGAAAAAAATAGTTCCCCTCTTTCCTTGGTGTTTTCTCATTGTTACCACAGGATGATGGCTTTTTGCAACTGTTGGGGCTCAGAAAACAGTACTCGCAAATGAAGGCCTCAGCAGCAGCCTCAGAAGCAAAAGATTTTCTCTGATGTTTTCCTGTCTTCCTGTCTCTCAGTCCCATTCTCCCCAGAGGCTAGCCATAAAAACTAGAATCTCTCTTCCCCAAGGTATGCCATAGAAACCGAATCTCCTTTTCCTCAAAGCCAGCCAGAAAATCTAAAATATTCTATCTAAAAACTGTCCTTAAAGAAATTATCTGATCTAATTTATTTGACTGTACGTCATATGAGGTCTTGACTGTAGGTCAAGACCCGCATTTCAGAGAAGATCCTGCCCATACACAGAAGGAGGGAGTATGTGTTCAAAGAGACCAAGAAGCAGCTAGACAGAGAGGCCTTGCTGGGTTTTCCCACCCATTCTATTATCGTTGGATCACACTCTTTTTGTCCAATCATATTGCTACATGGCTATCCATATTTGATTGAACGTAAGCATAAAAATGGACAATTTCCCTTGTATCTTTGCATCTTCATTCTGAAGGGTCCCATGTATACTTATTAAATAAGTTGGTATGCCTTTTCTCCTGTTAATCTGCCTTTTGTGAGTTAATTTTTCAGTGAGCCTTCAGAGAAAACTCTTCCTTGGCCCCCATACAACCATTTACTGTTAAGTGTACATAGAGCTTCTAATTCTTTTTGACATTTTTCATTTAAATTTAATTTTGCTTGCTTTTAGCTTTCTATAGTGTATGCTTCTACTTTGCTTTAATTATTGGTCTACTTCATTTTGTCTCCCTCAGTTTTGTCTTTATTTCTGTGATGGTTTTATTCTTTTTTTCCTCCGTCTGTTTCCTGAGCTTTGACAGTCTGTGTTTTATCTTTTATTGCTTCCTTTCTCTTTGCTTTTCCTATGCTTTTTCTACTATTTCTCTTAGCTCTTAAATCTTAGCTTTTTACTTCTTTATCTAGGATAATACCTTATAAATATGAACATATATTGTAAAATATACGTTTAAATTTTTAACTTCCTTATGATGACTGGTTTTTCATGCTTTGTGTCCTCTTGTGTTTCCTCCTTTTTCTTTCCTCTTTTAGGGTGGGTTCATAGAGATTCTGTGCTGGTTGCTATTTGATTGCTCATTTTTGGAAAAAAGTGAACTTTTATATGTTTACCTGAAGCTCATACCAGGGCTATGTTCCAGGTTAGTTGAAATAATCTTCTGAATGATTTTATGTGTAAGTCTGTTTATCCTTTACTTCTTCCCAGTAAACAAATATACGGTTTATGAGATGTTTTTTTCCACAATAAAAAGTCTTATCTTTACCTCTGTCTGTAAAACATATGGGTTCCTACAAATATGACTTATTTATATATGGTTCTTCCTATAGTCTCACCTTCTCTGCTTCTTAGAAATAAACGGGTACAGGGAAGCTTCTGCTCTTCATTTTTCATTTTGCTTCTCTCATCACAAGCAAGAGGCTAGCGTTTACGTCTCTGGCTGTCCTCCTTTCCTTTGCTTTTCTGTCCTTTGGGATGCTTATTTTGCTTATCCTTTCTCTGCCTCTATAGATTTTCTTTTCCACTTCCTCCCACTAACATATTGGCTTTATCTTTATGGTTTTTGACAGCTTGCTACAAGTATTTTGTGTTTTGGGGTTTTAGCTTTTTCCTGTTGCCACAAAAGCTGGGTGAATGATTTTGTTTCTTGTTCTCCTTTTTGATTCTAAGTGAATTCCAGGAAAGAAAACGGGAAAATATGGATTGTAAGATACAATCTTCAAAATTGTGATTTCATTATTTATTGAATGTCTTCTATGTTTCATGTTCTTTCAAGTTGGCTTTCACAGCTGGTGGGCATATTTTTCAGGCGCATGGTGCAAACTGTCAGTGGATCTACCATTCTGGAGTATGGAGGACAGTGATCCTCTTCTCACAGCTCCACTAGGCAGTGCCCCAGTGGGGACTCTGTGGGGGCTCCAACCTCCCATTTCCCTTCTGCACTGCTATAGCAGAGGTTCTTCATTAGGGCCCCACCCCTGCAGCACACCTCTGCCTGGACATTCAGGTGTTTTCATGCATACTCTGAAATCTAGGTCAAGGGTCCCAAATCTCAATTTTTGTCTTCTGTGCACCTGCTGGACTAACACCACATGGAAGCTGCCAAGGCTTAGGGCTAGCACCCTCTGAAGCAATGGTCTGAGCTGTACATTGGCCCCTTTTAGCCATGGATGGAGTGGCTGGGACAGGGCACCAAATCCTGAAGCTGCACACAGCAGGATGGCCTTGAACCTGGTCTGCTAATCCATTTATTGCCTCCTAAACCTCTGGGCCTGTGATGGGAGGGGCTGCCGCAAAGGTTTCTGACATGCCCTGGAGACATTTTCCATATTATCTTGGCGATTAACATTTGGCTTCTCATTAGTTATGCAAATTTATACAACTGGCTTGAATTTCTCCCCAGGACATGGCTTTTTCTTTTCTATCACATCATCAGGCTGCAAATTTTTCAACCTTTTATGCTCTGCTTCCCTTTTAAACTTAAGTTTAAATTTCAGATGATCTCTCTCAAGTTCAAAGTTCCAGAGATCTCTAGGGCAGGACAAAAGGCCTTCAGCCTCTTTGCTAAAGCATAGCAAGAGGGACCTCTGCTCCCACTCACAAGAAGTTCCTCATCTCCATTTGAGACCACCTCAGCCTGGACTTCATTGTCCACGCAATTATCAGCATTTTTGTCAAAATCATTCGACAAGTCTCTAGGAAGTTCAAAACTTTCCCACATCATCCTGTCTTCTTCTGAGCCCTCCAAACTGTTCCAACCTCTACCTGTTACCCAGTTCCAAAGTCGCTTCCACATTTTTCGGTATCTTTCTAGCAGTACCCCACTCTCTATGGTACAAATTTCCAGTATTAGTTGGTTCTCACACTGCTATAAATAAACAACTGAGACTGGTCATTTATAAAGGAAAGTGGCTTAATTGACTCACAGTTCAGTATGGCTGGGGAGGCCTCAGGAAACTTACAGTGATGGCAGAAGGGGAAGTTGGTACATCTTACATGGTGGCAGGTGAAAGAGAAGAGTGAGCAAAGGAAGAACTTCCAAATACTTATAAAACCATCAGATCTTGTGAGAACTCACTCACTATCATGAGAACAGCATGGGGGAAATCACCCCCATGATCCATTCACCTCCCACTAGTTCGCTCCCTCAGCACCTGGGATTTGCAATTCAAGATAAAATTTGGGTGGGGACACAAAGCCTAACCATATCAACATCCTTCCCCTCCTTACTTTTATCCCTTTGATCTCTTCTAGCCTTCCAGGCCCTTGAAGAGGCCATCTCACATTTGTAAGCACTGTGTGAAGCTATGCCCTCTATACTTTTCAAAATAAAATATCTAGAAGGCAAACAAGTCTTTCTCCTCCTTGCCCTAATCAGGGTATAATATTGGTGGTTTATTATGCTAACAAAATCAATTCTTATTCACATCCTTCAGATAAACAGATACTTATGTGGGATTAGATATGCAGGGGATTTATTGTGGAAACTCCTTTGAAAGATAAAGTGGGAAGGAGGAAAAGTAGGCAGAGAGAGCCTTCAGGCCATGATCCAGGTCTGAAATCTATGAAAAGAGAGAGAGAAAAAAAAATTGGGTAGGAAAGGTCTCAGTTTGTGACACCTTTCTGAGAAAGTTTTGGCCATGTTGATAAAGAGATCCTGAGTCAAAGTTGCTAATGAAAAGAGTCCTACATTGGGCATAAACAGGACAGACTATTTACCCTCTTAGACTCAGCCTTGGCTGCAAGCAGCCTGGTAGCAATGTGGCTTCAGGGTTTATAGGCAGCCACTCTGATTCTTGTGACTCCCTACTTTCAAATAGCTGACTTAGCTCATGAAGACAGTTTCAACAGTCCTATAATTTCATCCCCAACCAATTGGCAGCACCAATTCTCTAGTCCCTTGCCTGGCAAATTATCCTTAAAAATCCTAGCCTCCAAGTCCTTAGAGAGGCAGATTTGAGAAATATCTTTTGTCCTGCTGCTCAGCTCCCTTGTGATAATCAAATGCTTTCTCCATTGCAACACCATTGTCTCAGTGTATTGGCTTTTCTGTGCAGTAGGCAGGAAGAACCCTCTGGGCCATAACACTATTCATAAAATGACATCCACTTGCAAGGGGAAAAACAAACATATATTTAAAAAACCCTGAAATCTAAATTTTTACCTCTATGCTATTTTACTTTACTAATGAGAATTAACTTATTAAATTATTGGGAATTAATAAAGAAGTATATTTGACCTATCACAAAGGGTAGATAGAAAGGGTCTTGGCAGTTTGTGTGCTTCATAGTTTAGGGACCAAGGGAAAACTTACCCTTCACCCTCTGAAGGATTGCTGAAAAATCAACTGATAAAAGACAGGTTAATAGGAGAAGTGGCACACAAATTTATTCACATGTATATGGGGAAGACTCACAGAGTGATTACTCAACCCCTCAATGGGGTGCAGAAGCTTCCATATCATCTTGAGGCTACAGAAAGAACAGGGGCTTGGAGCATGGCCAAAACCAGGTGGTAAATCATGTTTTAGTGGCAAGACAGGTTATGAAAGGGGGAGAAGGTGAGGCCTACCTATGAAAGTGGCCTTATATGTAGGTGAAATCCCATAGGTAGGAGCCCTCAGAGAGAATGAATGGTAAATGTTTCTTTTAGACCTTTAGGGTGTCAGAGTGTCAGTTAATCTTTCCTAGATCTGGACAAAGCACAGCCTCAGAGAAAACCTGGCTGCATCAATGAAGATTCTCTACAGATGCAAATCTTCCCCATAAAAGACAGCTTTGCAGGGCCATTTGTGTTAGCTGGCTGTCTGAGAAGCCATCTCAAACTATGTCAAAGAAGTATATTTTGGGGTGAAATATTCTGATTTCCTGGAATAGTAAAATGTTCTGTGAAAACATTTTCTAAGAAGAATCTTCAAATGGCTCTTGGTGAGACAAATCATATTAGCACTTAAGCACACATTTTTCTCCTATGAAGATAAATACCCTAATTTTATCTCATTTATCTAACAGTGGGAGTTTCCTTCCTAGTATGTTTTGTTTTACTGATATTCTTAATTATTTAAGAATTATTTCACTAGTTTCTCAATATTTCCATTTTCACTTGTATGATTCTACAGAATGTTATATGTTGTTTTTAATTTTGATTTTCATCTGCCTTGAATTTTTGCACCTTTCTAAATTTTATTGCTTACTACCCATTGGCTAAAATCTGTATTTTTTTTTTTTTTTGAGACAGGGTCTCACTCTGCTGCCCAGGCTGGAGAGCAGTGGCATGATATCAGCACACTGCAACCTCTGCCTCCCAGGTTCAAGCGATTCTGGTGTCTCAGCCCGCTTAGTAGCTGTGATTACAAGCATGACCCACCATGCTAGGCTAATTTTTGTATTTTTAGTAGAGATGGGGTTTCACCATGTTGGCCAGGCTGGTCTTGAATGCCTGGCCTCTAGTGATCCACTCACCTCGACCTCCCAAAGGTCTGGGATTATAGGCATGAGCCAACACGCCTGGCCTAAAATCTGTATCTTTAATGGCTGTCTATGACAGTGACTTCTGCCTATGTCTTAGGTCCTGCTTCCAGCCATCCCCTATTAAGCACTTTATCTTTCAACAACATAAAATTGCTCATGTTTTCTCACATCCATTTTAGTGTTTTATGTCTTTGCTAATAATGTTAGCTGCATAGGCCCCTGTCCTTGACCCTCTCCCCCTTTAACTCTTTGTCCTATTTTCCTCAGCTAACTAACTCCAAATCATGTTTCAAACCTTAGTTCACTTGTTTCCTCTTTCCTAAAGCCTTTTATGATTTCCTCATTCTGGGTAGGGGCTCTGCCTCTGTGTTTTCATGGTAACCTTTTCATACTTCTGTCTGACTTCTTTTCTTTTTTTTTTTTTTTTTTTTTGAGACAGATTCTCGCTCTGTAGCCCAGGCTGGAGTGCAGTGGCATGATGATCTCAGCTCACTGCAACCTCTGCCTCCCAGGTTCAAGCGATTCTTGTGCCTCAGCCTCCCGAGTAGCTGGGATTACAGGCCCCCACCACCATGCCCAGTTAATTTTGTATGTTTAGTAGAGATGGGGTTTCACCATGTTGGCCAGGCTGGTGTTGAACTCCTGACCTCAGGTGATCCACCCACCTCGGCCTACCAAAGTGCTGGGATTACAGGCATGAGCCACTGTACCCAGCCTGACTACTTCTATGTCATAAAATCATTTATTATGTGCCCATCTTCCTACAATACAAGCAAACCGCCTGGGAACAGGAATCATGTTCCATCCATTCTACATTATCCTCCTAGCAATGTATCTGACACATAATGCATGCAAAATAAATGTCTGTAGAACGGGACTCCAGTTTCTTCTGCTCCCTTTGGTTTAGAATATGTATGCCCCTGATATTTTAGGCATTTGCTTTTTTCAACATAGAGTGTGTTACAAATTCTGGCTAGCTTGGGGATGTTATTATTTTAACTCTGGCTAGTGCTTCATGTAGTCATTTTAGTTACCATTTTTAGTGGTATCTCTCTATGTCAAACAGAGAGGTCTTTAGACTTGAAAATTATTGAACACCATGTGGTAAGCTCTACATATGAAAGAAAGAGATCTGACTGTACAATAACATGAAAAGCAACATGGTTTAGTCACTAAAGTTGAAACCATTCCCACAGGGTTGACAATAATTGCATGCCAGGTCCTGGCCAGAAAAGATATTAATACCTATAATTAAGCATCAATCAGGATACACTTTGGCTCACTTCCTTGTTGCTGAATGTCACACACCACTAGATACTGCCCATCTGCAACCTCATTGTTCCTATAGATAGGATTTCTGATAATGGGGGTGTAAGACTGTTTGGGAATTGATTTGCATTCCCATTGTTCCTACAGACAGGACCTCTGTCTGACCTTAGAATCATAAGGCTTTTGTTTAAGGACCATTTAAGATGTTTCTCAGACCCTAAATTTCAGCAACCAGTTTGAAGACCCCCACAGATGAATGCGATCAGCATGAAAATGCTGCTTTTCCTGTCCTTGTCCCATACGTCACCCTGCACTCTTCAACTAATCAATGACCTTCACACTTCGGCCAACTCCAAACCGTTTATAAACTCTAATTATACATTTCTCAGGGAGATGGATTTGAGGTTTCCTCCCATCTCTTCATTTGGTGACCCTACAATTAAACCTCTTTTTCTGTTGCAACCCAGTGTCTCACTGTATTGACTTGCTGTGTGCATCAAGCAACAAACCTATTATGGTTACAAAGGGAGGAAGCCTTGGATTTTAATACTTTTTCTGCTAAGTACTGCAGTGCAACTTTAAGAGAATTGCTGGGCTCTTTCCATTCCTTCTATGTAAAGTGAAGATCCTAGTGTCAGAGGCATTGGAACAAGAGCAGCTCCATCTTAAATAGGAGCTGGGTAAAATGAGACTGAGACCTACTGGACTGCATTCCCAGATCGTTAAGGTTTTCTAAGTCACAGGATAAGACAGGAGATCAAGACAAGATACAGATCATAAAGACCTTGCTGATAAAACAGGTTGCAGTAAAGAAGCCAGTTAAAACCTGCCAAAACTAAGATGGCAATGAGAGTGACCTCTGGTGGTCCTCACTGCTACACTCCCACCAGCGCCATGACAGTTTACAAATGCCATGGCAACATCAGGAAGTTACCCTATATGGTCTGAAAAGGAAAGGCATGAATAATCCACCCCTTGTTTAGCAAATCGTCAAGAAATAGCCATAAAAAGGGTAACCAGCAGCCCTCGGGACTGCTCTGTCTATGGAGTAGCCATTCTTTTATCCCTTCACTTCCTAATAGACTTGCTTTCACTTTAATCTGTGGACTCGCCCTGAATTCTTTCTTACTCAAGAGCCAAGAACCCTCTCTTGGGGTCTGGATTGGGACCCCTTTCCTGTAACACTAGCAAACCACTTCACAAAGTATTTTTGAAGATGAATTCAACCAACTGACTGGAAAGCCTCCAGCAAGGGTATACTTACTGAGAAATTTTCAACACAAATGTAACAAAATAATTCTTTTTTTCTATTGATAGCCACTGATTCAGAAATGTTCCAGAAATGGTATAGTTAGTGTCTGGGTATTGGGTAAACATTACGCTAAAGGGAGCTTACTGAAAACATTTTGCTTGAGTGTTGGCCCTAGAAACAATTTTCACTCTGTTTAATTTATTCTGCAGCTTTACTGATAGTGAACGGAAACCAGAGCATAAACGTGAGGCCACTGTCACCTATCCTTGTTGAATGTGGGAAGGGAAGTTGATAGACTCTTACAGAGAAGAATATTATCCCACCTCTTTCTAAAAAGCTTTGTAAATTTTTGGATATTAGGGTCAAATGACAAGATTACAACAATTTAGTTTGAAGATCTTGTGATGGTTAATATTCAATGTCAACTTGATTGGATGGAAGGATGTAAAGTATTGTTCCTGGGTGTGTCTGTGAGGATGTTGCCGAAGGAAATTAACATTTGAGTCAGTGGACTATGAGAGGCAGGCCCACCCTCACTCTGGGTGGGTACCATCTAATCAGCTGCCAGTGCGGCTAGGATAAAAGCTGGCAGAGGAACATGGAAGGACTAGACTGGCTGAGTCTTCCAGCCTACATCTTTCTCCTGTGCTGGATGCTTCCTGCCCTCAGGTATTGGGCTCCAAGTTCTTCCAGCATTGGGACTCTTGGACCTTCAACTACAGACTGAAGGCTCCACCATCGGCTTCCCTACTTTTGAGGTTCTGGGACTCGGACTGACATCCTTGCTCTTCAGCTTGCAGATGACCTATTGTGGGACCTCACCTTGAGATTGTGTGGGTTAGTACTCCCTAATAAATTCCCCTTCATATATACATCTATCCTATTAGTTCTGTCACCCTAGAGAACCCTGACTACTATGGATCTTAATTGGCTTTATTTGCAATTCTAGATTTGGGCAACATTTTTTTTTATTTTAAAAAGAAGAAGTTTTTACCTGAAAAATGAGATCACCTTTAAATTATTAGGCCTAGAGAGGCACTGGAATGAAACAGCAGTTCTGTCACTCCTCCTTGAGCTAAATAATCTCCTGAGGGTATGTGGGCTTTAGACTAACTGATACCAAGAAGCCATAAAATGCTATACGCTGGGCACCATAACTATACCCTTATAGTTCAACAGTGTATAGCCAATCACTGGCTAATGTTATTTCTGTAAGCCAATGGTAATTCCTGTCAAACAACTTTGTATCAGCCCACTCCTTGTTCCCTTTGCTTTAAAAACCTGTTTGTAATAAAGGCTGCCATAACACTCCCCGAGGCTATTTGAACAGCTGTCTTCACTTTGGCTCAAACAAACTTTTTAAATTACATTTTGTGTCTTAGTCTATTCCTTTTAGGTTGACAACTTCATCCTGTAAAATAAAAATAAATGTTCCAATGAGTTGAGCAGACAGCATTAGTGTTACGGACAGAAAAGGCTGAAGAAAGCAAAAGCAAAAGAGAAAAACTGGCTTGATCATGTGAGGACAGGGAGACAGAAAAATAGAAGGATAACTTATCGGTTAGCATCAGGTTACCTCAGGCTACTTTTTGTTGTAAGGATTAAAACAGAGAGAACTCCAATATCTTGCTGATTGAGGATTGAAAATGACCTGTTTGGAAATTGGCTGTTCTCTCTCATGATGTCTTGGAAGATCAGATAACAATTTAGTTTTAGTTTGTGACTGAAACTTTAGCATGAATGACTCTATTTTTATTTTAGTCTCATCTGTTGGGGTCTAGTGCAGGAGTTTAGTCCAAAACAATGGACTCCTATAATTTTTGTTTAACGTTAGGGAATCTGTTTGTAGTTATCAATAAGTGTGGAATTTGGTCAAGTTCTATTCTTGCCCGAGTCTGGGCGTCCTGTCTCTGTATTCAAGAAGAAGGAATTGATAATTTTTAACCTTAAACACTTTATGATCTTTGAGGTAACAGACACTTCTGAGCTCTACAAAAAGTTTGTGACTAGAGGGCTGTTTGGGAGTGTGAAAGGAAAATATCTTGGGCTCCCAAAATTACTAAGGAAAACTCAAGCTGTAAACTCTTTAAGGCAAACCTGCCTCCCATTCTAATCAAAGTTATCCCTCTGCTGAGACAGATGCATATCTAATTGCCTCCTTTGGAAAGGCCAATCAGAAATCAAAAGAATGCAAACATTTGTGTCTCACCTATGTGTTATCTGGAAGCTCCCTACCAGCTCTGAGTTTTCCTGCCTTTGCTGTAAGTTGTCCCTCCTTCCCAGACGGAACCAATGTACTTCTTATGTATATGGATTGATATCTCATGTCTCCCTAAAATGTGCAAAACCAAGCTGTGCCTTCACCACCTTGGACACATTGTCAGGACCTCCTGAGGCTATCTCACGGGCACATCCTCAACCTTGGCAAAATAAACTTTCTAAATTAACTGAGACCTGTCTCAAACTTTCTAGGTTCAGAGGAGCATGAGGCAGGGAATCCATACACTTATCTCCCATCCCATTCCTCTGTATGCAGATGTTTGAAATGCTTCTTCCCCAACGCCATAAAGAAATAGCACTTGAACATAAATTTAATTTCCTCAGCAAGGCCATTTTTATACTTTCTGCAGAAACGGCACACTCGTCAGCAGTTTTGCCACAAGAGTACACTGAACAAAGGAGACAGGGTGATTTATAACCTCACGTGTCCACCCTACTGCTGTGTCCGGTTTCCACTGGCTGGAACGGGACCTCACATTCTGTATTTGTCCTGATTGGCTAGCAACTTAGAACGTTTTAAAAGAGGCAAAGGCAGAGGAGAACCAAGGAAGGAGGAAGTAACTTGTGGAATGCTGAGAAAGGTAAAAACGCCTTCAAATAAGGAAGAGGAACAGGCTATGACCTAATGCCTGCTTGGACCAGTATAGGCATGCCAGGGCAAATGTTTAGGCTAAATTGTGGGAGCTAAGAACATAAAGTATATTGATTTCTTGATTACGGCTAGCAGATATTTAAGAATGTTAGCACAGGTCTTTGAATAAATTTTGCTTCTAAGAGAAGTTACTGTTTATTCCTAATTAGATGGGGAGGAAAGTCTTTGAAGAAGAACCTCAACTTTACTTTTTACACAGAGCCGTGCACATAGCCACTTTCAGACAGAAACAGCCAACTTCCAAGTTGACAGAAGACAACCAAAAGGTGTCTTTTGAAAAGCCCATGCAGATTCTTTCGAAACGACTTGCCAAAGTTTTCAGGAACTGTTTGATCGCTTAAGGCCCTGGTGTCAGAAATAAATAGGAATAAAATACAGCTGGAAGCACATACAATAGATTTCTATAAACGGTTTATGTTTATTATTTGAGCTCCGGTCTGATTTTCTGTTTCACCCTCTGTAAGACTTCTTGGTAATAATACTAATGATAACAACTATAAAACCTTACAGAATGAAAACCAAGTGCCAGATATTCTTCTGAAAGCTTTATGTAAATTATCTCAGTTAATTCTGACAATAGCCCTATCAAATACAATCATGTGTTGCTTTGCAGTGGGGATACATCCTGAGAAATGTGTTGTTAGGCAGTTTTGTTATTGTGCTAACAGCATAGCGTGTACTTACACAAACCCAGGTGGTATAGCCCACGACACACCTAGGCTATATGGTATAGCCTATTGCTCCTAGGCTATAAACTTGTATAGCATGTGACTGTGCTAAGTGCTGTAGGCAATTGGAACACGATGGTATATATTTGTGTATCTAGTATGTCTAGATGAGGCAGGAAAATAGGGTCTGGAGGCAGGGAACATAAGGCCAATTCACACTTCAGCTAAGACAGGAAATATCCTCTCCATAGGGCGTAGGCCAAGTAAATGACTTTGTAACTTTACTTCATCCTCTGCTTTTACATAGGGTGTACACCAAGTAACTAATGGGATCCTCTTAGGGGGTATTTAAACTCCCCCAGATTTTGTAATGGAGCTGTTGAGCCCCTATGCTCAGGCCCACTCCCACACTGTGGAGTGTACCTTCATTTTCAATTAATCACTTCATTCCTTTCTTGCTTTATGTGTTTTGTCCAATTCTTTGTTCAAGATGCCAAGGAACTGGACACCCTTCTACTATTAACATATTTTAGTAATCCAGCCAGGAGGAAGAGGTAAGCCCAAAGTTTGGGATTTATTCTTCTCCTTCCTCCTTTTCCTTTCTGCTCCTTACATGGAATCTCTTTTCCTTCCCAAGCAGGGACCCTTGGTGGGTAGTACCTAAACATGGATGTAACTGCAGGTTTCTGGCCATGGCCAGTGAAACTGAAGGGTTTTCATGTGGAGAAGCCTGACCATCACCACCCAGATTTAAGAAATCTGGGTCTTTTTCACTTTTTTTCCTTTCTTTTCAGTCTTTCAGCAGTTGTTTCTTAGTAGCGCGTTTGGAAATTGAGGGCAGTTGGCTGGAGTCACTCCCCAGTACTGCCTGAAGGCCTAGAAATGAATAGGAATAATTGCCCTGCCCTGCAGGGGAAAGGACTTTTTTTTTTTTTTTTTAATCTCTTCTGCGTGTGGTCCCTGATCCCTACCTGCATCGCAGGTTGGAGCAAACTTGCACGTTTCAGGCTACTTAAACCTTCTTTTCTCACAAATTCTTTCCTTCTATTCAACTGGCTAAGGGCAAAGGAAACCCACCCAACCTCCAGTTCTTATCATTAAAGTTAATGGGAAGCATGGGAAAGCATGTCCTTATCAATTATAAGGATGCTAGAAGTTGGGGATTACACTCAGGTACCAAAGGAAAGCTCGTAGCAGGCTTTGGAGGGAACGCATGCAAAGTGGCACTGGTGCCCACTTAAGTAAGCCCAGAGACAGCTGGAACTCTAAGATTGGACCCCACAGGAGGATGCTCTGCGGGTCCTGTGGACCTCAACCTATCCAAAGGGGCTGCCCTTGGCAGAGGTTCTGAGGTCTAGTATTAAGCCCTCCTTAGAATTTTCTATCACAGGTGCAATGCTGCTTGGCCCCAAAATTGTTTAGAATCTGAAACTTACTGTCTAATGGGAAAGTGGGATGGCATTGCATGTATCCAGGCTTTTGTGCTGCTGTTGTAAGCAGGGCTCCTAGTTAACGTGTGACACCCTGCTTTGGTACTGTTTGGCCTCAGTGCTCCTCGGAGTCTGGGGAGGTTTAGCCTTTAAAAATCAAACTGCCATGGAGACTGCTTTACCTCAAATTTTGGTTCACAGCCTTCCTTGGGTTATCTATTGGGACAAAGCAAAACCATCAAGCTTGTATTGCTTTCTCATGGCTAAGGTTCCAAGCAATTGGATCTTTGTTTATATGTGTGTATACATGTCTAGATGCATTTATTTGTATGTACACTTACTGTTATATGTTTTGTCTACCAAATTGGCTTATAAGTAAAACAGCACTCATAAATTAAGTAAATAAGTCTAAGCAATTTTCAGGTTCACATGGCCTAAGCATAACTGTAGTAAACAAGCTAGCTTTAAAAGTATTGGTAGAATAAAAATAGAAAGGCCTTCAGGATTGTCAGCATACATTTTGTCTTGGTACGAGAGTGCTGGGAAGGGAAGAACATGGTCCCTTTAAATGATATGGAAACGGGGAAGGGAAGTGCTGGGTAGAGAAAGGTGGGTTCCTGGCTCGGGCTCCACCCCGACGGACCTAGGTGAGGACAGGTATTTCCTGCCCAAATGTTGCATTTCCCAAGACCACCCTGGCCTGCCACGCCCCCATCTTGGGCCTATAAAAACCCGAGGCGCCCTACCCCCAGCAGGTAGACACAAAAAGCGGCTGAGCATTGTGAGGAACACGTCGGCAGAGGAAGATACAAGCCACTGGTCATCGAGGGCACACTGGCAGAAGAGCACGCCAACAGGCACTAGCAGGTCGACAAGCCGGGCCATAGACTGGTGGAATGACGCGAAGTTTTCCAGGGGAAAACCATCTCCCTTCTGGCTCCCCCATCTGCTAAGAGTTACTTCTACTCAATAAGACCTTGTACTCATTCTCTAAGCCCGTGTGTGCTCCAATTCTCCTGGTACACCAAGGTAAGAAACCCTGGGATACAGAATTCCCTCTGTCCTTGTGATAAGGAAGGGGGTCTAATTGAGCTGGTTAACACAAGCCACCTGTAGACGGCAAACTCAAAAGAGCACCCTGTAACATGCCTACTGGTGCTTCAGCTGTAAACATTTACCCCTAGACATTGCCGTGGAGGGGGAGGGGGAGGGGGAATCTGTATGCTTCCCTAGAGGTTTGAGGAGCGGGGCACTGAGGAAGTGAGCCACAGCGCCATTGCACGCCCTGTGAGGGGGACAAGGGAACCTTTCAGCTTCAGTTTGTATTTTTTGTCTATCTTTGTTAGGTATGTTTAAGTGCCAGTGTTAAAGCTGGGAGCTGTTTGGGGCGAGCTTACTTCCCATTCTATTCAAAGTTTCACTGAGATAAATGCATATCTGATTGCTTCCTTTGGAAAGGTTAATCAGAAACTCAAAAGAATGTAACCATTGGTCTCCCACGTGTGATCCGAAGCCCCCAACCCCCCTCCTCACCTCAAGTTGTCCCTCCTTTCCAGACTAAACCAGTGATCATTTTACATATGTTGATTGATGTCTTATGTCTCCCTTGTTAAAAGTAAAAGTTAAGTGAATGGGATAAATGTTTTAGGTAAACTTTTGTGTAAATTAAAATCTTAGTTTTTTTTGATACTTATTTAATATCTGGGTAATTTCCAATTAAGAAAGGGTTGTGATAGGGGAAATATGTTTTGAAAATTGTGGAATCATTCTTATCTATAAATAGCCATATCTGATAGTTCAGGATTTCTTGCTTTTTAGGATCTCACGAAAGTTTTAGGTTACTACAGATAAAATTATAGTTAACATGTAATTCTGCATACA
Source organism: Homo sapiens (assembly GCF_000001405.40). Lineage (NCBI taxonomy): Eukaryota > Metazoa > Chordata > Mammalia > Primates > Hominidae > Homo > Homo sapiens. Next base: position 106,178,183 of record NC_000011.10, read on the forward strand.
AAATGTGCCACAAAGGGTTAGTTATTAGTGGAAAAAAATAACTGTATAATTCAAAAGTTATCTAAAAGTTCAAATTACAGATTTGAAAAGGTCATTATGAAACAGTGTAGTAAGGAATCATTAAGCAGGGGAGAAAGATGTGGAAAAAGTTTAAATAATAAAATATTCTTTAAAATCTGATAAGAATTGGAAATAATTGGCTAATTAACATTTTCATAGTTAAAGCTCTTAATACTGATTAAAGTAACAACTATTGTAAAAATGCATCAGCTGTTTGGCAATTCTCTTTGCAATATATTTAGGCATAAAGCTGGATTTAGTGTGGAGCCAAATTTCACATACATGGCTTGCATTGCTTCACACTATGTTTACTGTTTGAGTGGATAGTGCTATTTATTAGTCATGTGCCCTAAGGTGAATTTCTTGATTGCACGGAATGTATAATGATATTGGTGAACTTGAGGATATTGAATTGTGTATCAGGAATAAAATATTTAATATGTGGGGTTTTGGGGGCCCTAGATAACACTGTAGCTTCCAGGGTAAATTGAGCAGAAAAATTTAGGGTTGGTTTCCTGTTTATCTGTTTTTGTTTCTAGTTTTCATTACTTCGCTGTTTATTCCCCTCTGGCTTTGCTTGTGTATCCATATATAAAAAACCATGATGCTTTTTAGTTTCTAGTAGAAGGCTTTTATTTGGTTCTGTGAATAGTTATTTTGTTTCCTATGCATTTCTAGCAAGTCATCATTCATTCCATTTATCTGGAACTCCTAAGCTACCTTTGTTGGGCTTCAGGAATTAATGAACACACCAGCTTTTTATCCTTAAACTAACTTTTTGGACTTGAGGCTTCCTGATGTTTTAAAGGTGTTGAGTATACTCTTAAAAATAGAACTTAAGACATATTTCTGCTTAGTTTCTCCAAAATTTGTAATATATCCTTGAATATTCTTAATTCATGGTAATATGTTTGTTTGCATACAGTCAAGCATGGTTGCCAGGGCTGCTCAGGGAGAGAGAACCCAGAAACCTGGCATGCCAGCAAAAGGATATGAATTTCTTACCAGTGTCTGGCCTCTTTGTGTAAACTGGTTAATCAAACATTTTGTCAGAAAAGTAGAATGTGTAATATGTTTTAGTTCACGTGACTTTAGCAGTCTTTGGGAAATAGACACAGTTTTAAAGATTATTGGTAAAATACAATTGTCTTCAAAATGTAAATATGTGTTCTAAATTATGTTCAAATATTAGGTTTGCTTAATACCTTAAGGTCATAAACTGCTTCTTTTGCTTTTGAAAATTGTTTAACTTGCCTGCCTTTCAGCTAGGTAAGGGCTGGGGCCATGTGGAGTTGGCCAGGCCCTAGCTATGCTGGAAACAGTCAAACCTTATGGAAACATAACTTACCAGGTTTTATGTTAAAGTTAAAATTGCTAAGATTGTAATTGTAACATGCAATTAAGACTATTAGAAACAGTTTTACATTCAAGGTGTGTAAAAACGGTAGAATGCATTTTTTAATTTTTTTTAAAGATTATAAAAGGTTTTTGCTTTAACATTTCTGAGTCATTTTGGCAAAATAATTTATGGTAATCTGAAATTCCAAAATCAAACTTCACTTTCAAAATTGTCTTTCCTAATGCCTGTGTTTCTTGATAGATCAGAGGGCCCCTGAAAACATCCAGAAAAGAGGTAAACAGGATTATTTGACATTTTTAGGCATATGAGATGGCCAAAATGATGTTCGATCTTCTTTAGGTAATATTTTCATGAATAATACTAATATATATTCCAAAATTGTATGGGATTTCTAAAATTCCAATGTCTAAGTATATGCTAACAATCACAATTACCTAATTCTGTGATTTATTAGCAATTACCTAATTTATTATTAAATTATTAATTTAATAATTTAATAGGTATTAATTAATAATTAATACCAATTAATAATTTAATTGGTATTATTAAATACCAATTTATTACACAATTATCTAATTCTGTGGTTTATTACCATAAACCACAGAAATAACCAAATTTACTTGTATAAAGATACTAACCCAAGTAAAACAAAAAAGGAATTAAATATCAAGAAAATACTTTTTTTTAATTATTATAGTTTAAGTGCTGGGATACATGTGCAGAATGTGCAGGTTTGTTACATAGGTGTACACGTGCTGTGGTGGTTTGCTGCATCTATTGACCCGTCATCTACATTAGGTATTTCTCCTAATGCTATCCCTCCCCTAGCCCCCCACCTCACGACAGGCCCTGGTGTGTGATGTTCCCCTCCCTGTGTCCATGTGTTCTCATTATTCAACTCTCACTTATGAGTGAGAACATGTGGTGTTTGGTTTTCTGTTCTTGTGTTAGTTTGCTGAGAATGATGGTTTCCAGCTTCATCCATGTCCCTGCAAAGGACATGAACTCATCCTTTTTTATGGCTGCATAGTATTCCATGGTGTATATTTGCCACATATTCTTTATCCAGTCTATCATTGATGGGCATTTGGGTTGGTTCTAAGTCTTTGCTATTGTGAACAGTGCCACAATAAACATAAATGTGCATGTGTCTTTATAGTAGAATGATTTATAATCCTTTGGGTATATACCCAGTAATGGGAATGCTGGGTCAAATGGTATTTCTGGTTCTAGATCTTTGAGGACTTGCCACACTGTCTTCCACAATGGTTGAACTAATTTACACTCCCACCAACAGTGTAAAAGCATTCCTATTTCTCTACATCCTCTCCAGCATCTGTTGTTTCCTGACTTTTTAATGATCGCCGTTCTAACTGGTTTGAGTTGGTATCTCATTGTGGTTTTGATTTGCATTTCTCTAATGACCAGTGATGAGCTTTTTTTTTTTCATTTTTGTTGGCTGCATAAATATCCTTTTTTGAGAAGTGTCTGTTCATATCCTTTGCCCCCTTTTTGATGGGTTTTTTGTTTTTTTTTTTCTTGTAAATTTGTTGAAGTTTTTTGTAGATTCTGGATATTAGCCCTTTGTCAGATGGATAGATTGCAAAAATTTTCTCCCATTCTGTAGGTTGCCTGTTCACTCTGATGATAGTTTCTTTTACTGTGTAGAAGCTCTTTAGTTTAATCAGATCCCATTTGTCTATTTTGGCTTTTGTTGCCATTGCTTTTGGTGTTTTAATCATGAAGTCTTTGCCTATGCCTATGTCCTGAATGGTATTGCCTAGGTTTTCTTCTAGTGTTTTTATGCTTTTAGGTCTTATGTGAGAGTCTTTAATCCATCTTCATTAATTTTTGTGTAAGGTGTAAGGAAGGTGTCCAGTTTCAATTTTCTGCATATGGCTAGCCAGTTTTCCCAACACCATTTATTAAATAGGGAATCCTTTCCCCATTTCTTGTTTTAGTCAGGTTTGTCAAAGATCAGATGGTTGTAGATGTGTGGTGGTATTTCTGAGGCCTCTGCTCCCCAATCTAGCAAGACAGGCCAACATTCAAATTCGGGAAATACAGAGAATACCACAAAGATATTCTTTGAGAAGAGGAACTCCAAGACACATAATCGTCAGATTTACCAAGGTTGAAATGAAGAAAAAAATGTTAAGGGCAGCCAGAGAGAAAGGTCAGGTTACCCACAAAGGGAAGGCCATCAGACTAACAGTGGATCTCTCTGCAGAAACCCTACAAGCCACAAGAAAGTGGGGGCCAATATTCAACATTTTTAAAGAGAAGAATTTTCAACCCAGAATTTCATATCCAGCAAACTAAGCTTCATAAGTGAAGGAGAAATAAAATCCTTTACAGACAAGCAAATGCTGAAACATTTTGTCACCATGAGGCCAGCCTTACAAGAGCTCCTGAAGGAAGCACTAAACATGGAAAGGAACAACTGGTATTAGCAACTGCAAAAACATACCAAATTGAAAAGACCATAGACACTATGAAGAAACTGCATCAACTAACAGGCAAAATAACCAGCCAGCAGCATAATGACAGGATCAAATGCACACATAACAATATTAACCTTAAATGTAAATGGGCTACATTCCCTAATTAAAAGACACAGACTGGCAAATTAGATAAAGAGTCAAGACCCATCAGTGTGCTGTATTCAGGAGACCCATCTCACATGCAAAGACACACATAGGCTCAAAATAAAGGGATGGAGGAATATTTCCCAAGCAAATGTAAAGCAAAAAAAAAAAAAAGCAGGGGTTATAATACTCATCTTTGATAAAACAGTCTTGAAACCAACAAAGATCAAGAGACAAAGAAGGGCATTGCATAATGGTAAAGGGATCAATGTAACAAGAGCTAACTATCCTAAATATATATGAACCCAATACGGGAGCACCCAGATTAATAAAGCAAGTTCTTAGAGACCTATAAAGAGACTTAGACTCCCACACAATAGTGGGAGACTTTAATACCTCACTGTCAATATTAGATTGAGACCGAAAATTAACAAGGATATTCAGGACTTGAACTCAGCTCTGGACCAAGCAGACCTAATAGACATCTACAGAACTCTCCACCCCAAATCAACAGAATCTACATCCTTCTCAGCACCACATTGCACTTATTCTAAAATTGACCATATAATTGGAAGAATAAATTACCTTCATGTTAAACCAGCTAGTACTGAAATTGTTTAAAATAGTTTATAACCAATGCTAGATCCTATATTCCTAGAAAAATAATGAAAGCTTCAGGTACATTTGGTCACCTGGTGGGCCATTTGAACATTTTATAAAGAGATTTTGTTCAACTGTTATTTTCAATGCATAATTTCTAGTTGTATGAATGTTTTCCCTTGTAAGAGAGCTGATGTTGTAACAGTAGATTATTATGCTACAATTTGTTTTCACCAGGTAAAGAAAGGTTTTTAAGGTTTGAATCTTCTGGAAACATCAGTGAAAGACTGTCCTTGCCATCCACACTGCAACAAAACTTTGGGACTTTGGGCTTTGGGTTTATGGCCTCGCAAATGAGAAGGGTCCCTCCACACTTCTGTTACTGTGTACCCCTTGTAACCCTTGAGGTAAAGTAACCAGGAGAATTTCTCCCAAGAGGAAGATGGTATCCTTGATGTAAACAGCTTTTCCCAAGTTCACAGATTAAAACTTCTACTGTCATGAAACTCTTATCTTTGAATGTTTTTTTTTTTCTCACTATGCCTCTAAGAATAGAAGTGGAAAGAGGTCTGTTATGTGCAATAATGGGGTGTACTTTTATTTGTGAATGAGTTTGCAGCCAACCTTACACGTGGATAACCTGATACTTTGATAGACAAAAGATGAAGACCCAATGTAGGTAAGAAACTTTAAGGGTACATGTGCTGCCTCATAATCATTCAAAACAAAACATTGGTTCACCCCTCTTAACCCACATCATGGGTTAAAGAGAACATTGCCAGAAGGCCTTCACTCTTCTAAAAGGGCATCATTTTTTTGGTCCTTTTTCCATGGTTTAAAGTAAAAGAAGCAATGATTAGAAACTTATCCCTCATCATAAACTGTATAGAAAATTCTGTAAAGGCTATCGTTACACAATAGACTCCAAATTATCTTGTGAAAGTTATGATAGAATTGGATAAACAGAAGTACCTGTGCAGCTGCTAGCACTGTGGCCTATGAAGAAATCCATCAAATGTAGATTATAGAAATTTAGGGATAGAGGATTAACAAAGAGATTGCTTAGTTAAGTGGGTAAACTCTTTAGCTCATTCTTTGATCTACTTGATTTTAGGAGGTTTGGCTTGGGGGTGGTACCTTGGGTAAGCGGCATATTCCAAACTCGGTATTATCCTCCCAATAAACATAATAGTCTCCCTGGTGCACTGTATTCTGTCAAAGGTTTTAAATGCTTGCGTGCACCATCTCTAGAACATTGTATATTCTCTTCAACTGGAAGAGAAGAAATCATTGGGAAAAAAAATGATTGGCTATGTTAATCAAGAGCACCTGAGCATGAAGCCAATATTTTAGGTAAAAATAGGATTCTTAATTTCTGGAAAACTGAGTTCCTTCTGGCTTATATTTTAGGCCTGGGAGGCAGCAACGTCTTGAGAGAAATGGCAAAATCTTACTAAAGATAATAGGAGCTGAAAGAAATGTGTAACCGTGAGGGCACCATAACCTATAAATGATGTGCTGAAACCCAAAATGATGGTAACTGAGAGTGGCACTAAGGCCCTAAATCTTGGTTACACTCTCACCTAAGTGAGAGCCTGAACAAAAAGGAAAATTTTTTTAAAACAAAATTATGAGAGGACATTGTTTTAGACTAGGCTCATGCACTAGTGCCCAACAAAGCAAACCAAACCAAAATGGAGTTGCTCATGCTAAGACGTTAGGGGAGCACATAGCTTCTAGAACACACTGGGTTTTGTTTTTTTCTCCTGTAAATCTTTAACATTTCTGATAGCATAGGTATTAGTATGTGGATCTATTTCCATGGGAGACACCATTCAGCCGGCCTACAGTCTCACTCTCATATGGGACCATGCAGACCTTGCTAACTATTTTCTGAGCTCCAACAAAGATCAGACTGCTCCTCAGTACAACATTCTGGGCAGCCACTGTCAATTGGCTTTGAAGGTGAAATCAGTTCCCTATCCATAGGATGATGTAGGTTAAAGCAAACTAAATGTGGCCAGAGAAGGACTCTTCTATATTTGAGTCCTTGTGGATGAACTGTAACCTAGCTTAATAGACAAAATTGAAAACCTAACTTAATAGTATGTACCCATAATAATAGCTGAGTGTTGGCCAATCCCAGCAGCCATATTTCAACCACTCATAGACTGCTGAGTATTCAAACTGGATTCAAATAAGGCATAGGTGGAGCTGTAACCAATCTTGCTGTTTCTGTACTTCACTTCCAATTCCTGTACATCACTTTAACTTTTTTGTCTATGAATTTGTTCTGACCAGGAGGCACCCCTGAAGTCTCTGTGAATCTGCTGTGATTCCAGGGGTTGCCCAGTTCGTGAATTGTTTATTGCTCAATTAAACTCTTTTAAACTCTGAAGTTTTTATTTTATCAGATGGTACCAGAAGTGGGATCTGAAGTGGAGCTTCTAGCAACCCCCAGGAGCACTGAATGAATATACAAGGTGCCCGCAGGACCCACTTGTGTCCATTGATTTCTCAGAGCGGCTGGGGATCACGGGTAAGCTCCCTCTCAGATTGCAAGCTCCACGGATTTGTCTTTTGAGCTCTGACTTTATTTGAGCAAGTTTCTGATCCAAACTGGGTTTGGAGTTGCAACAGAAACTAGACTGGGTCCAGGAATGAATTTGATCCAGGAATGAACTGGCTTGGATCTAGTTAGAGGCCTCCTACATCTGACTGGGTCAGGAAGGAACTGGTAGTAAGCAGTAATATTGCAGGGGTTATAAAATTTGCCTTTTGAAAATTCACAGGGATTTTTTGTGTTCTACCCCTTTGTTTCATTTTTCTTGCATGCTTAGGAAAAAAAAAATCATTGGCGACCAGGCGCGGTGGCTCATGCCTGTAATCCCAGCACTCTGGGAGGCCGAGGCGGGTGGATCACGAGGTCAGGAGATCAAGGCCATCCTGGCTAACATGGTGAAACCCCAACTCTACTAAAACAAAAACAAAAACAAACAAAAAACACAAAATTAGCCGGACGTGGTGGTGGGCACCTGTAGTCCCAGCTACTCGGGAGGCTGAGGCAGCAGAATGGCATGAACCCTGGGAAGCGGAGCTTGCAGTGAGCCGAGATTGCACCACTGCACTCTAGCTTGGGTGACAGAGCGAGACTCCGTCTCAAAAAAAAAAAAAAAAAAAAAAATTGGCTACGTTAATCAAGAGCACCTGAGCATAAAGCCAATATTTTAGGTAAAAATAGGATTCTTAATTTCTGGAAAACTGAGTTCCTTCTGGCTTATACTTGAGGCCTGGGAGACAGCAATGTCTTGACAGAAATGGCAAAATCTTACTAAAGATAACTTACAGTGAAGTGCTTTGAATGAACAACAATGCATTGAAGTACATTTAAAAATGAGGGCTCTTGGTAAGATCCCTGTTGGCCAACAACAGGTTTGGCACTACAGGATGTCAACTACTATTCTCTTTGGAATGATGTGCCTTGTACTCTTTGCTGACAACTGTGGGTGACAGGATTGGCATATACAGGATCGTGGGACATGGGGAAATTTTTCTTCCTCCCAAAGGGAAAACTTGAGAGCTGATGGGACTGTTGGAAAAAAAAAAAAATCCCTTCACAACAACAGCAGCAGCAGCCACCTGAACTTTTCAGTGTTGCTGCAATGGGTGGGTCTTTCACTGGCCTCCCTGAGCATTTCACCTGAACATGGTCTTAGGATCCCCATGAGGTTGCTGCTCAAGAGAGCCCAGCAGGCTGGCCAGTAACAAACTTTTCTGTATGTCCCTGAAACAAACAAAACTTGATGGGGTCTCCATCTTGTCTTATATTCTTGGAGCTTAACCTTGTAACCACTTGACAGTACTTTCTCTTGGCCTCTGCCTCTCAGGGAACAGGAATTTTAAGGTTTATGTCACGGTTAGTTCTAAAATTATCTTGAGTAGTTAAAAGCCTCTGCAAGCTCAAAATTAACTACTCTAGAGTCCTTCTAGGAAGGACAATAGAGACTGCTCTGTGCAGTAGCTCAGTAGATTAGATCTTGGCTTTTCACACTGGCTGGCTGGGTTCAATTCCCTGGTTAGGAAGTAAGCTCCTTCTGGTTTAATATCTGTATAACGTTGTGTGGTCTCTTTTCCTCCATGGACTATCTTAAATTTTTATTTCTCTGAGCACCTGGGGTGTTACCTTTGGTAAAGTTCAAAAGCTAGAAATATCTGCCATTTGGCCTGCTTAAAATTGGGTAATAAGAAATTTTAAAAGGACTCTATTAGAGTGCCATGGTTAAAATTCAGCTTAATTAAAAGCAGATATTCAAGCTCTAACAGCACTCGTTGGAGAAAACCAGGCACCAGAAATCCCTTTCCTGGCCCTATTCTTCCAAGGGCTCCACCCTAAAGCCAATAAGCAATTTAAGAAATTTAAAAACTGGCAAATGAAAAATCTTAACTACTGTAGTAATCTGTCTGTGTAATTATATATGTGTTATATGTAATGTTTATCTAAAAGAGCTCTAATTAAAGATAAGCACTTAAATATTTGAAAGCAAAATAAAAACTGTAATGCCTTTCAGTTCATGTAACTTTAGTAATCTTTGGGAAATAAAAACAGCTGTAAAGATTATTAATAAAATACATTTTGTCTAAATTATGCAGGTCAGATATTAGGTTTGCTAAATGCTTTAAGGTCAAACTGCTTTGCCTTTTGAAAATTGTTGAATTTATTTTGAAAACATTAAATTCTAAATAAGGCCTGGGGATATATGGAATTAGCCATGCCCCCAGCTATGCAAAGAAGTTTATAAAGAGAAGAAATTTTGGCCAGGCGTGGTGGCTCATGCCTGTAATGCCAGCACTTTGGGAGACCAAGGTTGGTGGATCACTTGAGGTTGGGAGTTCGAGACCAGCCTGACTAACAAGGTGAAACCTCATCTCTACTAAAAATACAAAAATTAGCCGGGTGTGGTGGCAGGCACCTGTAGTCCCAACTACTCGGGAGGCCGAGACAGGAGAATTTCTTGAACCCAAGAGGTGGAGGTTGCAGTGAGCTGTGATCACACCACTGCACTGCAGCTTGGGTAATGGAGTGAGACTCCATCTCAAAAAAATAAAAATAAAAATAAAAAAGATTTTATATAAGAACATTGTATGGAAAATTTTTGTCTTGAAGTAAAGTGGCTTGTTTAAAAAGAGTGATGTTTAGGGCAAGTCAGAAAGTCTAAACATGTCATACATGGTCTGTGTAAGTTGTGAAAGAATTTATGAAAAGAAATTTATGCCAGAAATTTTGTACAATTTAAACGTGATTGGGCCTCCTAAATGCATCATAAAATGCCATATGACTCTTAATTGTAGAGCTTGCCTGATTTATAGCTAGATAAGGCCTGGGACACAGGGAGTTAGACACTGGAAAGACTCAGACCTTATCTGCATTTCTGTCTGGGTCCTAGGCTCCAAACCTAGTACATAATTAAAATTCCTTACTTACCAAGGTTTTCACCAAAAGTAAGTCTCTAAGAGTAACATTGTAATATGTAATTAAGACTACTGAAAAAGTTTTCATGCAAGGTGTGTTAAGGAGAATAAAATGTATTTTTGTAAGATATTATAAGAAAGTACTAGAACATAAATTTTACCTAGGTTAGAGGGTTAAAGCGTTGTTTAAAATTAAATTTAAAGGTTTGAACAAGTTGTGAAAGGTTTATAAAAATTACAAGAATCTATGTGTGAACATATTGGCTAAAGTTAAAATAGCATTATTCCGTTTTTTTTTTCCCATAAATTGGACATTGGAATAGAAGCACAACAGTTTTCTTAACTTTTTTCTACTCTGAGGAAAAAAATGTAAATTATTATAAAAGTTTTATAAAAGTCTTATGTTATGGTCAAACTAATTAAAAGTGAATTGTTTTATAAAATGTTATTAAAAACTAGCTTTAACATTAAAAATAGACTAATGGAAACATAAAACTTGATTTTCTCTTAAGAAGGTTCCGCATTCCATGACTCGTCATAGAAAAGATAAAATAATCCAAATTGAATATATTGATGTGGTAGCTTATAAATTGTGAAAATAGTTTAAAACCAATGTTTGGTTCCATATTCCTGGGAAGACAATCAAAGCTTCAGGTACATTTGGCTACCTGATGGGCCGTTTAAATATTTATAAGAAGATTTCATTCAATTGTCACTTTCAGTGCCTGTTTTCTGGTTGTATAAAAGCTTTCCCATGCAAGAGGGCTGATGTTATAACAGTAGATTATTATGCTACAGTGTAATTTCATCAGGTAAAGAAAGCTTTTTATGGTTCACTGAGGACAATTCCTTCACAATCTGGAACCTGAAGATTGGATCTTAGAACATCAGAGAAATACCATCCTTGCCATCCACACTGCAGCAAAACTTCGGAGCGTTCGACCTTGGGTTTATAATCTCACAACTGAGAAGGATCCCTCCATACTCTTGGAACCGTACACCCATTGGAACATTTAAGTTAAAATTAACTAGGAAGGTTTCTCCTCAGAAGATGGCATCCTTGATGTGAACAGCCGTTCCCCAGATCATGGAACAAAACTTCTATTACGAGACTCTTATCTTCGAATATTTTTTCCTTGTTTATGTCTCTATGAACAATAGAGATGAACAGGGGATCTATTATGTGCACTTTTATGGGGTATACTTTTATTTGCAAGATTTTGCAGCCAGCCTTATATATGAATAACCTTATAATTTAATAGATAACAGATGAAGGCCCATTGTAGGTGAGAAATTTTAGTGGTACATATGTTGCCTCATAATCAGTTAAAACTCCTCTTAACCCACATCATGGATTAAAGAGAACATTGCCAGGAGGCCTTCACTTTTTCATAAGGACATCATTTGTTAGGTCCTTTTTCCATGGTTTAGAATAAAAAAGACAATAATTAGAAATGTCTCCCTCATAATAGTCTCTGCAGCAAATTCTACTTTAAAAGCTATCGTTACACAACAGACTTTAAATTCTCTTGTGAAAGTTATTCTAAATGATAGAACTGGCTAAACAGAAAAGTGCCTGTGCAGCTGCTGACACTTGTGGTCTATGGAGAAATACATCAAATGTAGATTACAAGAATTCAGTTGTAGGGGATTAATGAAAAGACCCACTTAGTCAAGTGAGTAAACTCTTCATTTAGCTCATTCTTTAATCTATTTAGTGTTAGGTGGTTTGGTTTATGGGGACCCTGGGTAAGGAGCATATTCCAAACTCTTGGTGTTAACCTCCCGGTAGTCATAATAGTCTTCCTGGTGCACTGTATTCTCTCAAAGGTTTTAAATGTTTGCAAGCAGCCATGTCTAGAAGTCAAATGGCCTCTCTTCAACTGGAATGACAAAAGCTGAAAGAAATGTGTGACCATGAGGACAAAATAACCTATGAATGACATGCTGAGATCAGAAACCCAAATGATGGTAACTGAGAGTGAGGCCCGAAGTTTTGGTCACACTTCACCTAAGTGAAAACCTGGCCAAAAGGGAAATTTTTTTAAACAAAATTATAGGAGGCCATTATATTGGACTGAGTTCGTGCAGTAGGCCATAACAAACCAAACCAAACTAAAATGGAGTCATTTGTGCTAAATGTAACATAATCAAACTTAGGCTTCAAGAAGACGTATAGATCCTAGAACAGACCAGGTTTTGTTTTTCTCCCGTAAACAGGATGTTCTGGCATAAGGAGGTACCTTCTACTCAGTCCTTATTCTCTTCTTGAAAAACCCATTGTTCTGTTTCCCAGCGGGTTTCAAAACTGTATGAGTACATTTATGACCGTGGTAGTAATATAAATGACTAATGTTTTAGTCAATCTCTCAAAATTGAGAAAATGACCAAAAGGGGGGAATTGTTGAAGCAAACTAAATGTGGAGGACTCTGTACTTCTGTATTTGAGTCCTTGTGGATGAACTTGCAACCAAGCTTAATAGACAAAACTGAAAACCTAACTTGATAGTATGCACCCATAACAATAGCTGAGTGTGGGCCAATCCCAGTGGCTGTACTTCAACCACTCATAGATTGCTGAGTGTTCAAACTGCATTTAAATAAGGCAAACACGGAGCTGTTAGTAGTCTCGCTGTTTCCGTATCTCACTTCTGATACCTGTACTTACTTTAATTTTTGTGTCCATGAATTTCTTCTGACCATGAGGCACCCCTGGAGTCTCTGTCAATCTGCTGTGAGAGCTGCCTGATTCACAAATTGTTCATTGCTCATTTAAACTCCTTTAAATTCGGCTGAAGTTTTTGTCTTATCATATATAAGGCACCTTTCAACACATACATTTGGTGTCTGCTAATCTGTTAAAACTGACAGCCAAGGCCAGGTTTATGTCTAGTAAATAGGACAGGTTGAAGGGCATTACTTCTCTCGAATATTGGTGGTGTGATGAAAATGGTGTAAAGATTTAATCATCATTGAAGAAAAAATATTTTTTGCATGTTTCTAGAAAGCTGCTTCCCTGATTTGCTTAAAGAAGAATAGTGTTTTTTTCCCAGCACATTCTTGCTGCTTATTCTTCGTTTTCAGGCTATCAGAATCTTAAAACCTGCCCAAAATTATATTCACTATATTTATAATCTGGACATTTCCATAAAAACAGAATTAAAAGCTATTGGAGAACAGACCTTATAAATGAAAAATATTTTATACAGTTTCCTTGGGCTCTCATTTACATAATGTTTATTTTAGCCTCCTCACTTACTGATGTGGTATTTTAATTTCCTATTTCTAGTTTTAAAAAATTTTCATTCACTATCTTTTGATACTAGATACATTGTTGTGGTGGGGTGTATGTAGTATGACAGATTTAGTTCAAATTTTGACTGTGCCATTTAAAGAGTAAATGAGCAAATGGGAACTATCAATACCTGCTCTGTCAGGTGTAGTGAGAGCTAGAGGGGGACATAAACAGACCCCCCCAATACAACTTGTTGCATGAATATGCAAACATTCTCTAGGACCTTTAGAGGTAGATGAAAGATAAAAAATTTCCTTTGATTTAGCAGGGCTATGTGTTTTGAAACTAGAAACATTTGCATTTGAATGTAGTGACAGAAAATTAATATAGGGTAAAACCTTACCATCAGCCAAAAGCTTTTTGAGCACCTCAGCTGGCAAGGCTGTGCCCTATGATTATACAGTGACATCACTTGGGAAGAATAGTTCTGAGGATAATTGTATTCCACGGTGAGATATTTTTGGAAACAGAAACTGTAGGAAAAAATTTAGTTAAAATGGCTTTGTTTCTATAGGAATCTCCTGGGTAATAATATAGTTTTGCTCTGTGAGTAAATGGTTGGCACGCTGATTTTTGTTAAAGCATTACTAGTCACATGTTGATTGGCTTAGAACTAGAATGCTTATGCATTTTAGATGACCAGAAAGTCTTAATACCTCTGTACAAATCTGTGCATCTTAAAAAGACAATGATCTTTGAATATAGCTTTGTTTCTGATTCATTCATTGCTTTACATTACCTCACCCCTAAGTTTCACATTGTATCATGTTATTTATATTCCCATTTTAATATTCATTTGTTGTGTTGTGTTTATGTGTTGGAAGGAAGGAAGCTCAGAAAGAGCAGAGCTGCCATCTCCATTTTATTAAGTCTCTGCACAAGGACTATTTGAAATCTATGGGGACATGTATGAGGTACCAACTGCTAACATGAGCACATTGCTGTGCTCCACAAATGGGAGACAAAAACTGGCTGTGCCCGTGAAGAAGTGCAGATCGATGTTTAAAAAGACCATGGGCTTTGAAGGCAACAGACCTGGATTCAAACCTTAGCTCCACCACTTAAGCTGCTTTCCAACCTTGAGCAAAGCATTTAATGTCCAAGTCTCATTTTTTTCTTTATCTTTAAAATGGTTTTCTTTATCTTTAAAATGATCACAATAATATATATTTACAGAGTTATTTTGGAAGAAGCCAAGTGAAAAATAAAAAAAAACAGCACTACACATATTCCTTCAACCACACCAAACCAACCGATCCTATGTGGATACTCAGAACTTGCTACTTACTTCTCAGTGATTATTAGAAAATTTTTGAACCAATTTTGTGTTTCCTTCCATAATAGAAAAAAAAAATCCACACAAGAACTAATCATTTGATCTGACATCAAGATTACTTGGTATTATTTTTCAGTAGAGCATCATGCTTTCTTAAATACCAGCTCTGCTTGTAGCTTGGTTCAGTTTGCCTTAGAGGAGTTTGAATAATCTTATATGTAAGTGATATATTAACTACTTTTTAGCTATATGATGGAATTATTCATTCACTGCATATCAAAATATTTATTGGGTGAATAGAATTGTTGAAACAGACCTTGAGTAATTCTAAAGCAGGTAGACTAACACAATTTTATTCTGCTATTTTCAAACTCCTTTGTTCTTTGATTCATTCAGGCCCATTTGTTTAAACTGACTCATTCACTTAGTATTTATTGCATGCCGTGCTCGGTGGCTCATGCCTGTAGTCCCAGCTGAGGACTTTCAGAGGCCAAGGCGGGGATGCATCACCTGAGGTCAGGAGTTCAAGACCAGCCTGGCCAACATGGCAAAACCCTGTCTCTACTAAAAATACAAAAATTAGCTGGGCATGGTGGCAGGTGCCTGTAACCTCATCTATTTGGGAGGCTGAGGTGGGAGAATCACTTGCACTGGGGAAGGTGGAGGTTGCAGTCAGCTGAGATTGCACCATTGCACTCCAGCCTGGGCGACAAGAGCGAAACTTTGTCTTAAAAAAACCAAAATCTATTGTAACCCACAGTGTGCTAATCGCTGGCTAAAGTGGTGATGAAGACTGTTCTGCTCTCAAATTGCTTATAGATATGAGGAGATTGGATAAGAAAATAGAAAATTGGATAGATATCTGAAAAAGATATGTATAATTCAATTTATTTTATTTTAATGTCCTACCCATTTTGAGGAGGATTTGGGGTAGCTTGCAGAAACTAAGAAAGCAAATAGAACAGTCTAGTGTAGCAATAACAAGTTTATCTCAAATCAGAGAGGTCAAGGTTTTTGATTCCTGGCTGTGCCAATTCTGACAAATGTCAGAAATCTGTTTGTAGCCTCAGTCAAACTGCATGAAAGATGCATATGCTTGAGAATGTGTGTGCATATGCTTATATTTAAATTTTGGAAACAGAAAAGGAAGATTTGGGTTAATTTTGTTCTCAGATATAGGAGCTAGTGGTATCCTTACTTCTAACTAGACCTTGTACCTCCTGGTTGGTCATTGCAGACAGCCTTTTTACTGAGGTAATTTTCCTCGATTGAAGCTACAGCTGTAAAAACATGATGGTTGCTTTGTTGTTCTTAACTAGCTCCTCTATGCTAAAGACCCAGTGTGAGGTATAGCCAATCTGGCTGCAGTTTCTACAATCTGCAGTTGGCAAATATATTACATCGTGAAAATCTGAAAGTTGAATTGTATTCCAGGCCAGATAAAGTGCTGATCAATTTAGGCAGATGGGCTGTAGGGATGTATTTTGAATTGGGAGATTTCTTGCTAAAATGGTAGCTAAAGATCTATTGTTCAAATCCTGAATAATAAGGGATTTGAGGACTCAGAGTTCTTCATTATGTATCATCATGTAGTAACTTTTCTCTAAATGGTTTAAGGGTAAATATTATCCACAGAACACTAACCAGAATAATCTCTGAACGTGAGACCTGTTAGAAAAGTTAGAGAAAATGTTATTCTATAAAAGAGATTTAAAAAATTGGTATTGTGTATTAAGGCATTATGAAAACAATTCAAAAAATATTTACTAAGTTTTTGCTATATGCCAGACATCTTAAAGAATCTGAAAAGAACTAGAAAACAAACAGTTTAATACCTAAACTCATTATTTGGAAAACCAATAATATAGAGAAAGAATTTCTCCCTTTCCTATGTGAATTATTTTTCAGGATGTCCAAATTGTTGAGGGAAAGTGTCTTTTATTTTTGAGACGGAGGTTCGCTCTTGTTGCCCAGGCTGGACTGCAGTGGTGCAATCTCTGCTTACTGCAACCTCTGCCTCCCAGGTTCAAGCAATTCTTCTGCCCCAGCCTCCTGAGTAGCTGGGATTACAGGCACTCCATGCCTGGCTAATTTTTTTTTTTTTTTTTTTTTTTTTTTGAGATGGATTTTCGCTCTTGTTGCCAAGGCTGGAGTGCAATGGTGCGATCTTGGCTCATCACAACCTTCGCCTCCCAGATTCAAGTGATTCTCCTGCTTCAGCCTCCCGAGTAGCTGGGATTATAGGCATGTGCCACCATGCCCAGCTAATTTTGTACTTTTAGTAGAGATGGGGTTTCTCCATGTTGGTCAGGCTGGTCTCGAACTCCCAACCTCAAGTGATCCACCTGTCTTGGCCTCCCAAAATGCTGAGATTACAGGCGTGAGCCACCACGACCAGCCCTAATTTTTATATTTTTAGTAGAGACGGTGTTTCACCATGTTGGCCAAGCTGGTCTCCAACTCCTTACCTAAGGTGATCCACCTTCATTGGCCTCCCAAAATGCTGAGATTACAGGCGTGAGCCACCACGACCAGCCCTAATTTTTATATTTTTAGTAGAGACAGTGTTTCACCATGTTGGCCAAGCTGGTCTCCAACTCCTTACCTGAGGTGATCCACCCTCCTTGGCCTCCCAAAGTGCTGGGATTACAGGCATGAGCCACTGTTCCTCCGGGAAAGTTCTTTTTATGGAAGTATTTAAGCTAATGAAATACGAATAAATAATAGCTCTAAACCGTGATCATCAATGACTAATACAATAGAAAGAGAATAACCAGAAAACGCAAGTCTTATAATAGAGGTCAGTATTACTGCTTTGAAGTAGCATTGTCAAAAATTCTAACCTGAATCTATTAGCTCTTTAGACCTATCAATTTACAGGAAATACGAAGGATCAAAAAAATGTCTTAACATAGTGATGTAATCAGTAAAAGCTTAGCTGTGGGAAACTACAAGACAGATGAGCCAGTGTTTTTCAACACAGAAATTGTAAAAATAAAAAGCATGAGAGAAGAGGAACTCTATGGATTAAAAAAGAAACATACCAGCAGGGCATGGGACGGGCTCCGGTAGTACCAGCTACTCAGCCTGGGCAACATATTATAGCAAGACCCTATCTAAAAAGCAAAAACATATATGCCAATTGAAGTTTGTGGGTCTTATTACAATGCTGATTCAATTACAGAGAGAGTAAAATATATATATTTTTAAATTAAAAAAATATTTGGAGACAGGTTCTCATTCTTTCATCCAGCCTCCCAAGTAGCTGGGACTACAGGTGTGTGTAACTGCATCCAGCTTAGTTTTAAAAATTTTTTGTGGAGCGAGGGTCTCACCTTGTCCAGGCCTGTCTCAAACTCCTGGCTTTAAGCAATCCTCCCACCTTGGCTTCCCAAAGTGCTGGAATTACAATTACAGGCATAAGCCACTGTGCCCAGCCAGTAAAAAATATTTTTGAAGCAATTAAAGAGATGTGAGCACTCACTGGGTATTTAATGATATTAATGAATTCTGTAAGTATTTAGCAGGGCTAATCGAATTATGATTATATTTTACAAAGATACATGTTGAAATATGTATGGAAGAGAGATTGATGTCCAAGAATTGTTTTAAAGTCACCTGGAGAAGCAGAAAAGTAGGTGGAAATATGGATGAAACGAGATGGCTCACAAATTAAGAATTGTTTAAGCTGGCTAATAGGTGGGTAGGGGTTCATTATACCATTCTTTCTACTTGTAAAAATATTTGAAACTTTCCATAATAAATGCCTTACTAGAAAGTTGAAAAATGAGTAAAACCCTAATCTTGCCTGGAAGCATTTCAGAATCTAATCCGATAGGCAAGCATGTATGCAGATAATTGTGAAACAATGTGATATTAGCTTTAATTAGAGTGTGATCAGAGTGCTGAGGAGCACAAAGAGAAAAGGGGTCATATCACAATTGTAAGAATGTAACTTAGAGGATGTGAAAGCATATCGGCAATCATTCAGAGAAACAGAACCAGTGTATATAGTAAAAGATAACTCTGACATATGAAATTAAATTAGGCTGAGGATGAGACCATTAAGAGTGAATCTGTATACCAAAAGTCACAAGCCTATATTGGTTATCAATGAAACAAAAGATTCATATTCATCTGTCAACAAAAGAAAAGGCAACAGCTTGTTTATCTCAGTATAGGTATAGTATCTCAAGTGTAGCCCAACTTTCCCCTGGAATATAGTGAATTCACACATGGCTGCTACTTGAATTCTTTCAAATGCATACTAAGCTCTGTAGCTTCATATTCCATTATAATAATGCAAACAGACAAACACAAGGAATTTCTGGTACTTGGGGTCTACCTGTGAGGGAACTCCTTGTGAAGCCCTTTGTGTGGGTTACAGTGACCTATTCAGCAGTTCTGTAAGAATAGGTCACTGGCAGTATAAGCCATCTGCTCATGCAATTTTATTTTACCTTTAGGACTGGCTCAAATTTTATCTTACATGTAGCAATTTCCCATAATATTGCATGAGGATGATTTGTTCATTCAGCCTGTATTCTACTGTCCTTTAAGAGAGACTTCCTGACCTCCATAAACTGTAAAGGTAAAAATCAGCATATTCCAGACTCCTTTACAACTAGTTTTAGATGGATGCAATCACAGGTTTGGAAGAAGCAAGACAAAGGCCATCTTTTGTTTCTTTTTGCTGTTTTCTGCTAGGAAACTACTTGGTGAAGACAGAAGTTCTTCCTCTAGAAGTAATAGAGTGGTTAATCTTTAGTATGTGGGTGTTGAGAGACATTTGTGGTGGTGGTTGCTGCAGTGGGGGCTTTCTAAATTTGGCTCTGTGATGCTGGGATTGCAGTTACTACTGAGTGTTTTTTGCTTTTTTTAAAGCCTATTTTTTGAGAGCAGTTCTAGGTTCACAGCAAAATTGAGAGGAAGGTTCAGAGATTTTCCAATATATTCCCTGTCCCACACATGCATAGCCTTCCCTCTTCTGAGTGATCTTGATTTTAATTGTGTAAGTAGCAGTTCCAGAGGAAGTTGCTACCTTAGTGATCAAGTATATAGTGTTCAAATAGTTATTTTGGAGGCATAAGCTAGAACTCTTTCTTCCACATTTTCCAGTGATTTTAGAATGACGAATTTCCTATGTGAAATTCCATCCTGCATAAAATACCTAGAGGGGTGATATGGTTTGGATGTTTTGTGCCCTCCAAATCTCCTGTTAAAATGTGACCTCCAGTGTTAGAGGTGGGCCTAGTGGAAGGTGTTTGGATCATGGAGGCAGATCCCCCATGTGAATGACTTGGTGCTGTTCTTGTGGTAATGAGTGAGTTCTCACTATATGAGTTTACACATGATTTGGTGGCTTTAAAGAGCCTGGCACTTCCTCCACCTCTCTTGCTTCCTGGCTTACCATGTGATATGCCAGCTCCCCCTTTGCCTTCTGCTATGACTGTAAGCTCCTTGAGGCCCTCACCAGAAGGAGATGACAGCACCACACTTCCTGTATAGCATGCAGAATTGTCTTTCCTTTATAAATTACCCAGCTTCATATTCCTTTATAACAATGCAAACAGACTAACACAAGGAGTTTCTGGTACTTGTATTAAAACTTGACTGATACAGAACGGCCTACCTTATGGGTTGGATAAAATCATTTCATGAAGCAACTCAGAGTGTACTCTTTCTTGATGTCTTATGGCCAGATATTTTGTCTCTGAGTCTGATATTAAGTCAAAGCCTTGTTTGTTTCAAAACCCTGGGAGCATCTACTGTGATTCTACCAGTGGGTCTCGCCACAGTCTCCATAGTGTAACTTGATCAGCTGAAGATACCTAAAGTATCTTTGGGTCTACTGGTTTATAAGGGCCAAGTAACAGAGCTGCTTATACTGCAGTCTACACCATCTCTTGCTCTGAACCTCACTCCAAGCTAGCGTCAATTTGGATTGCTTATTAATTTTTGAGCAGTAATTTCACTTTGTTGTATGTTAGCTTCAAAATTCATAGAGGCTTAAAGGGGATATATCCCTTTGTTAATGGTAGTGCCTTCTTTAGAGAGGATATCATGTCATGTTCTAGACACTGGATGCCCAGAAACCAAGATTGTAGCTCTTTCTTGGTGGCATTGAGTATTTTAAAATGGATATCCTGACATGTCTAGATCCTGGGTGCTATGAATTTTTATGGCAGTTTTCTCCTATCCTCTGGAATGGGTATAGTGTAGCTAGGGCTTCTAGGGAATCTGATACTTCATGTTCACCAGATTCTGCAGTATGTCATCAATATAGTGGACCAGCATGGTGTCTTGTGCATTCATGGGAGTTGCACTCACTGACCCTGACAAATAAAAAATGAAATGCTTTTGGTATTGTTTTGATTTGGGGGATAGAGAAAAAGCGGATATCAGAATAATAGCACATTCCAGGAGCTGAGGGATGTATTTGTTGAGAGAGGCTACATCTGGAACAGTAGCAACAATTGATAGTTTACAATAATCCACTGTCATTCTGAAATACTCTTTATTTTGCATAGTCCAAGCAGGCAGATAAAATTGAGATATGAAAGGACTCAGAATCTCTGAATCTTTCAAAGCCCTAGATGGTGGCACTAATCTCTGAAATTACTCAGTGGGCAAGATATTACATTTAGCTTATCATTGTGGTAAGAAAGGAAAACTCCACGGGCTTCTCCTGGCTCTTTATGATACAAGTCTCCCTCCATTGTGTTAGAGAGCTTCTGTGGGAATTTTGCAGTGGCTTAGTCTATTTACTATACAGGTATACACTTATGAAGTGAGCAGTAACTGTGTAATATGTCTATGTAGTCACTGTGCCCACTGTTAGGCAAATTGATACCTAAAATCTCTCACTTGATACCCGTAAGCTCCCACTCTGACCAACGGACCGTTGTGGCATTTGGATCCACTAGTAATTATTGTTTCTTGTCCTGGACATCACCTGCTACTCTCAAGCTTGCCAAACTTCTTAGTGCTTATCTAATTTGCCTGGATCTAGTTTTGTCTCTAATAAGGTTCAGACACTGCCAGCAAAAGAATAATCAGTTTTTGTGAGATTACTGGTTAGTCCAAACTGCTGTCCAGAAATAGTCCTTAGAAAGGACATCGTATTTTTAGATAAAAATGCAAGAAGTGTTTAAAATTAGAGTTCCAAAATAGAGTCCTTTGTCTTCTAGATCCATCTATCATATGCTATTTATCTACCATATGCTATCTATCCATCTATCATCTATCTACCTATTTATCTATCAATTTTAACACCTGTGCTTCACTTCTGGCTAAGAGCTGCAGTGAAAGAAATTCCAGTGAAGACTAGAAATAAGAGCAGGAGACTGAGATAATCAAAACCCTGGACTGCTATGCTGCACCTGCCATTTCAGAGGGTGAGTTTTCTAGTCTTACTGTCAAGCAGGTCTTTCTCTCAGGAATAGGGTAAAAAGGAGATTGAGAAATAAAAAGCTCTGTAATCTGCATCGATTTCTTATTTTCTTGACATGGGGCTTAAAAGTTTTCAGGTGTTAATACATATGTTCTCTCTCTCTATACACACACACAGATACATACATAGATACATACGTATTAGATACTATATATACACTTCCTTGATCGAATGTGAAAATATAGTAAATTTCTCTTTTCCTTCTGCTGAAGCACAGTCAAAAGTTCAATCAGTATGATACATTGATCTCTAAGGAAGAAACAGAAACCAGTTGTGATCAAATAATTATAGGATAAAATGAAGATAAAATGAGAAAATTGAAATGAAAACAATGAAAAGTTAAGTTTGTTATATTAACATGTTGTGATTGTTGTTCAAATTTAGTCAATTCCTTTCTTGTCTTCTGTTAATCTATTCTGTTTTTGAGAAGATTATACACTTGGGGTGAAAAAGGTAGAAGGAGCTTGGACTGGTGGGAAGCCCCGGATTAAGAGTTTAAAGAGTCAAGATGTAGTCCCAGTTGTGCTACTTTAAAATTTGGAATAATTAGATGTGTACAAATTTTAGTTTGGCAGCAAAGGGCTTTTGAGCTAATGGGTCTTAGCTTGGAATGAGGAAATAACCCACAGAGGCCACCTTTGGCTCACTTATATAAATGTACCTACTTCACAGGATGTTTGTAGGGATTCATTATGAATATATGATTGGGCGTGGTGGCTCATGCCTGTAATCCCAGTGTTTCAGGAGGCTGAGGCCAGAGGATTTCTCAAGGCCAGGAGTTCAAGACCAGCCTGGGCAACAAAGGGAGGCCCTGTTTCTACAGCATATTTAAAATTTTGTCAGGCATGGTGGTGCATGCCTGTGCTTCCAACTACTTGGGAGACGAAGATGGGAGTATTGGTTGGGCCAGGAGGTCGAGGCTGCAGTGAACCATGATTGCGCCACTGCATTTTAGCATGGGTGACAGCAAGACCCTGTCTCAGTATATATGAATACATGTGAAGTGCTTCGCACAGTACTTGATGCAAACTAAGGGTGCAATAAATGCTACAATTCCTCTATAATACCATGCTGTCTGCCCATATGGAGCCTTATGTAAGAGAGGTATGAAGGGGGCAAACATCAAAACTAAATAAAGAGTAATCAGTTGGTAGTTCTTACTGGTTATTGTAGGACAACTCAAGGAGAGACAATAAAAGAAGTATGCTGTTCATTGTTGAGATTTCAGTTTTTTTTCAGTTGAAATTTCATTGCTGAGGGGTAATGTGGTTCTGAATTTTCCAAATATCTTGCTCAGAAATATTTTAACACCTTCTGGCTATTCTACAGACAGCTAGCTAATTATGTTAGGCATCAAATTTTGAAGAATAAAAGTAGAATTTTGTGGCATATCAAAAGTAAATCCAAAGTGTTAACTTCATCTTATTGCTGGAGAAGTTTGCTATTTGGAGTTTTAAAAAATATATTCAGAAAGAGATTTAAAAAAAAGTTGTTTCAAATACACCTGTATTTACTGGACCACCCAAGCTTTTTAGAAGTTAATCAGGTAGCAATGTGCTATTCCCTACTCTGCCTCTAGCACACAAATGCTTCTTTTCCTCTTACGGGAAAGAACTATAATCTGTTTGATGCTTAATGTTAATGCTCACAAATAAGCATTCTCCAACTTCTTGGGATCAGATATTCTGTCTATCCCTCTAAAATTACCTCATTCGGTGGTTGCCCCAGAGAAGTGCAGATTCCCAATAAAGCTTTGGGTTTATTAGGTTTCACACCTGCCTGAGGCTTCTCTGGAAAATAGAATTCAAGAAATGATCTTAGGTTTAAAGTCTAATGGGATGTGACTTAAATCAGGATTTTTGTTATCTAACTTGTCTAAGCCTTAGTTTCCTCATCTATACAATTAAAATACTTATGTTGGATATAAGGGTATCTTGACCATGGTATAAGTTAGCTCCCCTGATTCCAGAAGGTTTGTTTCTTGCAAACAAAGAGTACATTCTGGTTCTGTTAAGCAGGAAAAAGGAATTTTTAAAAAGCCATTAGATAGTTATGGAATAAATTGCAATGCAGGGTTAGAGAAACAGGCTGAAGCTAAGCTGAACTTCTCAGAATCACCCATAACCACACCCCGGAACAGATAAGACACCAAAACTTCCCTGATATTGCCATCATCACTTGTTGCCTGGATGCCAGGACTCTGATTTTACTACAGTGATAGACCAGGATATCAACTTTACTTTTCCCCACAAGGTGTTCCCCCACGGTTGTCACCTGTGTCAGCAAAATTATGTCCTACTCAGAGGTTCTCTCTTTAGGTTACTCATTTCCAAATTGAAGTCCTGTGTGGGTATTTATGACAGACAGAAGCTAGGTCTTGTGTTCTCATCTTGCAAGGATGCTGAGGAGTGAAGTGCTCTGGATTCTACCTTATGAAGGTGGGGCTTTCAGAGTGGGCATTACCAGTATGTAGAAGGGTAGTCAAAAGATACTAGGTCCTTTCATAATGTTTTTCCTCTTAGGTCTAATAACAATGATACCATCTTTTTTTTTAAATCTACATTTACTAAATACTTAGCAATGGGCTAAATGAGACTACAATTATCTCCACTTTGCAGAAGAACAAATTGAGTCACAAAGATTTAGATAGTTTGCCTTTGGTTGGTAAGTGGCAGAAACAGAGCTGGATCCCTGTCTATCTGACTCCAAACTCTAAGTGGAAAACTCCAACAGGAAGCTGCCTCACAAATCAAGAGGCTGTTTCACAGCACTTAAATCCTATTTCCTGTTCCTATATCTTTCCCTAAAAGCTTGTAAGTGCCCTGGCCTATTAACTCTTTATTAATGCTATTTTTTCAAAGCTAAACCCACCCAACAGCTCTGCCAGCTCTCTGACTCTGCAGAAAAGAATATGTGGGTGGGTTTGGGAAAGTGGGTCAGATAAGCACACAGACTAATCTGGAGTCCTGATAGATGAGGTTGTGGAAAAAAAAAAATAAACCACATTGGTGTCATGGATTTCCATTTGAGATGCTTTACTATAGAAGAATGTAAGCACTCTTCCTATCTTCACATTGTCTCCCCAGGGCTGTGCAGGGTGGAACTCAGGCAATGAATGCAGTGCAGTGAAAAGAATGTGACCTGCAGAGGCATTCTGACTTGATTTCAACTTCTGGCTTTGTGACTAACTGGTAGTGTCAGCTTTGAGAAATGATTTAATGCTTCTGACCCTCAGTTTTCCTCATCTGTAAAATGGACCTGATTTTCAGAGTTATGGTGAGTGCGCTGCATTTTGCAATGTTTTGGTCTTCTCCCTCCTACATGTGTTTCACTCAGCCTTTTCCCTGGAACACAGCATTCGAGACAAAGCTTACCTGCTGCCAGAGTCTGAATGTTTGTGTCGTTGCCAAATTCCTGTGTTGAAATCCTCACCCCCAAGATGATGGTATTGGGAACTAGGGCCTTTTAGGAGGTGATGGAATTAGTGCCCTTATAATGGAGTTAGTGCCCTTATGATGGAGTTAGTGCCATTATAAAATAGGCCCAAGGGAGCTTGTTCGCCCCTTCAACCATGAGCAGACACAGTGAAGAGGCACTATTTTTGAAAGAGAAAGTGTAGCCTCACCAGATACCAGATCTGCTGGTGCCTTGATTTTGGACTCCCTGGCATCCAGACCTGTGAGAAATAAATTTCTGTTGTTTATAAGCTACCCAGTCTAGGGCATTTTAGTATCCCTAACTAAGACACCTGCAAGCACTTTATTGAAATCTCAGGGATGAAAGAGTGAAAATAAAAGGAGAATAAGGCAGGAAAGGAGGGAAAGTGAATGCAAAGAGGTGTGTTACCAAACTCAAAAACATACTGCTAGTGCTTTTGGCCCTGAAGAAAGCTTCCGGAGAGGCCTTATAGGACCACTGGACCTCAGAACAGTTTGTCCAGGAAAAGAAAAGCAAGCACTTTAACTTGCTTACTTACTTTAACCTGTTACTTATCGGTGAAAAACAGCCCTGTGAGACTGCCCTGTCCTTCTGGAATGTGTGACTTGGTTTCTCCGAGTAGCCCCTAGAGAAGCCAAGATATTGGAAAGGTTGAGTTTTCTCCTTGATGGACATTCTAGAGACAATGTCAAAGCCTAGCCTCTGCTTCAGAAGTGGGTTGGGATGTGCAGAGACAGTGGCAGTAGGAGTTGAGGCAGCAGTGTCAGTGGTGGGCTTTATGGTCACGAGAAACATGTGAGCCATTATTGGGCTGCTCCGGAAGGGAAATGGGGCACATAACCAGGGCCTAGAGGACAGGAAGTGTATGGTGCAAACTGGGTCAAATACACTGTGTTTGGGGAATTACCCTTCTTTGGAGCCACAGTAGAAAGCTGCACCAACCCCACCATTGGAGCAGAAACCCCTTTCCCAGTGTTTCTTGCTGTTAGGGTACCACAAGGCTGCCTTCTAGGCCATGCTGTACTTATCAAAGTCCCACTCTAGACTTCAACTTAGAAACTAAAGAGGTCAAGAAGTGGGGACATCCCCAAATCCATTCTGGTGAGGAAAAGTCAGCAGGAGAAGCTATATCAGCTCCCAGGAGCTGTAATGCCCAGTGGCTAGCATTGGTAGTATTAAGGACACACGTGCATGTCTATGCGCAGAGGTGGCAGTATCATCATGGGATAAACCAATTTAGTTACTTAATTTTGGACGCCAGTCTTATTTCGGCCTTCCAAGTCTGGTTCTTTCAGCCTTCCTGAGATATTGTGAACTACCTATATCATATAATTTATATTTTTCTGTTCAAATTATCCAGGGTTCTTGTATGTAACAACCCTGACTGACACAATCATAACTGGGGAAGTATATGAGTGGCAGAGTATTTTTTTTGAAATAGTAATCATTTTCTCCCATTTGTTCTATTCCTTACTCAAGCATCTATGTCATTTTATTCCTATGTTTTTTGAGGAATGATATGGTAGGATAAAAGCAAAGGATAAGAGAAAAAGAACAATTTCTGGCCTCCAAAGGCTGGTGGCCTCGGGGAGAGTAACAACAAAACTTCAACAGACAAAATATTTGGAAATGATATCACAAGAATGAGAGAATTGAGCTGAGCTTCTCTTGTATGCTCCTGGATAGGAAAATTATTTCCCCGGAGTGGGGAGAGGAAAGAAATATGAGAAAACTGCAAACTGCTGGAGATATTTTTTACTGCTTCTAGAGAATGAGGTCTCAAAGCAGATATTAACTTTAGTTTTATATAGAAAAAAAATGAAGATTTATTTGTACCTGAGTTTGTGGCCTGAACTTTATTCACAGTACGTGCATTAACAGCAAAACAAATCACACAGCAAATTCCATCCAACCTAGGATAAGCATACCATAAAATGGTGTTCAATAAACAGCACTCTTTTTTTTTACTTTATTTATATCTAGTTAAAAATGGAGACATCTGTGTTGCTCTGGCTAGTTAGTGAAAGTAAACTTAGGGGCCTGAGGCCATGTTGTTTTGTTTAGGGAGAGGAGTCTCAGTGCTGTTCAGAAATCTCATGCAGTCACTAAATCTCACTAAATACATTCAATCAATAATGCGCTTGGTTATGGGAGAAAAACAACGCTCTGAAGAACACCCCATCCTTTTCGTCTCATGGGTTCATACTAGGTCATCACAACAGGCATTTGCTGCAGCAACCAGTTTTGCATTCACACTAATCTGGAATTAAGCATTAATAGAGCCTTTAGAGTAAAGCCAATAAAATTGTCCTGGAGAGCTATTCATTCTCTGAGGAGAGGCACAGTCTGACCCCAAAGCACATGTGATTCAGGAAGATACGTGTTTCTGAGATGGGGGAGAAAAGGTCCTGTTTTGTTCCTCACTGCAGACTTGACTTTATCCTCAAATATTCATTTAGGAGAAGGCTGTCACAGTATTGTTTATAGTTACAAAGGTAACATATTTTATACTTTCAATTGTTTCACCAGGGAAAAATGTATAGAAGGAGAGAGAACACTAAAGTAAATGTGGCAAATGATAATTCTTGAATATAGGAATGATAATTCTTGAATATAGGTAGAGGATTTATGGGCATTCATCATACTATGCTTTCAAATTTGAAATTATTACTATGTTGAAAACATTTTAGGATCATTTAATTGAAGCAAGTGAAGTTGTGTAGAAGTGATCAGAATTATCTTGAAATTTAGCACTAAGGTTTCTGAAGCTTTTGATCGTCAGATCATATTAGGAGACTCAACTTCTCACCAGGGGATGGATCAATATTATTAGCTACTACATATTGACACTAACAGTACACTAAACACTGTGCTAAGAGGTTCTACATACATTTCATTCCACTGTGTCCAAAATACACCAATCAAAACCCCTACAAACTCCAAAAGGTAGGTAGTGTTAGCCCCATTTTATTTTTTTTGAGACAGGACTCACTCTGTCACCCAGGCTGGAGTGTAGTGGCACCAGCATAGCTCATTGCAGCTTCGACCTCCTGGGCTCAAGCAATCCTCCCATCTCAGCCACCTGAATAAATGGGATCACAGATGTGTGCCACCACATTTGGCTAATTTTTTTACTTTTTGTAGAGATGTGGTTTTACTGTGTTGTCCAGGCAGGATCCCTATTCTACAGGTGAACAAATATCCAATCTAGGCTAATAACCCAGGTTTGACTGACTCCAAAGCCAATGTGGTATATAGCCTCTCAGATTCAACAACCAGAAGAGGGAAAGTGGTCATTATGAAACATGTTAAGAGAATAAGTATTTCAGTACAGGTCTTAAGACAGAGAAATCAGAAGCTCTATACTGCTCTTCAGTGGAGGCAATAGCCAGTTTGTGGGAGAGCTCTGCAGTCATCAGTGGAGGGGTAATTTGACAGAGGAGGAGAAGTAGGAATATAGAAGTGTACATACATATGGGTATGCACACATATATTAAGACATGCATTGACCTGTATATATACACACACATATGCATCATTAGCTTTTTGCTTCTGTAATGTAACCCTGGTTAAACATAGTATTGTTTCATCAGTTCTTCAACAAATGTGAGAAAGATCAGAATAAATATAGTGGAGTCATGTAAGCATGGTTCCAAGACGAATGGACTCCCCAGTATGGTGGGGGTCGTCTTGTAGTGTGTTTGATTGGAGATGGGAGGCTCAGAACAACTTAACACAGAAATAAATTATTCCTGTGTCTTTATCTTTAGAAAATCATTAAAGACCAAAAAATTATCTGGCTCCCTCAACCGAAGTTTTCTTAGTTTTGGCATTGAAGGAAGGAACTCCCTTTTAGTTTACCTGATATAGTATAATAAAGAGTCTCAATAGTCAGCACAATTGTTATTGTTTAATTTTTAAAAATTGAATTAGTTTGCTTCTGCAATTTGTTTCTCTAATTATGTCACTATAATTTCACTTTTTTTTTTTAAGGACATAGCCAATCCCCAAAAACTCAAATTCTCCAGTAAGCCACTGGAAATAATGGGAAGTGGGGCAACTCTGTTTTTAGCTCTTCACCCCTGGGCCTATGCATTCTTTCTCTTGAAGACACAGAGCGCTTTGAAGGTCTTTGCATCCGTGCATATACTGCATATGGCAGATAATGTAAATCCTTGCAAAGTATTGCCTCCAAAATGGCACTGCAGCTATGCTTTTCTCAGGAGGTTCCAATGATGGTTGACAGTTTCTGGGTAGTGAGGTATGTGATAGAACCAGTGAATCCTGTGATTATGGGCTCACTCTTGCACCTCCTTTGCTGTAAAGTAGGTCCCCTGGTCTGTTGTAATGTCATTTGGGATGCCACACCAGTGTATTAAGCATTCTATACATCTTTGGGTTTTGGCACAGAATGAGGCCCAGAGGGCAGACAAGACAAACCCCTACCTGGAAGATGCTCATTCTTCTATGAGAACAAAATACTAGCTTTTTCAAGCATGGAATGGGCCACTAAGTGGTTTGTTGGTCTCCCTAAGGAATGGTGCCATACTGGGTACTTATTGTTGGTGTCTCTTGCCTGCAGATTGGACAATAGGCAGCAATAGTAACTAGATCACAGTGGGCAAGCAGGAATTCATGCTGTTGGGCCTATGCATAATTTC
The DNA here is from genome assembly GCF_000001405.40 of Homo sapiens. NCBI lineage: Eukaryota > Metazoa > Chordata > Mammalia > Primates > Hominidae > Homo > Homo sapiens. The sequence goes on from NC_000011.10 coordinate 106,208,383, forward strand.
CATCTCTGTTGCCATGGCCACTTTATTAGTTTGCCAATAATAGAGGTTGAATTATACCATCTGATTGAAACATTTTGTCTACTTGGTCATTTAGTGCCTCTTCCACAGTCAGTGCTCTTTGGTAGGCATTAACATGTGGTACAAAGACCTTCACACTTTCAGCACAGTCCTACTTGTTCATCCACATGCATCTGTCTCAGACCTCCTTGTCCCACATCTATCTTCAAGACTTTTTCCTCTTAGGTCTGTTATCAGTAGGCCAGGCCATTTGCCCTTGCCCCTGAGTTACTATGTATTCTAACCTTGGGCCATTTCTCCTTCCATACAAAGTGACCAGAGATACCACTGGAAGCTGTACCCAGCAAGAGTACAGCTGGGAGGCTCAGAAAAAATTAGCACAGAAATAATTCACTTCTGTGTCTCACTTTTGGAAAACTGCCAGGTCTGACCAGCAGACCCTGGAGGAGCAACGGATGAAAAAATGTACTCAGACACAGGTATCCAGTGAAACAGCGGGCTGGGGGACCGGGCCACTCACAGAAAGAGTTGTAGCAGCTGTGGCCCTGACAAGTCATTTATTGAGTCAACACAACTTGTGGATAATTAACACGGTTGCCCCCTGGCCCTGAGAGAGCAGCCGTGCATGCTAATGATTAAAGGCCAGGTTCCAAGGCCTATGTAAACTAATTTATCTAGATGAATTTCTTTACATCCCCTTGTTATCTAACCTTTGCTCTCAGGCCCCGGATAAGAGAGTTTGGCTGAAGGCAGCCTTTCGAAGCTTTTGCAAAACCTCCCAGCCTTCCAGGAAGGTTTGTATCTTTTCCTACAATTTCTCCCACTACCCTGACGGATCTCCTAAAGAAAATTACTAGTGATTTTTAAAGATATAAGTTAGCTGGCTCACCACTGTCATTTGTACTCACACCTGAGTGAAGTTCTAGTCTTGCACCCGTGTATCAAGCCTACACACTAGTCTATAAGTCTAAACCAATCTCAGACGTTTTACTCCTTCTTCAGCTTATGGATAGATGGGATGCACCATATATTCATAACCATGAGCTGAGAGAAGGATGGTGGATACTAGTTCTGCTCATGCTTGATTTGAGACCTACCTCTTCCATGTTAAGGTGGATGGTTTGCTCAAATTTTTGACTTTTGTTGTTCTGGCAGGATCCAGTTCATGATAGTCAATTCCAGGCACATGATCACTTGGTCTCCCATAGTCATCTGCTCCACCTCTATCAGGCCACAGAAAGTATAATACCTGGTGGATATTTTTGGGTTCTAGAGACAGCACTGTATTCAGGGTATTGGTGGTAGAAAGCTTCCATTGGAGAATCACAGAACAAACCTCTGGGGCTCTGGAGCAAAGCCATGCCACTTGCTGTGAAGAATTATGTACCTTTTTTTTTTTTTTTTTTGAGACAGAATCTCACTCTGTTGCCCATGCTGGAGTACAGTGGAGTGATCTCAGCTCACTTCAGCCTCCGCCTCCTGGGTTCAAGCAATTCTCCTGCCTCAGCCTCCCGAGTAGCTGGGACTATAGGTGTGTGCCGCCACACCCAGCTAATTTTTGTATTTTTAGTAGAGACAGTGTTTCACCATGTTGGTCAGGATGGTCTTGATCTCCTGACCTCGTGATTTGCCCGCCTCAGCCTCCCAAAGTGCTGGGATTACAGGCATGAGCCACCACACCTGGCCACTTATATACTTTTTGAGAAACAACTCGTGTGCTAGTGGGCTAGGAACTCCAGTGCAATATTGCATAACAGAGACATTAAGAAGCACTCTTGACTTGTTCCTGTTCTTAAAAGGAAAATGTTCAATGTCTCACCCTTAAGTATGTTTCACGTAGTGTTTTGTAGATATCTTTTATCAGTTAAAGGTGGTTCCTCCTATTCTTCATTTGTGAAGAGTTTTTTTTTTAAACCATCAATTGATTTTTATAAAATGCTTTTTTGGTGTCTATCAAGTATTACCTAGTTAGTATAGTATTTGTTTTAACACTTTTTTAAAAATGATTTTACATCAATGTCTTGGGTGCTATGAATCTTTATATGGTCCTTGTCAGGTTTTTGACTCACAGTTCCAAAGCCTGACCTTCTTTGCTTTTTTTTTTTGGTATACTGGAGCTCAGGCTCTGAGAACCACATACAAAACATGGCTATTCTGCAGTCTTTCTGCTGTGGGTTTTCTTCTCTATTGATTGCTATTGCTGTGTTGCCCCACAGGTGTCTTAGACCACTAGCCTTAAAAGTAAGTTGAGAAGTGATCCTGCTTTTTCTGTTCTCTGGAATTATTTTGGCAAGATTAAAATATTTTGTTTCTTGATTGTGTATAACTATTCTTTGTTGAAGTCACCTGAATCTGGAACTTTCTTGTGGAAAGATGTTGAGTTTATTATTATTATTTGAGACAGGGTCTCACTCAGTTACCGTGGCTGGAGTGCAGTGGCATGATCTCGGCTCACTGCAGCCTCGACAACCTTCTGCTCAGGTGATCCTCCCACCTCAGCCTCCTGAGTAGCTGGGACTACAGGTGCATGCCACCACACCCGGCTAGTTTTTGTATTCTTTTTAGAGATAGGGTTTTGCCACACTGCCCAGGCTGGTCTTGAACTCCTGGGCTCAAGGTATCTGTCCACCTTGGCCTCCCAAAGTGCTAGGATTATAGGCAGGAGCCACCACACCTGGCTGGATGTTGAATTATTGATTGAATTTCTTTAACAGTTATTGGTCTTGAGTCAATATTCATGAGCTATATATTTTTTTCTGGAAATTTTTCTAATCTAACTTTTCACAATTATTGGCAGAAAGTTAATATCCTTTTATCTTTTTGATGTTTGTGGAGGGTTAAGGTTATCTTTTTCATTATCCACACTGATTATTTGTATCTTTTTTTTTTTGAGACGGAGTTTCGTTCTTGTTGCCCAGGTTGGAGTGCAGAGGCACGATCTTGGCTCACCACAACCTCTGCCTCCCAGATTCAAGCAATTCTCCTGCCTCAGCCTCCCGAGTAGGTGGGATTACTGACATTTGCCACCACACCTGGCTAATTTTGTATTTTTAGTAGACACGGGGTTTCTCCATGTTGGTCAGGCTGTTCTCGAACTCCCGACCTCAGGTGATCTGCCTGCCTCAGCCTCCCAAAGTGCTGGGATTACAGGCATAAGCCACCACACCTGGCCCTGATTATTTGTATCTTATTTACTTTTAGGAAGCTCTTTACCTATAAAAAATGTTTAATGACACTTGAGATGTTGCACAGCTATACTAACTTTCATGATACTTAATGTCTTGATGGAATGTAATTGAACTCTTCCACAGTTGGAATTCAGAGACATACTGACAGGTTTTGTTCCCTGTGGGTCTCATAAGCAAGTTGGATTGAAGGGAGAGACAGGAGAACACACAGTATGGGAGAAATATGTCTGAGGTTCAGAGTAGGCCTACTGAGTTCATAATGCTCATGAAACTAGTGGGTCCATGAATCAGTCAGGCTCCAGAAAAGACACAGAAACTATATCAGTAACTTGAACAGAGGAAGTTTACTATGAAGAATTATTAACCAGGTAAAATATGGTAAACTTTAAAAAAAAGGCTTGTAAGGTATAATAAAGGTAGCAACTGCATAAAGCAGTTACCACTCATAAGATTGAATCAAATGGGAATAAAAAACTTAAAAGTCTTATGAGTAGAGGGTATGTCTGTTGCAGAAGTACACTGCCTGCCACTCTAGGGAAGAAGAAACTTGTTGGAAGTCCGGCAGTGCAGAACTGTGAGAGCTGCTACTGCTTTCTTGAATTCTGCTGGGACAAACTGCTGATGATCCACTCCCTGCCACAGGGAAAATAAAATGAGAAAGAAGGAAAGGCCTTTCTTTCTCATGGAGGCAGGCACTCTGCCTCCGGCAACTTATTAGCAAAGTCTAACATTGAGCTAACTGACAAAGGGGAAATGATTTGCACAGTCTGAGCTCCAGTATCACAAAATAGAACAAAGAAAGGTGGGGTTTTGAGCTGAGAGGGAATAACTTAATGACTGGAACTGTTCATGTGTAGTTTGAAGCTGTGCCTGCTTAGCCAACTACTTATTTCTGCAAGTCCTCAATCCTGGCCTGTTTGTGCAATCTGAAAATGAGAGGACTGTCACATAAGGAAACAACATCAACAATAACAAGACAACAACAACAAAGGGTGTCACAAAAGATCTGAAAGCTCTCCAGAAGGACACAATTTTGGAAAAGCTGCTCACATGAAGTGGCAATGATCCTTCTTCCAGAAAAGAAGACTTGGACATTCGGGATTTGTATGAGATGAGCATCAATATAAATGGCAGAGTGGTATGGAAATTGAGTCATCTAGAAAAGGTTGTCAGTGGTTTGAGAAGATACCTGTGGACAGCACAGCAATATAGTCAGTAGGGCAGAATGATGGCATGAGGAGCAGAGAGGCTACAGGGAAGCAGGTGGCAGTTGTGGTCGGCATGAGATCACACCCCATGGCACACATCACCCTGGTCACTAACACACCAGAAGTACTGATTTCACCCCACAACATTAAGATGCAATAGAGGTCATATTGATTTTTCTTTCTCTACATGCACCCTAACTTGCTCTAAGACCCCTTCTGTACTGGGCTGTAGTAAATTCAATTGCAGTTACTTTTTAAGTTTTCCTTTTCGTAGAGGCTTAACATAGATCCAGGCTTGTGTCTGTAGAAGTCACCCATCGTTCTGTTTCTCCTTTTGCCACTTGATGCTGCTCTCAATCTCTGGTTCTTGTGTTCCAGTGAAGCACCCTACTCTGGGAATCCTCACAGATATATTGTCATAAGAATACTCTATTGACTGCAGACTCACCTCTAGATTCCCTTGCTGAAAATCTCCAGGCATAGAGTCTGACCTCTGTAGAATCTTACATTCTTCCTTCACCCAGCATGGGTTCTGTGTCTCCACCATTTCCTAGAATCTGGTAGTGAGAGTATAGACTTCAGGAAATTTTGAACTCCAGGTCATGTTAGTTCAACTTTCAGCTTAGGCTTTTCTCCAACATCAAAGCATTAGCTAGTGACTGTCAACTGCATGACCGATAGCTTCTGCTTTGGGCTGCATATGGTAGGCATGGAAGTGCACTACTCAGACTTCAACACAGAACATGCTGCAAGGAGTGGATAGTGACAGCCTCCAGCTGCTGCACCATCAGAATCCAGTCCCGTGTCGATCAATGTCTCACTGTCTTCAGTCTGCTCCTGGCCAATGACCGAGCATGGCAGAAGTCCTCGAGTTGGTCATTTCTGATCAATGCTGGGCTTTTCTAATGTACTATATTCTTCGGTTCCCTAGTGGCATAGAAAGGACTTTCTTAGAGCTGCACTATATTTTGAGGCTCTTCTTATCCGATTCTTCTTTATTCCCTTTTCCCTCTCACATAAGTCAGACATCACAGTGTGAGGCTCTCCCCACTTAACTCCTGTCACCTCTCTCCTTTATGATTAACAAGATAAAGTTGAACTTTTTTTGCGTTTTATTTTTAGAGACAGGGTCTCATCCTATCACCCAGGGTAGAGGGCAGTGGCACAATCATTGCTTACCACAGCCTCAAACTCCTAGGCTCAGGGGATCTTCCTGGGTCAGCTTCCTATGCAGCTGGGACTATAAGCATGAACTACCACACCCAGCTTAAAGTTACGCTTTACAATTTATATTGGTGTCTACTTCATGGAGGGTCCAAACTGACATACGCTGCAATACAAAATTTGTTGGGAATCATCTCCAATCCTCTCACTTCACTCCTCCCTGAATCCATTCTTCAAAGATGCAAGGAGTTCAGACTCCATATCCGAAAGCTTGGCTACTACCTTTTATTGGGGGAAGAAATTATATTCACAACAGTAAAAACAGAAGCCAAATTGATATCTCATTCAATTGTACTGCCAAAAAGGCAAATATGGTATGTACTAGAAAAACCGCCAACGTATGTTAAAGATATATAAACCAAGGTAACTTACATCTTCACAAGAAAATAGGAGAAAGAAAAGAGACAAAGGAAGTAAGAAAGTGTTGCTCACAGCCAGTCAGTGACTATATGGCTTTGGAGACTTTCTATAACAAAAAATCGAAGTATACAAAGAATAAAGATCAAAATGGATGTTAATAGTTAATCTGAATTTTATTATAACTTCTAGATGATTTCATTCTGGTGATAACAAGAGAAGTCCCAACATTGGAAGTATAAAGATTATCCTTGGAACAGGAAACAAAATAAAGTACAAAGTGATACAATAGAGAAAAAAGGGAAAAAAATTGAATTATGCTGAAGATGTAAAAGTGGAGAATGAGCTAGTGAGAGTGTTGGTATTTACTTCAAAAGGCACCAAACAATCGGGAAATAGGAAAAAAAATTGAATGGGTATGTGCAGGAATATATGCATCACAGGAAAATAGATAAGGATTATCAATCAGATTCTTTTTTCAATTGACTTACATAGCAGTGATGCATCACTCCCACCGATAGATACATCATTTCATTGATGGCGGCATTTTTCATGGCACTATAGTAAACAGTGAAAACTTGATTACTTTTCAGGAAGATTACTTTTCAGTACCCAAGAAGGGAGCTGGATGTTATCCTCTGTTTAGTTTTCATTTGTGTCTTTCATCTTTAATATAATCAGTAGATTATAAATAGAAACCTTTCAAAGTCCTGACTACTCCGTTTGAAATATAATGGGAAAGAAATACTCCTAAAAAAGAAGAGGGTTTTGAAAGCCAAAAAGCTTAACACATAAAAGAATATGAAGAGGGTGGGAGAGTACAGGAGTGGGGCCAAGGGACAATAATAGGAACAATAAATGGGTGACATCAAGGGAAACCTATACTTAGAAGAAGGGAAATTTTAGTTTGCTGACAAGCAAAAGACCTCTAAGGACTACTGGGAATTGATCCGGGATAAAGTGAGTGTGTCATGTCTAATGTCTTACCTGAATTATCTTAATAAAAGCCAAGATCAAAATGCAGGGCAGGAGACAGTCTTTCCAAAGAGAATGTCAGAGGAGGCGGAAACTCAGCAATGCATTTTGTCCTAATGATCCAAAATAAAACAAAATGAGTAAGATTTAATTGACTAGGCCTATGTAGGACAAAGATGGAACAGGTAGAATTAAGTAAAGAGGCTCATGAGCCTTAAGTAAAGAGAGAATGACGTTGGGAAAAATTCCATCTCAGGTATTAAGACTTTCTGGAAGAAGGAAAATACAAAGTTCTACAAATGTAGATTTAAAAATAAAATACAGTTTACCCTTTATATCCATTGATTCTACATTTGTGGATTCAACCAAATGAGGATTGAAAATATTTTTTTAAAATTGCATCTGAATTGACCATGCATAGTTTTTTTCTCATCTTTATTTTGTAAACAATAGAGTATAACTATTTACATAGCATTCACATTGTATGAGATATTGTAAGTAATCTAGAGATGATTTAAAGTAAACAGGAAGATGGATGTAGCTTATATAAAAATAGTATAGAAGAAATACTGAGTATTTTATGTCAGGGACTTAAGCTTCCTTGGATTTTGGTATTGGCAGGAGGTCCTGAATTTAATCTCCCGTAGATACCAAGAGACAATTGTACATAGCTCAGAAAGATAAAATACATAGAAAGTATGATAGTAAACTGAGTGAAGTGAGAACAATGACAATTTAAGAGTTATAAGAAATTGATGTCCAATATTTGTAGAAATTGACATCAAATCTTTAGGAAATTCTAAAAATGTTAGAGGAAATAATTCCCTAACAAATTAATTAATTCAACAAACATTCATTAAGGATCTATTATATACACCTGGCTCTGTCTTGGGTATGCACCAATAAACATGACTGCCTCACTGTAAGATGGAAGTTAGATACATAAACACTTCAGGAAGATATAAAGTATCTCATGCTTTTCAGTGAGGTGTATTAGTTTTCCATTGCAGCTATAACAAATTACTGCAAACATAGTTGCTTAGAACTATACAAGTTTATTTTCTTAAAGTTCAGAAGTCTGAAATGGGTCTCACTGGGCTAAAATCCAGGTGCTGGCAGGGCTCCAGGGTTTGTCCGGAGGCTCTAAGGGAGAATTCATTCTCTTTCCTTTCTAACTTCTAGAGGCAAACAGCAGTTTTTGGCTCTTGCCCCCTGATTCTCTTCAAAGTCAGAAATGACTAAGTCTTTCTCATTCTGTATCATGAGAAACTCTTGACACTGACTGTCCTGCCTTCCTTGTCCATTTATAATAACCCTAGGGACCACCTCTTGCCATCCTTTTTTACTTTTAAAGAGTCATTCGTCCTTTATTCCTAATCCAGGATAATTAGCCTCTATCATAAGGTCACCTGATTAGAACCTTTACAGAATCTGCAAACTTAATTCTCTCTTGTCATCTGAAATAACATATTTCACAGGTTCTGCAGATTAGGACATAGACATCTTTCAGGGCTATCACTCCGTCTACTACATGAGACAATTTACAGGATATATAGAGGGGGTCTATTTATTTATTCAATAAATACTTATTGAACATTTAGTCTGTGCCTGGTATGGTTTAGTCACCTCATTCTGCAAATAGAGCTTATTGGAAGATTTTATATAAGGAAAGGGTATGATCAGCTTTATGCTTGAAAAATAAATTTTGGTTTCAATGTACACTAAGATTAGCAGTAGGGGATAGACTGGAGATAAGCCACTTGGGAAACTATTGGAATGACCCAGATGAAAGATGAAGATCGTGAGCTACAGCAGGAGCAATCTAAAACATAAAAAGAAAGCAAAGTTGAGTTCAGTTTTGCAAACCTGAAGACTCATGGAGTTTGACATACCTGTGGGATATCTAATCAACATTGTTCAGTAGTTACCTTTATCTGCAAGTTTCGACTAGAAATACCATTTTACTTTAGGTTAATTTTTAACAGAGAGAAAAGATGTAGAATATCATTGCTGGCTTGTTTTTGTAGCCTTCCTAGCTTTCTCAGAGGCAGAGTAGAAAATATCTCCCCACTGTATGCCAATTAGTTATATTGTATTGAAACATATTTTCATAAATGGGTCTCTGGACTTTTTTGAGCTTTCTAAGTCAGCTATTGTATCTTGGCATTTTCAGCACATAGCATAGAGTGCAACTCAGAGTAGTTCTTAAAAAACATTTTATTGAGTAAGAGAATGAATAGAATGTAATAGGGAGGTCTCTCCAGTTTGCATACCATTTAAAGGAGAGATTGAGTAGAGAAAATGCCTATTACTTGTAAAATTAAGAAAGTGAGTTATGAAATACCTTGAGTGAGGAAATATGACAAAGAAGTTAGGGTTGAGTAGCTTCATTACTAGCTTCTTTTGGAGCTTCTGAAAAGAAATACCTCTGATTTGTTTCATGAAATGTCTTGAGTATCTGAATGTGTTATTGTGTTAAAACTCAAATTCTGTGTGCGTCGTAATGTTTACCAGGAAATTAGAGAAAATTGCAGGACTAAGTCAGTGCAGAATTTGGACTCATGAGAAATTAACATTTGGAACATAGAATGATTCTGTATGTAGGTTAAGTGGATTAAACAGCTGTTTGTAGAATAAAATGAATATAATCATTAAATTCATGTGGCATGTAGTTCTTTCCTCAAATATAATCTTGTCAGGACTAGCTGATGGGAAGTTAGATTTTTTTTTATTATATTTTCTGGAACAGCAATGAAGAACATGTTGTTTAAAGATAGAGTTACAGAATTTCTCTATACCCTGTGGGATTTGCCCACTAGTTTTGCTGTGGCAGAATTTCTCTGAGAAAAATAAAAGTACCTCTGGGAGCTTGTTTTCTTTGACCTTTTGTGTGTGTGGGATAAGGGAGTTTGCAATCCTTTTGAATGTCAGTTCATAAGCAGTGGATGCTGCCTGTCTCAGAACGTTCCCCAAGGGGGCAGCTAATACGCTGACTGACTCTGAAGAGGCCTCCTACAGTCAAAGGCTTTCCTCCTACTTTCTTTGTCAGAAGAAGAATAATCAGGGCTCAAAGAGCATCACTACCACTGACCGCAGGTTCTATAGGTGAATCAACCTATTCAGTCATTCTAGTCAGATGAGTTATCCCAAAAAGTCAGTTCCCTGGATTGGTCATGTGATTGATCTAGCAGCCTAGCTAGGCCCAGCCGCGTCGCTGAATGAGTCTTCACTGCTTTAGTTTATTTGCTTCACCTAAATAAACATAGACCCTATTTTACTCCCTTTAGAGGACAGGAAAGAGAATGCTTATTATAACATTTTAAACATTTTAATCTCTGTCTCTATAATAAGGTAAAGAATGTTTTGAAGTGATACCCTGGCTCTTTCTTTCCTGTAGTTTAACAATTGTCAGGGGGAACTAAATAATTCTTTGTGCCTTAGGAAGGGATGATGAATCCCTCTTTTGGGCCTTGTATACAATGCATTCCTCTGGTTGTCTTCTGAGTCTTTTTGAGAATAGGCTTTATGGTATTTCAATTTCTGTGGAAGACCCTGGAAATCATACCTAAGGAAAGATCATGTGGAAGAGGGATTAAACTTACTGTTTTTGACTCTTGAATTTAGGACAAAAATAGTAATGTGTGTGTCAATTAAATTTGAATTAATTAGGAAACATTTATTGAGTAGCAAACATATGTCAGGTACTCTACCATACCCGGAGATACAAAGATGAATAAGATTATAACGTCCTTCAAGAATTTTAAAGTTTGGTAGGAAATTCAAGCTAGTAGAACAACAATAGCAAAACAATGAGATCAGAACTATTTCCAAATGTTCATACTTGTCACTATGGGAGGGTACAGACCTACCAAAAAGCAGTAAATAGTTTATAAGTCCAAAGATGACTTTTCCTCTATAATCAAATTTGATCTACTCAGTGATGGAATGTTTTTTTCTGTAAGATGCTTGATGTCCTGTTCCTAGAGGTATGCAAGTACAGATTAAACTTGAGGGACAAATTAGGAAAAGGGGATGCTATGTGGGTTAGACATGAAATTGATAGTGTTTCCAAATCTGAATTTTGAAGATTCTTTAGCCAACAGTGTAAGGCTGAAGTTTATGTAGCAAACCTCTGTATAAACTTCTTTGTGAGGTTGACTTCCTTACTCACTGCCTGATATCCCCACTCTTACCCCTCACTCCTCTGCTGCAATATAGCTGATGGTAATTTTTTTTCTTCTTTGAGACAGAGTCTCGCTCTGTTGCCCAGACTGGGGTGCAGTGGTGTGATCTCAGCTCACTGCAACCTCTGCCTCCCGGGTTCAAGTGATTCTCCTGCCTCAGCCTCCTGAGTAGCTAGGATTACAGGTGTATGCCACCATGCCTGGCTAATTTTTTTGTATTTTTAGTAGAGACGAGATTTCACCACGCTGGCCAGGCTGGTCTCGAACTCCTGATGTCATGATCCACCTGCCGCTGCTTCCCAAAGTGCTAGGATTACAGACGTGAGCCACCACACCAGGCCAGCTGGTGGTAATTCTTAATAGGGAAGGCATTGAGGTCTAGAGCACTCTACTCCTGCTACCTCGCCTCTTCTTCAACTTCTAAGGAGTCTCAGGGACTCAATTCCAGCATAACGGACCTGCTCTAGAAACGCTTTCCATTGTCATCTTCAAAGTGATGCAACAACATGTTACTATGAGAAAATACTCCTGTATCCTATGTTCAGGCTTTTCCCTTTATTCTATGTGATCTGCATCTAAAAACATTTAAAATCTTCCATGCTAGCCCCAACATTCAGACCAAATCATTAGATGTTTTATTTTTTCAAGCACAGGATATTGCTTTGAGATAAAAGTTGGGGCCTAAAAGAGCAATAACACTTATTGGCAAAGGGGTTTATAGATAGGTCTTTCAAATTAGGTTTCCTGTGGCTTATAACAAGGTACAATTTCTTCTTTATATCTGTTGGCACCTGAGACTCTTGATTTCAATTCACGTTGACAGGGAAAGACATGAGCCTAAATGGTGTTGCATAGGTTTTACAATGGACCTGAGATATAACAGAATAAGGAAGGACATCAGAGAAGCAGCTTTTGTGAGGGAGGCTTTGGCAGGCTGTTGGATGTCTGCATTCATTCCTTCATCAAACATTTACAGAGAAATTTCTATGTGCTAATTCTCTACTAATTCCTGGCCAAATGAAGGAAAAAAAATAAATGGTTCCTGGCACCTGAAAGTTTATGGTGTAGGGTGTCACAGATGTGTCTCCCTACATATGTCCTACAATTTGACAAGAAGAAACTTGGACTGGTGAATTTCAATGTCAAGTTTAGTCAGCTACAAAGCTTTATGATATAGTTCAGGATGGGGAGGGAAAAACTAAGCACAGTAAAGCCAGAATAGTATTTCACAAGAAATACGAAGTTATGTTAATAGAAGGAACACTACCCTTATGTATAGGATGGATTCTTTATGTAAAATCACTTTATGTAGGAGATCACCAGAGAGAAATAAGTCCTGAGGCACAGCATCTAGTTGCTTTTGAAAACACTGTGGAAGACATAGCACTATTTTAAAGTGGAAGTCCTCCACCATTTCGTACTCTCTCTACATCTATAGGATCGGAGCTCAGTCCTCACCTTCCTTCCCTCCAACATCCACTGCTAGGCACCACAGACTACAGACAGCCTTCTTGCAGAGCAGCAGGAACTCAGCAGAGGAGTAAGCATTGATATTCTACAACTAGTAGTGAAAAATTTCATAACATGTGACAAAGGGTTGATGAGGACTTGCTTGTTTCTGCAAGAATGCAAAATATAAATCAGAAGGTAACACATAGATTTGTATGGGAAAGCCCCTTTCCTACTGCCATAGGCTGGTTAGTCTCAACTTTGTGCGGTCATAGGGATCTAAGTAGCTATATTTATGACATGATGCCTGATTTCTCCCTATACCACATGAAGCCATTCTCTAAAGGGCTGCTTAAAACATTATTGGTATCTAGCCATTATTTGATTCAGAGAAAGGCAGGGAAGTAAGTGTAAGTAATGTCCTACCGGGCAGACAAAATGATCTCTTCACAGGCTGAACTGAAAGCATTATGAAATCATTCCCGAAACTGCTCCCTTTCCTTGAGAATTATCTAGAGAAATACACCATGGATGAAAGCAAGACACAAAAGAGCCCATAATATAGGTTCATGTTATACCCAAAGTCGCAAATGCTTTATGACAAGTATGAACAAGAGCAATGGGAAAACTGAGGGTCCATTTATATCTTTCAAGACTCAGCTCAGGCATCATTTCCACTGGGAAGCCTCCTCTAAACTCCCAAAAGTGCTTATTCTCCTTTGAACTTTCATGGTACGTGACATATACTCTATATTTATGTGGTTTTTTTAAGTTTACTTACCTGTTTCCTATTTGTGTTCTACCTGCACCTAGCACAGTGCTTGATATATAGTCTGCATTGGATAAATATTTGTTGAATGAATGAATTCCAGAAGTTGAAGGATAGGTTGAAAGTGAAAATATTAGATACTGGAAATATGTAGAAAAGCTAGGGAATTTTTAAAAAGTATCCAAAATGAGAGGCCTGAACTAGTAATGAGATGGAGATAATGGACACAAGAAAAATGAGCATGGAAACTAATCAATGAAATGTATCAGTCCTTAATTATGTGAGAGAAACTGATCTAGAAGACTCAAAGCACCCTGAGGTTGTGAGCAGAGAACAGGGAGACAGCTGACCACAAAGCCCGACACAGAAGGACAAGCTTCTTTGGTGAAAAAATTGTGAGCCGACTTGATCATGTTGCACCTAGAGGAGTATTGGAATGTCCAGTTGTGTATGTCCCAATTGTGTATAGGAGCCTAGGGTTTTGAGGGTATTTGTGACAAGAGATGACAACTTGGTAAACACCTCTTAGGATATAGTATTTGACAGCGTGATAATATATGAATTTGTTGAATAATAAAATATATATCAAGAAGAAAATGGTATCAATAATAGAACTATGGGCAATATTTAAATTTCAAGGGTTTGAGGGAAAAAAGAGAATCAGAGAGAGGCTGTTAGATACAGATAGGTTCCTCTTCAAACAGTTTGTCCCATTCTCCGGTTCTTTATTGTCTAAATTCCAAGAACCCCTACCCCCACTTTTGCTGTGCAGTAAACTGTCTAAACATGCCTAGTTATGATAAGCCCCAATGGACATTCCTTTCCTTATGTGGGAATAGGTTAGCTTTCTAGTCCCCTGCAGGTGACCACTTCCTCCTCTCCCCCTCTTCTCTATCATGTGTCTACCTTATCTAAGAAAGTTTGAACGTTTAGCCAATTGAGACCAACCCCAGTCAATAGGGGAAAGACACAGAGTTAGAATCTGCATTAGGAATAAAAACCCCTACTCTCTGTTGTTCTGTGTGCTCTTTTGGTCATGACTGACGCAGGCAGCACCCTTCTGCAAAAGTAAATTTGCCTTGCTGAGAAATCCTTGGAGAAATCCTTGCTGATGGAAATCTTGGGAGGTTGAAAATGCGTGAGTGGTTACAAGCCCTACTGCTGAGTGGAATGAGTGAGTCCAATCTGCAGTTCCATGGTCACCTCATGTGGCTTATGGCGGCCCTTTGAGGGTCCTGTAAGGGGCTTATACTGACTTGCCAATGCTAAGAGAGACCTAAATTCCCTTCAGGGGAGTGGCCATAGAGGACAAAGTGAAAGGAGAAGAGTGTGACAAACCTCCAGGAGGGGGTGTTGAGCCTCTAGAGAAAGGAAGGGCAAGAAATCCCTAATATGAGGGATTGAGTCTCACACCAAACCTCCAGGGTAGGGATGACAAGAAATCCCTAACACGAGGGACTGAGCCTCAGCAAGTCCCTAGAAAAGGGAGGGCAAAAAATTTGTAATACGAGGGATTGAGCCTGACCAGCACCCAAAATGGGAAATACTCCAAGTAAGATAGGAAACAGAAAGGACAAAGCTAACAGCAGTGATATTCCCATGCCTAGAGACTCCAACACATGGGATCCCCTAGACCATCTTCCCCTGTCCAGTACCCCCAGACCTTCCCCTCAGGCAGCTGATTCCACTAGATTCCACTCCAGATCCTTCCCCTGCTCATGTTATTCCTCCTCCTTACAACCCTGACTCTTGGGAGTTATTGTCCCATGAGACTGTTCCCTAACAGCCTAAGTACCCCTCCCTAAAAGGACTCCAACATGAGATAGAGCAATGTAAGAAGGACATCCAGAATTTCCCTTTCCCTTCCACCCCTAAGGGATCAGCTCCAACTCTCTTTCCCTTAAGATAGGTGCCACAAGGAGGGACAGCCATTTGATTGGTAAATGCTCCCTTAACTAGTTCAGAAGTCCAAAGTTTAAAAAAAGAACTCAAGCCATTGGTGGATGTCCCTTGTGGAGTGACAGATCAAATTGATCAATTCCTAGGACCTGAGTTATACACTTGGGTCGAGTTAATGTCCATCTAGGCATGCTGTTTTCAGGGGAGGAAAGAAGTATGACCAGTAGGGCTGCTATGGTGGTTTGAGACCATGAACACCCTCCCGGTCAAAATGTTCCTACCGTGGACCAGAAATTCCCCACCCAAGACCCCCAGTGGGACAATAATAATGCAACTCATCGAGAAAACATGCAAGACTTAAGGGACGTGATAATAAAAGGAATTCGGGAATCAATACCCCGAACTCAAAATCTCTCTAAAGGGTTTGATATACAACAGGGAAAGGATAAAGGGCCTATGGAATTCCTAAACAGACTAAAGGAACAAATGAAAAAATATGCAGGGCTAAACTTAGAGGGTTCCCTTGGGCAGGGGATGTTAAAGCTCCATTTTGTCACTAAAAGTAGGCCAGACATTTCCAAAAAATTACAAAAAACAGAGGATTGGGAAAACTGTCCTCCAAATGAACTTCTCAAAAAGCTCAAAAGTTATATGTGAAGAGAGACAAAGAGAAGCAGAAACAAAAAAGCAAAACTCATGCTATCCACCTTCCAACAGGTGGCTCCAAACCCATATGCTTCTTAACAAAGCCTTCAGGGGGCCAAAAATGATAGAGGGTCCAAACCCCTGTTTAAAGGACCCAAGTCCCCAACTAAAGGACCTAGGCCCTCGTTTCCCAGGCCCTCTAAAGAATATGATGGAGCAAAGTCAAAGAATTCTAGAACTGACAGGGAGGAAGGACAGGATAGGCACTTCAAATGCAGAAGAACAGGCCACTTCAAGAGCGAATGTCCTGAACTGGAAAAGGACAAAGGAGCCCTCACACTCATGACTTTCGAGGAAGAATAGGAGGGTCAGGGGCTCTCTTTCTTTTATCTCGAGTCCCACCAAGAGCCCTTGATAAATTTAGAGGTGGGACCTAAACATAAGCTCATCACCTTTTTGGTAGATTTAGGAGAAGCTTGCTCTTCTCTATGCTTTCCTTCAGTTAACATTGCTTGCTCTTCAGAGGAACTTTTAGTCTCCCTGGTAACAGGAGAAGGATTTAAGGCAGAAATTTTGGAGAATATAGAAGTCAAATACAAAGGTCGATCAACTTATATCCGATTTTTGTTAATCCCTGAAACAGGAACTAATTTATTAAGAAGGTATTTAATGTTAAAATTAGGAATAGGACTACAAGTTGGCCCAAAGGGATTCCTCACCTCATTAAACCTACTCACCATCACAAATGAAAAACATATTAATCCTGATGTCTGGTCCAGAAAAGGAAACCAAGGGAAACTCCAAGTTTCCGCAATACACACCAAGCTAAAAGAACCTGGGGAAGTAGTATGAAGGAAACAATACCCCATTCCTCTAGAGGGCAGGATAGGGTTGAAACCTATAATTCAAAGTCTCATTAAAGATGGACTCCTTGAACCCTGTATGTCTCCTTACAACACCCCAATACTGCCTGTCAAAAAATCAGACAGGTCATACCAACTGGTACAAGACCTCAGAGGTATTAACCAGATAGTCCAGACCTCCCACCCTGTTGTCCCCAACCCTTACACCATTCTCAACAAATTTCCATACAGTCATTTCCATTCAGTTCACAGTAATAGATTTAAAAGATGCTTTCTGGGCATGCCCCCTGGCTGAAGAAGCCAAGACATATTCACTTTTGAATGGGAGGATCCTCATTCAGGGCAGAAACAATAATATCAATGGACAGTCTTGCTCCAAGGGTTCACAGATTCACCTAACCCTTTTGGTCAAATTTTAGAACAAGTGCTGAAAAAAGTTTCCATTCCAAAACAACTATGCCTGCTTCAGTACATAAGTGATATTCTCATATCTAGCAAAAACATAGAGGAAGTAGCTGGCTTCTGTACACATATTCTTAACCATCTTCAGTTTGAGGGGTTACGGGTCTCAAAAGGAAAGCTTTAGTGTTTAGATAAATATTTAGGCCACTTAATAAGCACAGACAAGCAAAGAATAGGTCCAGAACAGGTTGAAAGAATCATGTCCTTAGCCTTGCCTCAAACTGAACAAGAACTTAGGAAATTTTTGGGGTTGGTTACATATTGCCACTTATGAATTGACTCATATGAACTAAAAAGTAAACTCTTATACCAAAAAGTTACCCAGTGGACACTTGACCGTCTCCTGTGGGCCTCTGAGGAAATCGATCAGGTTGAAGAGTTAAAAAACTCATAACCACCCCTGTCCTGGCTTTACCTTCCCTAGAAAAGCTGTTTTACCTTTTTGTTAATGTGAATAATGGGGCAGCTTAATGAGTGCTCACCCGAGAGCACGGAGGCCGCTGGCAACCTGTGGCTTTCCTATCAAAAGTTTTAGACCCAGTCACCTGTGGATGGTCCAAATGCATTTCATCTATTATGACTACAGCAGTATTGATTGAAGAAAATAGAAAGTTAACATTTAGTGGGAAATTGACAGTGAGTATGCCTCACCAAGTTACAACTATCTTAAACCAAATAACAGGAAGGTGGCTCGCTGACTCAAGAATCTTAAAGTATGAGGCTATTCTGTTAGAGAAAAATGACTTAACATTAACTACTGATAATTCACTCAACCCACCAGGTTTTTTAATGGGGAATCCAAACCTAAAGAGAGAGCATGCATGTTTAGATTAATTGATTACCATAAAAAGATCCAGCTAGATCTAGGAGAGACTCCTTTCAAGATGGGGTGGCACTTATTTATAGATGGTTCCTCCTGGGTAATTGAAAGAAAGAGGCATAATGGGTATTCAGTAATTGATGGGAAAACTCTTAAAGAAATAGAGTCAGGAAGATTGCCTAATAATTGGTCTGCTCAAAGGTGTGAGGTTTTTTCACTCAGCCAAGCTTTAAAGTGCTTACAGAACCAGGAGGGGACCATCTATACTTATCTAAGTACACCTTTAGCTCATACATTTGAGAAAATTTGGACTGAATGAGGTCTTATTAATAATAAGGGCCAAGACGTTGTTCACAAAGAGTTAATCACCCAGATATTAAATAACCTCCAGTTGCCAGAAGAAATAACTATTGTCCATGTCCCCAGATACCAAAAAGGCCTTTCTTTTAAAAGTCATGGAAATAACCTAACAGATCAAATAGCCAAACAAGCTGCCGTTTCTTCTGAAGTGCCTATCTTACACGTAACTCCTTGCCTTCCTTCCCCTACCGCAATCCCCATTTTCTCTTCTGCTGAAAAGGAAAAATTAATAAAAATAGGAGCCAAAGAAAACACATAAGGAAAATGGATATTACCAGACCAAAGAAAAATGTTATCCAAACCTCTCATGAGGGAAGTCTTGTCTCAACTACATCAAGGAACCCATTGGGGACCCCAAACTATATGTGATGCAGTTCTTAGAGTTTATGGGTGTATTGAAATTTATACCCTAGCCAAACAAGTTACAGACAGTTGCTTAATATGTAGAAAAAGTAAAAAACAAGCTCTAAGAAAATCACCCATCAGGGGAAGAGATCCAGGACTAAGACCATTCCGAAGTGTTCAAATTGGCTACACTGAAATGCCCCCAGTTAGTCACCCGAAGTACTTATTGGTAATAATAGATCACTTTACTCACTGGGTAGAGACTATCCCCTTCTCAAGCACAACTGCTATGTAGTTAAGGCATTAATTGAAAACATCATACCCAGGTTTGGACTAATAGAAAACATTGATTCAGACAATAAAACCCATTTCACTATACATGTCATTAAAGAGTTAGCCCAGGTGCTAGATATAAAATAGGAATACCATCCCTTGGCATCAGGAAGAGTAAAAAGAATGAATGAAACTCTAAAAAGCTACCTAACCAATTTAGTCCTAAAAACCCGGTTACCCTAGGCTAAATGTCTCCCCATTGCCTTTTTAAGAATCAAAACTGCCCCTCGAAAAGATGTCAGTTTATCCCCTTATGAAATGCTATATGGGCTGCCTTATTTACATTCTACTACTGACGTCCCTACATTTGAAACAAAAGATAAGTTCCTCAAAAATTATATACTTGGTCTATCTTCTACTTTCTCTTCTCTTAAAACCAAATGTCTCCTAGCACCGGCACCACCCCTGGAGTTCTGTACGTCAGCATCAGCCTGAAGATCAAGTCCTCATCAAACGGTAAAAAGAAAAATATTTTGAACCCGCTTAGAAAGGACCCTACCTGGTGCTTCTAACTACTGAATCTACAGTCTGAACAGTGGAAAGAGGATGGACTCACCATACCCAAGTCAAAGAAACGCCACAACCTTCAGAGTCATGGGCCATTGTTCCAAGATCAAGCCGTATCAAATTAAAGCTAAAAATACCTTAACCCTCCTATACCTTTTTTATTGTTTCTCCCTCTTTCCCCACTCTATTGTTAGCCATCTTGTTATCAATGTAACTAGGTCTGACTCGCCCCAAACTATTGCTTTTGATGCTTGTCTGGTTACACCTTGTGGGGATCTAAAAAACCAAAGACAACTAGCCTTTTCAGATAAGTATCTTTGCCCTGGCCCTCTAATTCCAAAGTTTCCCCTAGCCCTCACCATTGTGATCACCTACAGCCAAGACGCCATTTCTTTATTTCCACAGCCTGACAGCCTTATAGTGTTTGAGACTATGTTCTCTAGACCACACAATACCAAAGTTAGACCTCTGCAGTGAGGGTTTGCATTAATCTAAAGCTTTACCTCCATTTTACCAAAGGAACTACTCCCCCTGATTGCCAGTCTCATCAATGCAACCCCATCCTCATTTCCATTACCATCTCTACCTCCACTGACCCTAGGCCCACCCTCAGTAGTCTCTATGGTGTAGGGGCCAATTATAATGAGAGAGATCCTGTAAGTATCTTTCAAATATACCTCTTTTCCCACCTCCTCTTCCCCCATCCCCGATAATTTCAACTTTGAATGAAACACCTGTTATTCCTGTACCTAATGATAAAACCAAGGTGTCCCTGGTAAAAGTAAAAGATCTAAAACAAACCCTAGCAATTGAGACAGGACATCAAGATACAAATGCCTGACTGGAATGAATTAAACATTCCATCCACACCCTAGGTAAAAGTGACTGTTATCCTTGTGCGCACGGTAGACCAGAGGCCCAGATCATCCCCTTTCTACTTGGATGGTCTCCCCGTCAACCGGACATGAGCTGTATGGTAGCTCGTTTCTAAAACAGCACTGCCTGGGATGACTGATTGTGCCAAGCTGTTTCTCTGCTGTTCCCAGAAGTTCAACACCCTGTTAGCCCCTGAGGTCCATTCAGCCTCTGCCTTCCAATGTCAAGTTTACCTCATATCTCATGACAGGGAGAAGACTTGGCATTCCTCAGAGACTTAAAGGGATACAAGAGCTTAGGCACTTCCAAGAGCTTACCCATCAGTCTGCCCTTAGTCATCCCTGAGCGGATGTCTGGTGGTATTGTGACAGACCCCTACTGGACACTCTGCCAAGTAACTGGAGTGGAATGTGTGCTCTAATTCAATTGGCTGTCCCTTTTACCTTGACATTTCATCAACCAGAGAAAGTAAAAACAAAATGCCATAGGCCAAGAGAGACCCCTTATAAGTCCTTTGATCCTCAGGATTATATAGATGCCATCGAGGTTCCACGAGGAGTGCCAAATGAATTTAAAGCCCAAAACCAAATAGCTACAGGGTTTAAATCCACATTGTTATGGTGGGTAATTATTATTAAAAATGTAGATTAGATAAACTACATTTACTCTAACCAACAACGATTTGTTAACTATACCAGAGATGCCATTTGAAGAATAGCTAAACAATTAGGGCCCAGCAGTCAAATGGCCTGGGAAAATAGAATAACGTTAGATGTGATACTGACAGAAAAAGGTGGAGTTTGTGTCATGATTGGAACCCAGTGTTGTACTTTCATCCCTAACACAGCCCCTGATAAGATAATCACAAAGGCCTTACAAGGCCTTACCCCTCTATCAGATGAATTAATTAAAAAATCTGAAATAGATGGCCCCTTTACAAGCCTCATGGAAAGGTGGTTCAGTGGATAAAAAAAGTTAATAACTTCAATATTTACCTCCCTTGCAATTGTTATAAGTGTACTAATTCTCATTGAATGCTGCCTCATACCCTGTGCTCAAGGTTTAATAGAAAGACTTATTGAGATGACTCTCACTAAAACCTTCCTCAATTCTCCCCCACCTTAGACAGATAAACTTTTCCTTTTAAAAGTTCAAGTGGAACAACAAAGTCAAGAAATGTTAAAAAGGTTTGAAGAGAAAAAATTATAAAAATCAAAAGGGGGAAATTGTTAGATTCAGCTAGGTTCCTCTTCAGTTTGTCCAGTTCCCCCATTCTTTATTCTCTAAATTCCAAGTACTCCCCACCCCACTTTTGCTGCACAGTATCCTGTCTAAACATGCCTAGACATGATAAGCCCCAGTCCACATTCCTTTCCTTATGTACAAATAGTTTAACTTTCTTGTCCCCTGCAGGTGACCCCTTCCTCTTCTCCCTCTCTCCTCTATCACATGCCTACCTTATCTAAGAAAGTTTGAATGTTTAGCCAATTGAGACTAGTTTAGATTGTGCGGTCCAACCCCAGCCAATGGGGAAAGACACAGAAATAGAATCTGTGTTAGAAATAAAAACCCCTACTCTCCTTTATTCTGTGTGCTCTTACAGTCGTGACTGACAGACACAGCCCCCCAAACCCCCTTCTGCAAAACTAAATTTGCCTTGCTGAGAAATTCTTTGTCTCAGTGCTGGTTCTTCTTTGCGACACTGAGCATTTGTTTCCAACAGAGGCAAAGAGGCCCTGGAAGAACTAGATTTTGTCATAATCAAAGGTACAAATAGGATAACTTCCTCAGGCAGATATAAGAAGTATCATAGCAGCCACCAGCTACGCAGAATACAGGTTAACTGTCAAAGAGGCTCAGTCTTCCCTCTCTATTGCACTTATTGGGATAACTTTTCTTTTTCTACCTCTTTACACAGAAGATGAATACTACAATCTCAAGGAATAATATGATCTTTCTCCAATAATGGTAATAGGAATTGAGGTTAAGTGCTCATTAATTAATTTATCATTGTTACATTTCTGGTAGGTTCACTCCAAGACCCATGGAATGTCAGAAAAATTGTTGGCTTTGGAAGCAGACTTTCCAGGGTTTTAAAATCTGTCT
Organism: Homo sapiens; assembly: GCF_000001405.40. Lineage (NCBI taxonomy): Eukaryota > Metazoa > Chordata > Mammalia > Primates > Hominidae > Homo > Homo sapiens. Next base: position 106,230,971 of record NC_000011.10, read on the forward strand.
CAATACTAATTAGTTAGATGACGCTAGGAAAAGTACTTAATCTTTTTGAATGCCAGTTTACTCATGGGTAAAATGGGGATAACAATGCTTCCCTTGTAGAACTGTTGTGAAGATTAAGATAATATATACTAATGGCTTGCATACTACCTTGAATATAGTGAATGATAAATGTTGTCTTTTTGTTTCACTTAGTTTCAAAGTCATCTTACCCTCATGGAAAATCTTGAAAAATATATTTGCATGTTTGTTCGCCATAATATAGAACATTGCAAAGAGCATTAATCAGGACTTTATGAGTACTAATGGAAATATCTTGGAGAAGTTAGCAAAATTGAAAGAGCTAGGAACTAGGAAAACTGGATATTTACGTAGGCTGAGATTGATGCAGTTGGTTCTTCCCGTTTCCCAGTTTCCAAGAATGAAGACTAGTGTGGAGATGGAAAGAAAAATCTGTAGAATGATGAAGAATATATATTTATCAGGAACCACTAGAACCTTGTATCAGAAGGACTAGAACTAGGAAATTAATACTTTTAAGATGCTTCTATTTTATTTTTGCTTATCTGTGCTTGGCTTCATTCTCTTCTGGTACAAATGTGTTTACTCTTCATGCAAGGGGATGGGGTTTTCAGCAGCTTGAAAAGTAATTTCCTTCTAGCTCTAGAGGATAGGGGAGTAAGGAGACAGCACTAGAAAAAAATCCTGGTGAAGAGCTCAACTGATCTGGCTTACTTCCTCTGCCCACTTCTGTAGTAATGACTGTGACTAAGGCTCTAACTGTCCTAGGACTCTCCTAATTTGGATTGTGAACCTGTTCCTGTGAACCTGAGTGTGGACACCAGAGTGGGCTGTTTCCCCGTAAAACAGATGAGTGCTGGACAGACAAAAATGAAAGCCACAATAATTATTACTTTGTTCTTTCTAATCCTTACACTTATTTTTTTTCCTTGTCTTAACACGTTAGCAAGAACATCCAAAGCAATGTTGAATGGTAGAAGTGATAGTGGATATCTTAATCTTCTTTCTGACTTTTATGGGAATGCTTTTAATATTTGCTGTAAGATTTTAATAGATATGAATTTAAAGAAGTTTTATCTGTTCTTATTATGCCAGGGTTTTTATTCTTTAAATCTTGAAAGGATGTTATTGAATGGTTGAGACAAACTGAATTTTTTATCTAAAGTTTTAAAGATAATTATCATTTTTTCTCTATTTGATCTATTAATCTGGTCAATTAGATTGATGTTTTAAATGTTGAACTGGTTTGGATATTTGGGATAGGTCTTTTAATATTATTCTTTTGCTACATGTTGAATTTGATTTATTTAAAAATATGATTTTTGATTCTGTTTGTAAGTGAGATTGACCAGTGGTTTTCTTGTACTCTCTCTGTGTAGCTTTGGAATCAGTGTTTGTCCAGCCTTCAAAAATGAGCTGGGCAACGTTTTTCTTTTGCTTAACTCTAGAAAAGTTTTCATAAAATATGAATTATTTTTTCCTTGTAGGTTTGATAGAACTGTCTGTAAATGATCTGAGCTTGGTACCTTTTCTTTAGGGGGAGAATCTCTGAATATGATTTGCATTTTTAAGATGGTTATTGGCCTAGTCAGATTTTTAAACTTTGTAAACTGATTGTAGCAATTATTTTTCCTAGAAAATAACCTTTTGGTACATTTTTAGTATTTATTAACTTGTTTACAGTATTTTTAAAAGGTTTTAAAAAGTTCTACTTTACCTGTAGTTATTTTCTATTTTTCCATGCTTTAAATTGTTTATTTGTGCCTTACTTTTTTCCTCAACTAATTTTACAAGACATTTGTATTTATTTGGCTTTTTAAAGAGCCAGTGTTTGGTTTTGTTGATCACCTCCATTGCTTTGTTTTGTTTTTAATTCTTTTTTTGTTTTTTGCTTTCATCTTCATTAGATGTTTCTTTTTATTTTCTCTGCATGTAAATATTTTCTTGCTTATTGAATGAGAAACTTGGCTTGTTCATTTTCAGTCTTATGTGCTTTCTAATGAGTATCTTTAAGGCTGTTAAGTACAACTTTAGCTATGTCCCACAGCATTTGATATGTACTAACTTGTTGTCATCCTGTTCTAAATCTTTTGTAGTTTTCTATTTTGATTTCCTTTATAAATCTATGACTTACTGTACATAGCAGTATATTTTCTGCTTGGTAAATGTATAGGATTTGGAGAAGAGTTATCTTTTTGAGGTTTATTTATAATTTCCTGATATTGTGATCAGAGAATACTGTTTGCATGATACCAATTTTTTATGATTTATTGAGATTTCCTTTCAAATTTAGTACTTGGTCAATATTTATAAATGGCCCTTGTTTGCTTGAAAAGAATGTACATTCACTGTTGGGTGCAGAGTTCTATGTAGTAGTTTGTGCTTATTCATTACCTATATCTATATTTTACTTGCTTGGATTTTCAGTTTCAAAAAGGTAGTTGAAAATTTTTCATTATGAAAACTCGAAACCATGATATTCTAGTTGGTAATTTCTAGTTTACTGTTCCCATCTCCTCAATGTCAACTGTTTTGCTATCATTTTGTTTTGGTGTTTGTTTTTTAAAAATTCCTATGAAGAATAATTTCTTTCAAAAGATGTATTTAACACCTTGAAATACATTGTATCTAATAACATACTTGGCCTTCTGCCATCTTCTTTTCTGCTCTACAGTGATACTTCTTTCTCTTTTATTGTGTCTTTCCTGATTTCTGTTAGATTGGTGAGTTTTTAAATAAATTATTTGCTTTATTTTCCTTTTTTAATGATTTGGAAATTACATGTTTTATTTTAATTTTTATTAGTGGGTATTCTAAAAATGTTTCTCAGCAATGTCCAAAGTTTATCATTTTTCTTCTGAACAAGATAAAATCTTTAGGTTACTTTCACTTCTCTTTGGGTTAGTTCTCTAAAGTTCCTATATAATTGATTTCTGAAAATTATATGCCAACTTGTTATTACACCTGTGAAAATTGTTTTTATTCATTGTTGTTATCTATTTAGCCATAGATTATAAAGCTTTTATTTTAATCTTGCATTGCACTATGTCCTTCTAAGTTTATTTTTCTTGTTGAGTATAACCTTTTGTAGTTCTTTCACTGAGGTTTGTGGAAGGTAAACTTTTTGATCCTTCAGAGTTTTGAAATATCTTTACTCCTCAGTCTTGAATGATCATTAAATGGGTGTAGAATTTAACGTTGTGCGTTATTTTGTTCTCATAATTTTGAAGACATATTTGTCAATTGTCTTGACATCTAATGAGGATGATAAAGCTAATAATATGATTATCTTCATTGTAGATAATCTGTTCTTACTCTTTAGTTGTTTTTAGAATTCCTCATCATTTTCAAGGTTTACCATAATTGATCTCTGTATAAGTTTTGAAAACTTATTCTTCTTAGTGGTCCAAATCATTTTCAATATTTAGGAATAGTGCTTCTTCAATAGTGGGGAATTACCAGTCTTTTTCTTTAAATATTGCTCATTCACTATTCTATTTTGTTCTTCTGAAAATCTTATTTTTATTTGGAACATTTGGTCTTATGCACTTATATTTGTTAGCATCTCACCTCCCATGTAAAAAATATCTTTCTTTCTTTGTACTACTTTATGGGATGATTGCCTCAATTTGGCCTGTCAAGTCATGAATTTGTCAATAGCATTTTATTGAATATGTGTCCTATTATTGATGCTTAAACTTCTGTTAAAATATTATGCATTTCTAAGATTTTGAATTGATTGTTTTAAAATAACCACTCATTTATTATTTCATTATCACTTCTTTTTTCATTCGCCTTCTGTCTTGTTTCCCTGTTCCTTTTCATTAATTCAGAGAATGTTAAAAATACTTATTTTGTGGTCTGCTTTAGAGTTTCCCTATTTAGTTTAAGTGCTTCTGTGTTCTGAGTTCGTTATTTGCTTTTTCCTGTGCTACTTTTTTTCACAGGTGCTCAGTGATTGTTATTTGTAGTTTATCTTCACAGAAAGGTTTCTTCAGCACATGTCCAAGAACCCAGAAATGGTCTCAGGAGGGCTTAGCATTTAACACATGGGGCGTGACTTCAACTAAGCTTGGGTAAGTTTCTAACTTGAGGTTTCTGACCCTTAAAAAGTGTAAGTTTTTAAGGACAGGTGATTTCCTTGAACTTGGCTCACATTCTTTCATTGCTGGGTGGTAATTCGCTTGACCTGGCTTCACCCAGTTGGTACCATCTTTGCCATCTGGGCACAGTTTGGGAGGCCTTGCCTGTACTCCAAGCACTTGGTCTAGTTTTACTCCTGGTCCTCTGAGCCAGTCAGCATTCACCCCAACTCACCACAGTGAATTCTGTCTCTCTGTTCTTCCAGAAAGCATAGTGGCTTTTAGAATAACTGCTCTAGTTTGGGAACAATGATTCTTGCTTTCTTTGCTTTAAGAAGGCTTAGGTGTTATAAATTAACATTAGGATCTTAAATTGGAAATAGTATTTTCAATATTTACATTTAAATTTATGGTTCATTAGGACATGTTTTTATGTGCTAACGTATGAATTCAGGTTCCCTGTATCCCCAAAAAGGTGCACCGTATGGCCACGTCTTTTATTGATTTGTCCACCTCTACCCAGATGGCAAATTTATTTTGTACTCATTTTCCATAAATATTTTGGTCTAATTATGAACTTTTTTGTGTATCAATTATATGTCAGTTTTGGTTTCTTCACCACACTTTCAACTGTAGCATTAGCACCTGTCTTTATATGAAACAGGGCAAACTTTCCTTCATCACTCTTCCAAAATTTCTTTAGATATTTTTGTGTTTATTCTTTCAGCTAAACTTTAGAGTAATTTTATCATTTAAAAAATTCTTTTGGTGTTTTGAATAAGACTATATAACATTTATACAGAATTGAACTTCCAAACAAAGAACAAGAAGCATGTATTTCATTAATATAATCTTCTATTGCAGCTTGATAGCTTTGTATCAATAGGACATTTTTGACTTTATTTCTAGGAATTTTGTTTGTTGTTTTTATTGATGTAAATATAATTTTATCTTAGATGATTGCCTAATTACTTATTATTTACATATATTTTTATTCAGTTGAATACATTAACACTCATTTTTTTCTAATAGTTTTATATATCAGAATTTTGAATTTTCCAGTTGTCTACTCAACTGCAAATAAGGATAATTTTCTATTCCCATTGACTAATTCTTGCAAAACGATGTTAAATAGTATTAAATAGCAGTTATCCTTTTGTTTCTTCCAAATTTAATGGGATAGCTTTCAGTGTTTTGGGCTTTTGTTTTGATACTTTATGTAACCATTTTAAGAGACTACATAAGTTATGACAGTGGCCATAAATAAGAACAGTTCAACTAAAAGTGGCTTAAAAATGAGGAAAAGCTTTCATGTCACATTGTATACTTTGAGAGGCAGAGTCCTGGAGTTAATTTGGTGACAACTCTGTTATCAAGCACCCAAGGGCTTTTTATCTTTCTGTTCTGTCATCCTTAGCATGCTGGTGATGTCATGCCTTATGGTGGCAAGGTGGCCCTGGTAATTTCTGGGTGTTTTTTTTTTTTTTTTTTTTTAGATGGAGTCTTGCTCTGTTGCCAGGCTGGAGTGCAGTGGCGCAATCTTGACTCACTGCAACTTCTGCCGCCTGGGTTCAAGCAATTCTTCTACCTCAGCCTCCCAAATAGCTGTGATTACAGATGCCCATCAACACACCCAGCTAATTTTTTGTATTATAGTAGAGATGAGGTTTCACCATGTTGGCCACGATGGTCTTGATCTCATGACCTCGTGATCCACCTGCCTTGGCCTCCCAAAATGCTGGGATTACAGGCATGAGCCACCGCACCCGGCCTGTAATTTCAAGTATCACATATAGACTAAGCGCATCTGGTAGTAAGGAAAGTTGGGTTTCCTTCCTTCCAGGCATCATTTTATTAATTAGTGAGACAAATTTTTCTTAACTTTCTCCAGCACATTTTTCTTCACTTCCCATTGGCAAGGACATTGTTACATATCCATGTACAAACTCATCCAGAGCGAAGGAAGTGACCACTCTGGTAGATATAAACTAATCATCATATTTACTCTCTAAATCCAGGGAAGGTATGGTCACATTCTCTGAGCCCATATCCACATACAAACTCACCCAGGGCAAAGGAAAAATGACCACTCTGTTAGTTTTATGAACACCAAAAAAGCTTTGGAATGACCTCTTTCTTGAAGGCTTAGAATAATTCAACTGTGAATAATCTGGGCTTAGTAGTTTTTTGGATGAGTAGGTGAAGGGTGAAGAACTGAACCAAATTAGGATTGTGCCTGTTAGAAGGGGATAGGGTGTGACTACAGTTGGATAGTCCATAGTGTCTTCCAAAGGGAATTTCCACCTTCATTTTTCTCCAGAATTTATCAGTGGCCATTGTTGTGTGTGTGTGTGTGTGTGTGTGTGTGTGTGTGTGTGTTTAAATGCCTCTTGCCAACAATCAAGCTGATCATATAAGATTTTTCAATGGACTTTTGTTAGGAAAAAAGTTATTGATCGATTTGTTAAAAAAATCTATCTTTGAACTATCTCTTCATATTTTGAATGAATCTAATTGGTAATTAGAGATGATTTTGAAAACTTATTTGTCGATTGTATTTGTAAATCTTTTTATTAGTATTTAAAATAAATATTTATTTATTTTTGAAACAGAGTTGTGCTCTTGTTGCTCAGGCTGGAGTGCAATGGCATGATCTCGGGTCATTGCAACCTCTGCCTCCTGGGTTCAAGTGATTCTCCTGCCTCAGCCTCCTGAGCAGCTGGGATTACAGGTGTGCACTACTATGCCCAGCTAATTTTGTATTTTTAGTAGATACAGAGTTTTACCATGTTGGCCAGGCTGGTCTCAAACTCCTGACCTCAAGCTATCCATCTGTCTTAGCTTCCCAAAGTGCTGGGATTACAGGCGTGAGCCACCGCACCCACTAAAATAAATATTAATAATTTTCAAATAAATATTAACACATAAATATTTAGTGAGTATTTAAAATCAAGGCTTTATAACTATGAGGGTGTGTGTGTGTGCACGCATGCATTGTCAGGTTTTAGAATCAGTGTTATGTAGCCTTTGTAAAGAGGATTTCAAATATCTCTATCTTTCTCCCTATATTGGTTGAGTTTTTCTTTATTTCTCATTGGCCAGGGCATTGCTACATATCCACATAAAAACTCACCCAGGGCAAAGGAAAAGTGACCACTCTGTTAGTCTTAGAAGCACCAGAAAAGCTTTGGAATGATCCTCTTTCTTGAAGGCTTAGAATAATTCAACTGTGAATAATCTGGGCTTAGCAGCTTTTTGGATGAGTAGGTTTTTGACAACTTTCTCAATTTCTTCCATGTTTAGTGGTCTATCTAGTTTTCTATTTCTGTGATAAAGTGTGTTTTTGTAAAAAATAATTTATTTTACTCAAGCATTAAAATTTTCAAGCAAGAAGCTTGCATTTCAGGCAAGTTTACAAAGTATTCCCTTTCAGTTATTTACTCTTTACTTGTGGTTATTTACCTTTACTTGACCCTAATTTTCTGTACTTGGGTTATTTCTCAGTTTCCTAGAAAGTGTTTCTTCCCTTTTGTTGTTCATTTATTAATTTTTAGTTAAATAATTATTTTTGTCTATTGTATAATTTTTATTTATTTTTATGTTTAGTAATCCTTCCTATTTGTATTTTGGAGTCAATTTGTCTTTAAAAAGTTCTTAATTCAAGAGATTAATTAATTAAATTATTTCTTATGCAGTGATCTAAGCAGTATTACACAAAGTTTATGGGAAGCCATTGTTTTGAACTAGCCTTCTGCAGTACGCCCCAGGAGACTAGACCAAACCAGAACAGAGTCACTCATGCTGAGTGACATGTAATCAAACTGAACTTTGAAACAGGCTGGTTGTCTTAAAAAATAGGAGATTATAGTTAACCTGAGTCAGCATAATAAGAAAGTCTATGTTTTAACTGTTGGGTGCCTTATTACCTGACTTATTTTATGTTTGAAAATGTATGTCTGCTACCTTAGAACTTGAACAAAAATTTGCTCATTTATATATTCATGAGTCATATTTTTCTTATTTTAAATTGTGTATACAGTCTTTCATCATTTTCTGGCATTACATGTTCCCACCTAGTAGTCTGTGGGTAGCCTGATTTTTTTCTCCTCTTACTATTTTCTTCTGGTTGCCTGAAGAATTGATTTTGCAATTTTAAAGTTTGGCAACTCATTAGGGTGTGTCTTGTTAGTTGTTTCTACTAATACTTCCTAGAACAATGTATATACCCTTTTAATTTGGAGATTGTTTTACCTTTTAGGGGATTCTTTTATTTCTGTATTATATTTTTTAAGAAATTTTTGAATATTACCTTAAGGACATTGAAATTGATAGTTTTCCTTTCCATTTTATTATTTTTGCTTTTCCTTTGTACCCAAGTAGGCCGTTACTGAATATTTGTGACCTAGAGCCTAAAGAAGAATATTAGTAACCTTCATTCACCTCTCCTGGGTGCTTTGATGATTAATGTTCCATAAAAATTCTAAATTAAAATTTTAATTAAAGCACATATGTGAATTAATAAGATTGGGGATCAGAGTCCCAATTTAGCTACTTTGCTAGATTTTTTTTCAAAAGTGGAGGATAAATCATTTTTTTCTGAGAAAATCACACAGTACAATAATTTGATGCAGTCTGTTTTCCTACATATTCAGCAACTTGAATAAAAGTACTAAATAAATATTTTAAATTGTTGAAAGAATCACCTTCATTTTATTTGTCTTAAGATGTGAAATAGAAGAAGGTATTAAACCATGTAGAGTGCAGGTTTGTGCTTGTCTTTTCTTATTTTCTGAGGCTCTGTTTCCTATTGCTATAGGAATGCTACTTACATAGGAGAGCCAGATTTGACCCATCTTACCTGCAATTGGAGATGTATAGATAGACACGCTTGTTCAATATTTCAGGTCTGTCTTTAATTTTGGATTTTATTATGTCTATTTCCAAAATTTATTTACAGCAAATATGTACAATTAAACCAATTATAAGACAAAATATTTAAAACTAAAAGTTGGATACAAACATAGCAGGAATCATTATTATTATATTTTTAAAACCACATTTTCCATCTAAGTATTTTTTTGCAGGATAGTTTTGAAAAAAATAGATATAAAATTAGGAGCTAGAATATTGCTGTTCTTTAAGTTCAGTTTTTATCTTCCAAAGTTTTAATAAAATCAATGAAACATATGAAAATTAAGGAATGGCCTGAGTTTCATGTCTGGCACTTAGGGAGTACCCTTATCTCCTGTGGTTCCTATCTCCAGGAAGAAAGATTTCAGTTGGAATAAGCTCTGACTCTTTACAGAGGAGGAGAAATGACTTATCTGATTGGTGAGATTGGGAGAATAAATGAATTTAGTGTCTTCTGGGTGTCTTTTTCTTTTTTTTTTTTCCTTAGAACCAATCTCACTTCTCCTCCATGTAGTAACTCACAGGGAAAAAGTGAAAAGAACAGTGGCTTTCTATCCATGAAAGTGACTGGACAGATGGACTCATGTATTTCAAGTTGCAGGCAGTAGATAATTAATAAGTATATGTGGTTATGGATCCAAAGACACCTTCTCCAATCAGCTTTATTAGTAATATAACTGACATTTTGGCATCCACGTCTCCAGATTCAAGTTTGATTTCTTAATTTGTTCTAACAAAGGAAGGAAAGATTGAGTCTGTTTATTGAGTCTATATAAGATCCCAAATGTAGGTATCAGATACATCAAATAAGAAAGCAGGAGCTCAGTACCTGAAGTGGCTCTGAGATTGTACAGCATCTAGGAATTCTTGGAAATTGTCAGGGAGGATTTTAGACTTAGAAGTGGGGATTTAAATTACTCAAATTTTTATCAAATTACTCAAACTTTGGCCCTTCAGTTTGCTTGTCTACAAAATAGATATAACAGTATTAACTTCAAAAGTGTATATATATATATTATATATCACATATCTCATAGGTGATATGTATCATACATGTATAGCTTAGGAAAGCAACTGATACATAGAGCTCCATCATGGTTATTTATTACTATCACTATTATTATGATTACTATTAGAGGATCAATGGAGATTGAATGTTGGTTGCTGTATTTTAGCATAGAAAATAAAGTCTGTATTCTGGTCACAAACCTCGGTCAAATTACACTTGGTGAGAAGCGTAGAGAGTTGGGGGTGATCCCAGAGATCTAGAAGAACTTGAAATGGATTATTTTGGAGTATGCTTTTGCATACTCCAGCGGAGGTGAATTAAACTAGAAGAAGGTTGTGTGTCAAGCTAGAATAGGGGATGATAAAAGAGCAATAAGGTGGACAGCCAGAGGATTCAGGAAAACAGGGCAAGATGCAGATCAGATGAATTTAGACTATTCAGGAACAACATTTAAAACACTAGGCTTGAGACAGGATGTTTTCTTTATGCAGAACTTAAAAGCATTTGCCAGAATGGCAACAGACCCTTGAAGAAACAACATAGGCTTTCTTGAGAACAAGATAGCTTCCTTCTAGTTTCTGTGTCTCTTATTTATTAAGTAAATTGTTCATTCATCTTCCCCTACATGTTCAGTACTGCTAGGTACTGTGAGGGATGTTGGTGAAGCAGAATACATGCATATTAACCTTTACATAGTTTCTAAACTATGTTATGGAAATAATATTAGTTCAATTCTATATTTTGTGAAGTTCACAGCACTGAATTATGTCCTGGAGCACAAAAATTTAAAAAGCTGTTTCTAATCTCCTTGGGAAGAAAAGCAGCTGAGAAATCAAGGTAGGCAATGATAAAGTCACATTGTTGCTGTGAAATTCAAGACAACACCATTTAATTTTTTAAAACATGAAAAATTAGTTATTATGTGTTGAATGCAAGTGCCACAATGAAGAATGTTCCTATCGTTGTTTCCCCCACGCTATGTGGTTCTATGCTGCTTCTATCATCTATGCAGCATGATGTTAACTTCGGGCTCTATTATAAAGGCTTGCGATAGTCTACAGAAGCTGGATACATGGCTATTAGTACAGTGAAAACTGTTGTGAGCAATCTGTACTCCTTGTTCTCATTTCATGAAGGTTTTCCACTCTTCTCAAATATAAGCAGTGACATTTGGCTCTCGCTTGTTCCTCTGCTTGGGAGGAGTGACTGGCACCCAGTTGATCATACAAGTCCAAACGTGGGACCATTCTTCTGGTTTGTGGGCAATATGTAGGACATGGCTCTTGCTTCATGTCAGTCCTGCCTTTGCTCAGGGACCGTGTATATTCTTGATTCCTCCTTCTTGAGATAGCAGATAAAAAAGGACCTATTTCTGGTCGGTCAGCCAAGCCTCTGTTCTTTTAGAGTTTTCCCATGTGTCGCTGGGTGGAGACTTCTGTTTCACTAGCTTTTGAAGGTTTAAGTTTTTGGAGTGAGGTAGGAGGTTCCACTGTGATTACCAGATGAGCTTTGCCAATAACAAATACCTGAAAAGGTATTTTGATCATCATCTGTTTCATAGGGCTTACTTTTTCCTGGTTGGTATCTAGATGGAAGGATGGTATAAGGGGTTAACAAGGGCCTTTACAAAACTACAACAAAAACTGCAAAAAAAAAAAATTGCAAAAAAATTATCTTAATCCTGCTGCTCCTCATGCTGTCTGTGAGATTGTGGACAAATTACTTGACTTTTTAAAGCCATCTTATTGAAAAAATTAAATGGCATAATGCAGATAAAAATGCCTGGCCCAGTTTGCCACTCTTAGTAGGTGTTCCTAAACGTTGACCTGCCTCTAGACTTCATTCCGTTCAGCTTTTTCCTGGTGGGTTTACTCATCCAGCCTTCTGCTGAGGGCATCTGTTTTCTCAGCTTTCTCTTTGTATTTAGGAAAGAGCAGCTGAATATGTGAGCTATTTCAAGCCTGTCTTCAGTGCAGTGTACACAAGAGGAAAAATAATCCAGGCAACCAATGGCAGCCCCAGACTTCTTAAAATCAAATAGAACTCAAGTTTAAGTTTTTGACATTTTAAAACATTAATGATTTCATCCTCAACCTTCCTAGAGTAATTCAGAGCTTAAATTTTTGCAATACATTAAATATAATGATGTGTTGATAAGAATCTTTCCTTAGCTGGAACTAGGAAGTCACTGAAAACTGATGTAATAACTGGTTTGTGGTAAGCATTGACTCTTTCCACCCTTTATCTAGAAGTGAATAGTTTAAAAGTTATTTCTCTGCAATACAGACATTCTCATTTTCTTTGAAACCCCAATGGCATTATGTTTCTAACTTCAGAATTGAAAATATGCAATTTAAAACCAGACATTAATTTCATAGATACAGGCTAGGATTAAGTTTTGTGTTTCAATAAGTGAGTAAGAAAACATTATAGTTGTGCTTTCACAATCCATGAATTTATTTGGAGATGGTTTCCTTCAGTTAGGTCTCCCTTGCCTGAAAGATTTCATCTTCAATTCTCAGTGTTTCCAAAACTGACCCAGTTTTCCAGCCCAACTAGTCACTTGCTTCTTCATGAAACTTACTGATAATTCCAGGCCAGCTGATGCTCATATATTTGAATTCCTTTTGAACCTATAGTGAATTGCACAAATAATGATCCAGAGGATAACAAATTGACTTTTAGAGTCACATCTGTGTTTAAATCTTGGCTTTCAGTTTATTAACTGTGGTTGTTTGATAAAGTTATCTAACTCCTCTGAGATCAGTTCCTCCTGTACAAAATAGGCATTATAACTACTTTTCTGTAAACATTCAATCCAGTGATTAAATAACATGTTTGAAGTAGCCAAAGGAGTTACTGATCAAAAACAACAAATGCCTTCCACTCAAACATTCATTTATTCATTGTATAAATATTCATCAAGCAATAAGATTTAGTAATATAGGATTAAATAAAAGTCATTTCTTTCAGGAATTCACTATATAGTGGAAGAGAAATTGGTACATAAAGAACTAGGTTATGCTAACACACATTCTATGATAGATGAAGATGTGGGGTGCTAGAGAGCATATTGGAGGAGTAGCTAAGATAGTGTGGGGAGGAGTCAGCCAAGAAAAAAGGAGGAAAAGATCATTATGTGTAAAAGCAGCAGCTTGGCCCAGGAAAGAAGGTGAGAAAGATCCTGCCCTATTTAGAGAAGATTGCATAAATTTCAACATGACTAGAGTGTGAGGAAATTAAATGTTTGGAAAGGTAGGCAGGAGACAGTTCCTAAAGAAATTTAAAAATCACGTTATGAACTTGGAATTTTATCTTAAAAACATGGATGAATTTTAAACTGGAAAAAATAATGTGATTTCACATGTTGTTAAAAAGACAAGTATAGAACTTGTGAATAATTTATTGAATGAGGTAAAAGTATAGGTAAGGCTATTGTTGAAGTAGCTGTTGTTATAGCCTTGGTGTGCAATAATGAAATCCTAAAATTAAGACACCAACATTGGGACTGGACAGAAGAAGGAAAATTCAAGAAAGAGTAAGGTATTGGTGAAACATAGAAGAATGAATGAAGGGCAATTCTCATAATAATGGTGTCAGATTATGTAATCAATCTATTACAAGCTATTTGAGGATTTAGGATTACTGAATCCTCAAATCCCATGATAAATGTTCATGTTATGATTCCAGATGCATCTCTGGATGTAACTTTACTTTCTAATGGGAGGAAACATGCTAGTCAGGCTGATTCAAGTAGCCATCATAGTTGCACCACTCTCCAGGCACCTCTGCGTGTTCAGCAATGCAGAAACTCCCTGAACCGTGTCCTTCTGGGTTTTTATGGAGGCTTTATTACATAGACATGATTAATTAAATGAGTGACCATTAGTAATCAACTCAACCTTCAGACTCTCTCTCCTCCCCAAAAGTGAGGCTGAAAGTTTTAACCATCTAATTATATGGTTGGTTCTTCTGGCAACCAGCCCCCATCATGAAGTCATCCAGGAGCCCACCAAGTGTTTTGTCATCAGAACAAAAGATGCTCTGATTACCCAGGAAATTTCAAGATATTTAGGACCTGAATCAGAGGTTCCCATTACTCAAGAAATTATTAATGTCTTAGAAGATTTGTGTTAGGAACCCAGGTCAAAGACCAAATAATAGAACAGATTATTTTCCAACTGCCCTATTATCTACAAGAGTTTCAAGAGCTCTGTGCCAGGAAGTGGGAGGCAGAGACAATACGTATTTCTTATTATTTTGTTAGCAAAACACCAGGGGTTTGGTCTGGGTCTTGGTGAAGCATTGAAATCCAATCACTGGGACAATCAGTATTGCCAGGGGAGAAAGGTGACAACAGCCAGAGAGAAAGGAGCCAAATCTCAAATCTGTCTCTCCCAGCCAACTAAAATTGGGAGTTTGTATAGTGGGGAAATGAATGCAGTAGCTATATGGTGGATGTCAGGACTTAGGGAAGGGTAAGGAAGCAATAATGATGATTGAGAGTTCTGGCATCTCATTGTCTGGATGCAGTGATCTGGTGAGTTTCAGTTCCTTGATACTGAGAGGCATGAGGGTCGGTTTCCTGAGGAAAAAACTCAGATAAGAGAAAGGTAAGTGATATGGTTTGGATATTTGTCCTGCACAAATCTCATGTTGAAATGTAAATCTCAGTATTGAAGGTGGGGCCTGGTGGGAGGTGTTTGAGTCATGAGGGAAGATACCTGATGGCTTGGTGCTGTCATCATGATAGTGAGTGAGTTCTCATGAGATCTGGCTGTTTTAAAGTGTGTGGCACCTCCCCCATTTTGCTTCTGCTCTTGCCATGTGACGTGTCTGCTCCTGCTTCTCCTTCCACCATGAATGAAAGCTCCTTGGGGTCTCTCCAGAAGCCAAGCAGATGCCAGAACCATGCTTGTACAGCCTGAAGAACTGTGAGCCATTTAAACCTCTTTTCTTTATAAATTACCCAGCATCAGGTATTCCTTTACAGCAGTGCAAGAATGGCCTAACACGGAAAACTGGTACTGAGAAGTGGGGCATTGCTATAAAGATACTTAAATGTGTGGAAGCAGCTCTGGAACTGGGTAACAGGTAGAGGTTGTAAGAGTTTGGAAGGCTCTGAAGACAGGAAGAGAGAGATGAGGGAAAGTTTGGAACTTCTTAGAGAGTGGTTAAATTGTTGTGACCAAAATATTGACAGTGAAGTCCAGACTGAGGAGGTCTAAGATGAAAATGAGGAACTTAATGGGAACTGTAGGGAAGATTACTTGTGTTATGCCTTAGCAAAGAGCGTGGCTTCATTTTGTTTGTTCCCTGGGGACCTGTGGAAGTTTGAACTTAAGAGTGATGAACTGGGTATCTGGTGGGAGAAATTTCTAAGCAGCAAAGCATTCAAGAAGTGTCCTGGCTGCTTGTAACAGCCTATGCTTAGATGTTGGGGCAAAGATATTACTCAAAGTTGGAAGTTATATTTAAAGGGGAAGCAGAGCATAAAAGTTTGAAAAATTTGCAGCTTAGCCATGTGGCAAATAAAAAGCTATTTCAGGAGAGGAATCCAAGTGGGCTGCAAAATAACCACTTGCTAGGGAGATTTGCGTCATTAAGAGAGAGCCAGTTGCTGATAGCCAAGGCAATGGGAAAAAGGCCTGGAAGGCATTTTATAGATCTAAGAGCAGCCCCTCCCATCACAGGCCCAGAGGCCTAGGAGGACTGAATGGTTTTGGGGGCCAGGCCCAAAGCCCTGCTGCCCTAGGCAGCTTCAGGACGTTGCTCCCCACCCAGCTGTTCCAGATCTAGCCACGGCTCAAAAGGGCCTAGGTGCAGATTGGGCTGCCACTTGGAAAGGTGACCTTGGTGGTTTCTATGTGGTGTTAAGCCTGTGGTCATGCAGAGTGCAATAGTAAAGGAGACTTGGCAGCCTCTATCTAGATTTCAGAGGGTGTATGAGAAAGTCCGAGTCCCCAGGCAGAAGCCTGCTGCAGGGGTGGTCCCCTCATAGAGAACCTCTACTAAGGCAGTGCTAAGGGGAAATGTGGGGTTGGGGGCCCCACAGAGAGTCCCCACTGGGGCACTGCCCAATGAAACTGTGGTAAGGGGCCACCATCCTCCAGGCCCTGGAATGATAGATCCACTGGCAGCTTGCTCCTTGAATCTGGAAAAGCTGCTGGCAGTCAACTCCAGCCTTTGAGGGCAGCTGCAGAGGCTGTACCCTGCAAGGCCACAGAGTTAGTGCTACCAAAGGTCTTGAGAGTTCACTGCTTGTAGCATTGTGCCCTGGGTGTGGGACATGGAGTCAAAGGAGATTATTTTGGAGCTTTTGGATTTAATGACTGCCCTCCTAGGGTTCAGACATGTCTGGGACCTGTATCCCCTTTATTTTGGCAAATTTCTCCCTTTTGGAACAGGAATCTTTATCCAATGCCTGTACCCCAGTTGCATCTTGGGAGTAGATAACTCATTTTGATTTTACAGCCTGTTAGGTGAAAGGAATTCATCTCTGGTTGAGACTTTGGACTTTTGACTTGGAACTTAGGATTTATGAATTAATGCTAAAATGAGTTAAGACCTTTGGGAAAGTATGATTTTATTTTGAAATGTTAGAAGGACATGAGATTTGGGGGGACCAAGGATGAAATGATATGGTTTGGATATCTGTCCTGCCCAAATACCACGTTGAAATGTAGTCCCCAATGTTAGGGGGGCCTGGTGGGAGGTGTTTTGGTCATGGGGGCAGATCCCTCATTGCTTGGTGCTGTCCTCCTGATAGTGAGTGAGTTCTCATGTGATCTGGTTGTTTAAAAGTGTGTGGCATGTCTCTCTCCCTCTTCCTCCTGTTTTTGTCATGTGGCAGACCCACTCCTGCTTCACCTTGTGTCATGAGTAAAAGTTCACTAAGCCCTCCCCAGAAGCCAAGCAGATGCCAACATCATGCTTGTAGAGGCTGCAATTAAATCTCTTTTCTTTATAAATTACTCAGTCTCAGGTATTCCTTTATAGTACTCCAAGAATGGCCTAATATAGTAAGTTTCAAGATTTAAGACTGTGAGGGTCAATTTCTGTGTTTATTCAAAAAAACACGTAACTGTCAGTTTTATGGAGAAGTTGGGCTGGTTTTAATTTCACAGTACCACACTGACTTAGCATTATGGTTCCTTTCTAACACTGGATTTTACAAGTAAGTACACAGATGGGCCTAGAAAAAGGTTCAGAAGTTTGCCTGAATTTTGGTTAAGGAAAATATCTTTTTCAGTAAAATTTCAACAATTGTGAATTCAACTTTAGGCATGCTGAATTTGATTTGTAGAGGGAACAGCTAAGTGAAAGGTCTATGAGGCTGTTAGATAAAGGGCATGTAATAAACCACTAGCTGCTGTAACAATCCTCCAATATCTCAACATTTTAATTCAGTAAAAGTTAATTTCTTGCTCATGCAAAGAACAATGCAGTTGTTCTTGGTTGGCAAGAGGCCTTCCCCAGGGTCATTTAGGGACACTGCTCTACAATCTTAATGACCTCACCATTCTCAAGGGTCCATCTCCTCCCCTAGATCTTCTGTACAAACTGGTAGATGGGGAGAAAGTATGAATGATCACATGGAAGGTGTTTTATGTGCTAATCCTAGGGATGGCTTGTTTTATCACCACCGTATTCCATTGACAGAAGCTACTCACATGGCCATACAAAACTCTAAGGAAGGTTGGGAAACATGTAGTCTAGCAGTGTACTCAAAAGGTAGAAAAAAGTGAATTTGGGTGAATTCATAGTAATATCTGTCACATAGGAGTTTATGTTCAGAAATGAGAGTTAAGTGTTAAAGGGCATGTCATTAAAATATAATGTGTAACTGAGGCTATAGACTGGATGAGAATTCAAAGGGAGTAGTGGTAGATAGAGTTAAAAACAAAAGAAGCAAAGAGAATGAAAACTTGAAGAATATTCAGTTTTTTCATCTGTAAAGATTTAAGTGACAGGTGAATGAGCATGAGAAATAGCAACCAAAGGGTTTTAACTTATTAAAATGATAGCTAATATTTATGATTGCTGACTATGTATATGGCACTATGTAATGTTAACAGGGATTCTTTTACATAATCCTTATTGCAACCTGATTGTGCAAAAACTTGTCAGATTCCCTTATTTTTCATGAAGTAACAAAATTGGACAATTAAGTACCTGCCTGGGTCACGCAAGTAGTAAGTAGAAGATCTCGGATTTAAACCTTGTCTGTCTTACTCCAGAGTTCAATCTCCTCATCAGTGTGCCACCATCATCTCTTCACTTTCACCCAATGAAGGTGGGGAAACATGAACACCAAGGGAGGGGTTCCAGGAATGAGGAAATGGTAAACAAATGCTCCAGAGAGTTTCCATAAGAAGTGAATAGTGCCCACGGGAAGGTCATTCTTCCACATTTTTTTTTTTTTTTTTTAGTAAATGCTCATTGAGCATGGGTTTTGTGGCAGTCCCAGTTGGGACAAAGCATGGGTGGAATTCCTTCCCTTATGGAGCTTACAGATCAGTGAACACACTCAGAGGGTGGCAGTGGGAGCCAGATTGCAGAGGATCTAGTGAAACAAAAAAAAACTATGGAGAGAGTGTGAATCAGGCATTTGATACTTCTCTCCTCTGAGTTGGGTTCTAGAGAGACAGACGCAATACTCCATGGTCCTTCTGTGCTTTAAATACAGCCTTATGATCTGAGGCTTCCCTTTCTGTCCCTATTAAAAATGTCCTGTAGGTAGAAGACTTGATAAACTCAGACTCAGTAGGATGCTAATGACTGATGAAGCTTAATATACTAGTTTCCTAGAGGTATATGAATTGTGGGAAACACAGGCAGTCACAGCTTAAATGAATAAATCTCTTTCGATTTTTAGATACCATTGAACAGATGGAGATGGAAATTTATGAGGGTCAGAGTTGCCTTTTTGTTGACCGTGAAATTACATCACAAAAGCAGCTGCTAAGATTCCCTGCTGTCCACAGAGCCTGTATTTAAGAAAGACCATTCAAGATAAGACTGAGCTGTGGAATTATAAAACCTTTGGAAAATCTTTCATGTGAGAACAACATGGGGGCAAGCCTCTGACCAAAATAGCTCAAAAATTTGTGTTACGCAGTTACAGTAAATACCCAAGAGCTTGACGCATAAAACACAACAGCCTCCTGGAGACAGAGGGAGGAGAAAGAAAGATAAAGTCTGTGGCTTTAGAAGAAAAGGAATAACTTAAGAGGCTTGTTTGCTGTTCAGGCTGGCCACCAAGGATGACATTTTGGTAGGTTTGGCATGTTCCTGAGACTGTTCTTAACTTTGTTGGTCCCCTAAAATGTACGTAATTGATGCAACATGTCTGAGGAAGTGGATGAGGTGTGAGAAATCATGGTATTCCTATTCACAAGGGACTACTTTACAACCAGACACAATTATTTTACAGAGAACTCTGGTTTGCAAGAGGACCTGAATATTAATATTAGTTGGTCAATGCATTCTCTCCCTGGATGAGAATTTTTTGTGGGAAGCAGCATAATATAAAATGCCATTCAAGATTCTGCATGTAGCATCAAAGAGTCAGCGAATTCTGGCTCTGCCAACTACTTGGCTGTGGGACCTGGGATATATTACTTACTTTCCATAAGCCTCAGCCTTTTCATATATACAATGGATTTAGAAAGACTAGGGTGAAAGAAGAAAGTGAATTTAGGTATGTAAAATATTTACCATGTGATGGGCAGCTAGCTAGATATTTTACAAATCTGTAATCTGGAAACATGAAAGACAGACTAGCTGGATTTCCTAGGCCAAGAAAGATTTCCTAAGCCTAGCTGGGAAGGTGACCGCATCCACCTTTAAACATGGGGCTTGCAACTTAGCTCAAACCTGACCAGTCAGATAGTAAAGAGAGCTCACTAAAATGCTAATTAGGCTAAAACAGGAGGTAAAGAAATAGCCAATCATCAATCACCTGAGAGCACAGGGGGAGGGACAATGATCACGATATAAACCCAGGCATCCGAGCCAGCAATGGCTACCCTCTTTGGGTCCCCTCCCTTTGTAGGGGAGCTCTGTTTTCACTCTATTAAATCTTGCAACTGCATTCTCTTCTGGTCCGTGTTTGTTATGGCTCGAACAGAGCTTTTGCTCGCTGCCCACCACTGCTGTTTGCTACTGTCGCAGACCCACCACTGACGTCTATCCCTCTGGATCTGGCAGGGTATCCACTGTCCTAATCCAGTGAGGGGCCCATTGCTGCTCCCGATCAGGCTAAAGGCTTGCCATTGTTCCTGCACGGCTAAGTGCCTGGGTTCGTCCTAATGGAACTGAACACTAGTCACCAGGTTCCATGGTTCTCTTCTGTGACCCATGGCTTCTAATAGAACTATAACACTCACTGCATGGCCCAAGATTCCATTCCTTGGAATCTGTGAGGCCAAGAACCCCAGGTCAGAGAACATGAGACTTGCCACCATCTTGGAAGCAGCCCACCACCATCTTGGGAGCTCTGGGAGCAAGGACCCCCCGGTAACAAACAGACACAAGAGAATTAGGTGGAGAATCTTCCAACCAAGTGCTCTTAACCAACAGAATCATACCTTCCAAGGGAGGCTGATTGTCTTGTCTGTTGATCGGGTCTCCATTTCTAAGATGTGAAAGACACACTGACCTGTTTCTGCTTATTGACTTCCTTCTTTCTAGACCTGTGATGACCAGAACACATTCTTTTTTTTTTTTTTTTTTTTTTTTGAGGCAGAGTCTTGCTTTGTCACCCAGGCTGTAGTGCAGTGGTGCAATCTCGGCTCACTGCAACCTCTGCCTCCCTGGTTCAAGCAATTCTCCTGCCTCAGCCTCCCGAGTAGCTGGGACTACAGGCACATGCCACCATGCCTGGCTAACTTTTGTATTTTTAGTAGAGACGAGGTTTCACCATGTGGGCCAGGATGGCCTCGATCTCCTGACCTCGTGATCCACCCACCTCGGCCTCCCAAAGTGCTGGGATTACAGGCGTGAGCCACTGCACCCGACCCAGAACACATTCTTAAATAGGATAGATTAGACTGCCTACTTGTTACATGCCAGTTCTAAGCATGCAACAGAGCCACATTGATTGGCCTTGAGTGGCTCCAAACTACTGACAAATGAATTCACAGACCATCTTAAGCACAATTCTTCATGTAGTTGATTAAATGTGCCATTGTGTGCTCATTCTTGCTATTTTCACATTCAGTGGGTGGTCTTATTATACTTTATAGTGCTTTATGTATTGACTATGGAGATTAGTATATGTTTCTGAAAAATTTAAGTTTTGCTTAAAAGGCTGCAATAAGGTTCAGTTGCAGATAGCAGAGATAGTTCCAGCGAGTTTGAGCAGAAAGGGACTTAGTATAAGGAGTTAGTTGGCTACAACATTGTTCAAAGTGCTGGAAAAGCAACCCTTAGGCTGGGCCTCTAGAAATGACTGTAGAATAAGAGTTACCCTGCAGAACTTGCCCACCAAGAGAGCTGTCATCTTTGTCACAATTGAAAAGTCATGGAGTCAGGAAGCTGCTATTCAAACTGCTGGCCTCAGGTTCATACTACCTTGACTATGACCCAGGAAGTCATTGTCAAATTTGTTGGCTCCAACCCATGTGTCTGCTATAGTCTACACCTGTATCAGATTTTGTACTACTTCTGTTTGCATTTAACCATTTCCAAAACAAATCATTGTGATTGTATCTAACTGGCCTAATCCAAGTCACAATCATAACCATGTACGTAAAGGAGTCTGGGAAATCTTATTTTTAGTTTTTCAACCTTGTAGGATACTATAAGAAGATTGGGATAGATACTGAGTGAGCCTCAGAAAATCAGCTGGATACACCCCAGGCAAGTACTTGTGCTAAGTGATAATTCAGATACTACAGAGAATTCAAAGATAAAGTAAGCCAGATTTTGTCAAGAGCACCTGTCTGTAATCTAATAAAGGAGAAGAGACAAATCCAGTGTTTTCATATGGCATTGCTTCCTAATGAGTCTGATGAGCCAAATGTCCTTCCTAGGTAGTCATAAAACATATTTATCCTATCGTAGCTTTTAAAACACAGTATTGTAATTGTTGGTTATTTTACCTGTGCACTCAGTGGACTGCTAGCTGTTGAAGGCAGGGACCATGTGAATCTTGCTAGCTGTTAAACAGCCAGTGTTTAATCCAGTGCCAATCAATATTTGTTGAATGACTGGATACATGAAAACAAGTGGGAGTCAAAATTACAACCTCTAAGGATGTAGGTGTTCATTTATTATAGAATAGAATATTTTCTTCTTGCCAGTCTTATCTCTAAACTAAATTAGAAGACTCTAAGCAATAAATTGAACACTATGTTAAGAGAATGTGTTTCCTCATGACAGCCCACCAGTCCTGCACTCTCCCTAAATGACAACTACATATTAGTGGCTGGAAAAAGTGGCTATGTTTTCTTTTACTATGAAAGAGGAAAGAGGACATTTCCTTTTGCTAGCAAAGAGGAAACTATTGTGTCACATAAATGAAGCATATTGCTAGTTGCTATAAAAATTAGATTTATAGTCAAGGTTGCCCATTCTGAGTTACTTCTTGGGATAGGCAATACAAAATGTTACAGGATCTGAGATGTTTATAAATAATATTTGAAAACCCACTCACTACTGCTGCTGCTATTAAAATTAGTATTTAGAGTATATAATATGCATGAATTAGAAGGCTTAATACTGTATGGTCTCAAAACTAAATGGCTTATGAGGTCAGGTGCCATTTTACCCCATTTTATAGCTGATGCTCTGAGTCTTGAAGAGTTTTACTGGTCCAATATTATGGGATTAGTGTTATAACAAGTGGATTCTCAAAGTTAGGCCCATCCGATCCCAAAGTTTATGTTTTTAACTGCTATTGTATGTGAGTTTCACCAGTAGTTTTCCTTATTCTGTAAGAAAACTCTTCTTATCATAAATATGAACAGTGTATAGTGATGTCCAGTATATATGATGCTTTCTACATGGCAACTCTTTGTGATGCTCACAGTAACCATGCAAAGCTTTCTATCTCTATGTTAAAAATTCTAAAATAGAAACTTAGAATGCATAGAGCCAAACCTTCAGTGGAGGCATTCTGACACTAAATGCTGATCTTGTGTCTTTTCTTCAAGCTCCCTCCCACCACATGAACTAAAGATCTGCAAGCTGTAACCTTTTCCGAAGGGCTACCTGGGCCTCTGTGTCCATCAGAGCTGATGAGCTGATCTTCATTCACCATAAGTGCAACTATCATGGCTCATGGAGCCCTGGAGAGAGTAGCACATATATTGAACTTCAGTTTTAAAAAGTCTAATACTTTTCTAAAATGACTTGCTATCTATTTCATCCAGAGAAGATTTATTACGTAGCCTTTCTAGCATAAAATATCATTACTTTTAAAGAAAAATCCAATCTAAATTCCTCTAACTACAATGGAAGTCCCCTTTTCTTATTCATTTCTCACTCAAATATGGAACAACCAGTCACTTCCATTAAATCTAATCTTCCTGTATGCTCTTGAAGATAACTACCAGTTAAACAGAGCTATCTATGGGAATGGTTTTTGAAAAAAAATTGCGTTGTTTCAGTACTTTGGAGGATGGCTGATGTTTGCCTTTTCAAGAGATGTATCATGGACTGTTTTTGTTAAACTAACTTGGCTTCAAGAATTTGAGACTAACTCAGATTTTCTCAAACAGTGGGGGATTTGATGCAGCAATATGCAGGCATGGGATATCAGAAAGAGCCAGATAACCAAAGGAAGAGTAGTAGCTGAAGCAGGATTCTAAGACCAAGGTGGGTTAAGTTAGCTCGGAAGCTTGGGATATAAGGCTTTTCATTCTAGGGTTCTAACTTAATGTTGCTCTACATGTGGCTCGACTTTCTCATAATTTTAGATTGTATTTTGTGATTTGCCTTATTTTCTTTGTATTTATTGACTTTAATCCTCAGGAGAGACAATATGAATTTATTTAAGACAGATTAGATCCTAGCTCTGGGTCAGATACTCAGCCTTTATCCAATAAGATTCCCTTCCTCTAGTGACCTGGACCTGCTGGGTAATGGCATCACATGTGCAGATTGTAGCTGTTTCTTTAGCAGAGGCTATGGGCAGAGTCATTTCCACTAGAAGGGGCTGCAGGCATTTCAGGCGATGTGCTAAAACAAAGGCAGTTTCTGCAAAAGAGCACATTCTATTTATTCTACCTTCTGGATGTGGCATGAGTCCATCTATCTCTCTCTATCCCCACTGTAGCTGTTCCAGTTCAGGTCACCATACCTTATGTCTTGACTATAGTAATAGCTTTCATAAATATATATATATATATATATATATATATATATATATATATATATATATATATATATATATATATTCCTGCCTTCTGTGGTGTCCAATTCAAAGCATTTTCAATTCTACAGTCAGAGAGAAAACATAAATTAATCTGATTTATTCTCTTCTAAAAAGTTCCAGTGATTTAGGAGAAACCACATTCTCTAACATAATTTATGAGACCCATGCTGGCTTCTAACTAAATCTCCATCCTCATCTCTAAGCCCCACTTTTACTCTATGGTTTAGTCCATTACCTGTAGACCTTCTACTCTGTTACCTTGGCTTATGAAACACTTCCCTACTTTTTATGGCTAACATTCATTCATGTTTAGGTCCCAGCTGATGCTTTCCCAACCTTCCAGTCTAGATTAGAAGTCCCTCTTAGATATACTTCCAGCATCCTGAAATTGTCATAGAGTTGAATTTCAGTGACCTATTTCATGTATTCTGGTGAAAACTCTAAGTGTGTGAGTGCAGGGGCTGTTATCGGTCATTACTGGCTCTCCAGTGCCTGGTATATGATGAGTACTCTATCAATATATGTTAAATCAACAAGAGAAAGAGAGAAATCATTTTTCATATTATAGTGCTTAAAATCCATATAGTTACAACACCAGGAGTGAACCCCAATGTAAACTATGGACTTTGGGTGGTAACGTGTCAATGTAGGTTCATGAATTGAAAAAAATGTACCACTCTGGTGAGGGATGTCGATAATGGAGGCTATGCATGTCTCGGGGTAGGGGGTGTATGGGAAATCTCTGAACTTTCCTCTCTTCTGTGAACCTTCTCTAAAAGATAAAATCTATTTCTAAAAATTCCTGTTGTGTGTTGTCTCATTTCACATTATACCACCCCTCTCCCTCGTTGGTTTCTGCTCTGGCTTCCCTGGTCTTTTCTCAGTTCTTTGTGACTCTTCCCCTCTCCTTCCACTGTCCTTGTGTATGCCATTTCATCTGCCTGGAACACTCTTCTTGTGCCTGGTTTGCTGCCAGTTAGCTTTCAGATTTTAGCTCAGTTACCTCTTTTTCAGGAAGCCTTTTCTGATTCTATGCCCCAGACTAGATAAAATCCTCCCATTATATGTGACCAGCATCATATACTTCTTCATGACACTAATGACAGTTCTAACTTCGCATTTATTTTTGCAAGTATGTCTGTTTATGGTTATTACAGTCCTAATCTTAGGAAAACACCTGATAAGAGAGGAAAAATAATTATTTGATGAATAAATAATTCATCAAATTTTAGTGTAATATTGTCAGATAAAACATACCATAAGAACATGGTGAATAAGGTGGTG
This sequence comes from Homo sapiens, assembly GCF_000001405.40. NCBI lineage: Eukaryota > Metazoa > Chordata > Mammalia > Primates > Hominidae > Homo > Homo sapiens. The sequence goes on from NC_000011.10 coordinate 106,256,658, forward strand.
AGAACATCAAAGGTCTTCAGAAATCGGTTACCCGGTGTAGTAAAAAGGACTAGTAACAAAGTATGACATCAAGGGATTGAATCTCTGTTACACAGTAAGCTAGCCATGTGAAGTACATATTACCTCATTTATCTGAATTTCAACTTCTACAATGGTAAAATGGGGATAATTTTTTTCCCTTTCTGAAAATTAAAGGAGATAAAACAGGTAAATATCTCTGTAAGCTGCCATATAAGGACAGATATAGTGGCAAAGTTCAATTTTCTTCAAGGTAAATTATAAGCAAACATAGATGTAGAGCATAATTTTCTTCAAAGCCAAAGTTTGCCCTATAAAAAGACAGTAAAAACTGAAAAAATGTTTGAAATTTTAATTTTTTTTTCATTTTGTTTCTAACAGAAATCATTTTCATGCTGCATTACGGTTGCCAGATTAGTCATTAAATAAACAGTATACAATTCATTGAACTCTCTGTTAGCCCATTTGAAAGATGATGAAGTTAGAATGCTTAATATATGGTCCTTTGTGTTTGGAGCAGATAAAAGCGTTCTGGAAAATTCCCAAGAGGTTAGATATTAATGGAAAGATCTGCCTCCCTTGGCCCTAAGAAAACATGATAGTTTCTATAGAACTAGAAATGAAGGATTTGAAAGTAACTTAAAATTAATCCACCTTTAACTTGAAGAGCACAAAGCACATTACGATAAAACAGGTGTTTTACATTATTCATTTAATTTTCACCAGTCCTTTGAGGGAGCTACTATTATTCCAATATTACAAGGAAAAGTAGTTGAGAGAGGAAATACATTTACCTGAGGCCACTTACTCTTTGGTGTCTAGGGTTCAGCCCACCTAAGGCACCTGGCATGTTAGGAGTATCTCTGTGTGCCTTCTCTGTGCTGGCTAATGTGAGAGTTAGAAAAGGAACACAGCTTTTGAAATATTAGAATCCTTTTTAAATCAAATCTGACAATTTTCATGTTGCAGAAGGAGAAAATGAAATTTGAGAAATTGTGTCTCTTGATTAAAGTTACACAAAGAAGGGCAGAATATGTACCTGTCTCATCTAGAACAGCACACAGCAGGGACTCTATAAGTCTTAACTGATTGATCCAGTTTTATGTTCCTCTTATTAAAAAGAAAAGGAGAGATCTTTAGGAGAAGGATCTGATGCTACTCTTAAGGGAAGAATTCAGGGTCCCTGGCTTCTAGGTTCTCTGGGAGTATGGGACTTCCTCTATCAGATTCCCACATATCCAGTCTAATGTCAGACTTTTGACAGTAACTGCAAAACCTAGGCTTTGTGAGTGTTCCTTGGAAAATACTGTGCAGTTCTGGGGCTCAGTGATGATTTTCACATTAATTCACTATTGGACTTTCAATCTTCTGAGACAATGGCGAGTAATTGTAAGGCAGGCAAGTAGCATTTTGAAGGTGTCATGAAATGTACCTTTATCAGTGTTCACAAGACTAGTTAATGACAGAGTAAAATTATGTCCCAGTGTTATATAAACATGTGAGTCCATTTCAGCACTCCCTTTTTCCATTCAAGGAAATCTTGAATTATTTTTCTTCAGAGAAGAGAAGTGAGTTTCAGATTTGGTTCTCTTTCTGCAACTGCTTTGTGTCCTTGAGTAAGACATGCATGGAAGGGGTTAGGTGGTGAAGCAGGTAGACTGAAGCGGAAGTGCTCAGGCTCTGAAGTCAGATCTCAGTTCAAATCTCCTGAGCAGTTTATTTATCTACAGAAGACCCTAGTTCCTGCATTTCTAAAATAGAAATAATTGTGATACTCCTGTCATTGGTACGGAGGGTTAGATGATCTAATTCTAGTAAAGTCTCTTAGCACTTGGGAGGAACTGTGTATTGAGTTTCCACTAAGGAAAGGCCAATATTCCTGCAGAGGAAGACATACCGGCTGCCTGAGGCTTCAGTTCTCCAGTGGCTTTCTTACTCTAAACTGGAGAGGAATGGGCTGGGTCAACAACATTTTCGCAATTGCCCAGAAAGCATAAGTAATGAGTAGTTCTTCCTGTAGTGGCAGGAACATCCATGCTCACCTTTGCACTTCTGCGGAGCTTGGGGATCCCCATCCTTGAGTACCTCAAATCACACTGAGGCTTCCCATGGCCCACCTTTCCTGTCTGTCTAGTTGCAAGGGGCAGGATGAGAATAATTTATCTTTGTCTCCTCTCTCTTCTGCATCATTAATTTTTCCCTCTCTGTTACACCATTCCTATCAGCATACAAATATGCTGCCATTTTCCCCACATTAATATAATGTTTCTTGATCTCATTTTTCAAGTAATACTGTATTTCTTTACTGCCTTTCAGAGCAAAACTTTTAAAAAGACTTGACTTTGTTTATTACTTCCAATTCTTCCTTCTAGTCTTCACCCTTAACACCTCTATGAGAAAGCTCTTGATTGAGGACCTCTGCATGGCTAAATACAATAGAAAATTCTCAGTCTTTTTCTTATTTGAGCACTCAGAAACATTTGGTTAAGCTGATCACTGCCTCCTCCTTGAAATGATTGATTTATTTGGCTTCTAGGACATTGTTATATTCTCCCTCCCTTCATGTTCTCCAGGGCAATATTTTTATAACTCTTCTCTTTGTTATCTCATCCAGTATTATGTTTTCAGTTGCTTCTATACATTGATAACACTTAACCTGTAGATTCATATATATGTGAATCTGACTGTCCAACAGCTCCACTTGGATTGCAGATAGGAATCTTGTCTCAAACCTCACATGCCCCCAAACTAAATCCTGAACTTCTTTCCCCAAATCTGGTCCCTATAATTTTTCCCAACATCATGGTAATAATGATAGCAAACATTTACATGGGGCTATGTGGCAAGTACTATTTTAATAATTTTTTTATATTCACTCACATAATCCTCAACACCATGTGAGGTTGGCATTATTATTACTTCTATTTTGCAATGCAGAATGGAGGAAAATACTTACTTGCCTAGTGTCACAGTGGCAGAGTTGGACTGCAAAGCCAGACTGCCTGGTTCTGGTCTTTCTACTAGCATACTTCCAATTTCTGAAGCCAAGCATTTTGAAATAATCTATGACTTCTCTCTCTTACACCCATATCCAATCCAATAGCAAATCTTGTTGGCAATACTTTCTTGATATATTCAGAATCTGACCACTTACCACCCACATTGTCACAATCCTGGTCCGAGCCATCCTCTGTTTCTTCTGCCCACCTTATGCCCATTGCGATCTGTCTTAGCAAAGCAGCCAAAGGGAGGCAGGTCATGTTACACCTGCTGCTCATGGCTTCCCATCTCTCAGAGTTAAACACAGCATTCATACAGTGACCTCCAAGGACTTAAATCCTCAGCTGTGTCTCCTATTACCGCCATAATCTCACCTTCTACTGATCTCCTTGCTCATTCCACTCCACTCACGCTGGGCTCCTAGTGGTTCCCGGAAGATGTACATGCTTGCTCTTGTCTCAGGCCATATGCACTTGCCTTTCCCTGGCATGTTTTTCTCCCAGATTTCCACATGCCTCGCCTCCTACTTCCTTCAGCTCTTTGGTTAAATGTCATCTTTTTAGTGAAGTTTTCTATTTAAAATTGTCATATCTTACCCTACTGAAGTTATTCCTTCTTCCTTGTTTTAAATTTATCATCCTCTGACTTGCTTTTGTTTATATTTTTTATTCCCAGTAGAATATTAATTTCAGGGCAGAAGAGATTTTTGCTGTTTCGGTCGTGGCATTATCTCCAGTATTTATGTGCCTGGAACATATTAGGTACTTAATAAATATTTATAGAGTTTGTAATAAATGTAAAAATATTTGTAAAAAACGAATAAGTAAATGGTTTTTAGAGATAGAGAAATGAAATAATTAGGATTCCCAATACCATAAGTCATGGGTCACAAAGGTACTTTTTGGTACCAAGGACTGGTTTTGTCGAAGACAATTTTTCCACGAACAGGGATGGGGGATGGTTTGGGGATGATTTAAGTGTATTACATTTATTGTGCTCTTTATTTCTATTATTATTATATTGCATTATGTAATGCTTGATGATATCTGTCACTGATATCTGCCATCTGGGGGTGATGGGAGACAGTGACAGATCATCAGGCCTTAGATTCTCATAAGGAACGTGCAACCTAGATCCCTCGCATGTGTAGTTCACAATAGGGTTTGCACTTCTATGAGAATCGAATGCTGCCAATGATCTGACAGGAGGTGAAACTCAGGCAATAATGTGAGTGATGGGAGCAGTTGTAAATACAAATGAAGCTTCGCTTGCTTGCCAGCCTCTCACCTCCTGCTGTACCACCCAGTTCCTAACAGGCCCCTATGAGGCTGGGGACCCTGTGCTGTGAATGATAATTTAATTTGGAGCCAGATGGAATTTACATATCTTTTAGGGACACCTCCTCATTTAAAAATGAAGAATCTAAGGAAGAGAAATAAAGTATCTACTCAAAACCTTGCTGGTTAAACCTCATGCTTCATGAATGAAGTTGTTTAATCATTTAGGGACTACCTTTCCTGTCCCTTCCCACAAGTCAGCTTCTAAAGTTAACGTTAGATATTGTTATGTAAAAACAAAACCAAAGAAATCTGCAAACTTATAAACATTAAACATTCTAAGGTCTATTTGCTTAAAGATTTTTTCATATTTGTCATTGCATTTTCTCTGTGTTTGGATTAAAAATAGCCAGCTCGCTGCTGATAGTAAGGCCATCAGTTTCACAGCAACATTCAGTTGAAAGCCCAATTAGTCCGAATCTACAAAAAGGCTGCTATTTAAGGCCATGTAGTATGTTATATCAAATGGTATGTTAAAATATATTCTGGAGGGAGATGAAGAGACAGTGCATGAGGTTTATAGCCCTCAAGTCTTTACTTCAAATAAATGAAATACAGGCTTCTCCCAGGTCTGAGGCTTGACTTTCACTCTGAACTCTGAATTCTACCACTTTCATTAGTTTTAGATAAAGGATTTTAAAGTCCAGAGAAAGAACAATGCTGAGCCCTTATTAATCATAGTGCAAATTTTTGGGTGCTCATTGAGGCTTTTAGATTTATTTTATACAACTAGAGTTTTATGGGTCAAAGTTTCCTCAAGTTTGTTGGGCTATATCCTGATGTCATATCAAGAACCATCTTCCTTGGATATCTACTTTTATGTGAATCTCAAGAGATTTGCAAACCTTGATTTATATGTGTATGTTTTTATATAGTGTCATATTCTGGGTAGTAAGTTGCTTCTGGTTCATATTTCTTTCATATAAAGTGCCACAGAAAAACATTTTAGTTATATCACCCTAAATTGAACTTTTTTGACAGTTGTTCATTCCTTAAGCTTGATGGTTAAGCTAACACTTATTACATATATTTTCTGTTATTAGTTTTTCTTTTTAGGGCCTTTAGGCACATGTCTTACTATGAGACAATCAATGCTTAACTTTTCTGAAAGTTGCAATTGAAGTTGTAAATGATTATGTGCTGAAGGAATTGGTTTTGAGTCTGCTGCCTGTTTTTCATGGGATCTGTCCTCCTTTTTATTTTTTCCCAAAGGCCTATACTGGAATATTCAGTGCAAAAATTACAGGAAGATTTAGAAGAAAATAATCAACAGTATAGAAAAAACATCAGTGGATCTGTGTTCTATTGTCATCGATGCTTCCAAAGTTATATTTAAGTGGAACCAATGTACTTACCAGTTACTGAGTTAGGACCCATGATAGATTATATGCTGAATCATTTCATCCAAATTCTTTTCAGCAGTCAAGTGAAGTAGATATTTCTCTTCTTGAGAGTAGGTAGGCAACAGAGCCTGAGAGTAGTTAGCCACTCTAAGCCACATATCCAGTAAGTAACAGAGCCAAGACCTCAGATACAATTCAGATTTTGCTCTAAATGCTAAGGTCTTCTGTTATATTGCTCTGCCTCTTTCCATTGACCTCTCAATTTTCTTTTCAGATCCAACAGGTATTTTTAAAACTATACTAATATAGTAAACTAATATTATGCTTTTTCTTCCTTTCTTTGGCTCCAGTTGCCCATGCTTTGACGAGTGGGATGGCCCTTTGAAGCAGAGACACACCTTTCTCCCTGGGTGCTACCTGAGCACTTCTTACAAAACCATTTGTTTTATTATGACATTTAGCAGATTGTGTTATTTTTACTCACATGCCAAATGCTGTACTTCAATATGAGCTTTTCAAGAAGTAAAGAATAGTGAATTATTCCTATTTGTAACACAGATATGAGCCACCAGGGGCAACTATATGCAAACTAAATTGATAGCTATGAGGTCATAGTGTTGAACTGTTGTTGCGAATACTTCTCTCGTAGACACCCTGAGAAGTGATAGTGAGTTCATGCTAAAGCTACAGTCTAACTTTCTAAAAAGAGTTGAAATTATCTCATATTTAACATTCTGTGAATTCCATGTCCAGAAGAGTTCAGGGTTATCAATGCGGTATTTTCTCAAAATAGAACCACTCTGTTCTCCAAGGACTTAAAATATAGAAGCCCAGGAAATATTCTGTCAGTTATTAAAAATGTCCACTAACACATGAAAAAGTTGTTTGGAATTATAATATTCAATGTGGGAGAGACATAATCATGACCTTCTTAATCCAAAATCAAAACTGTTTTCCCAAAAGGTTAACTGCCTTGTT